>NC_000014.9:16404448-16704448 GCF_000001405.40 Homo sapiens
AGCATTCTGTGAAACTTGTTTGTGATGTGTGTACTCAACTAACAGTGTTGAACCTTTCTTTTTACAGAGCAGTTTTGAAACACTCTTTTTGTAGAATCTGCGAGGGGATATTTGGATACATTTCAGGATTTCGTTGGAAACGGGAATATCTTCATATAAAATCTCGACAGAAGCATTCTCAGAAACTTCTTTGTGATATGTGCATTCAAGTCACAGAGTTGAATATTCCCTTTCACAGAGTAGGTTTGAAACACTCTTTTTGTAGTATCTGAAAGTGGACATTTGGAGCGCCTTGACACCTACGGTGAAAAGGGAAATATCTTCCCATAAAAACTAGACAGAAGCAATCTCAGAATCTTCTTTGGGATATATGCACGCAGCTAACAGAGTTGAACCTTTCTATTGACAGAGCAGTTTTGAAACAGTCTTTCTGTGGAATCTACAAGTGGATATTTGGATAGCTTGGAGGATTTCGTTGGAAACGGGATTACGTATAAAAAGTAGACAGCAAGCATTCTCATAAACTTGTTTGTGATGTGTGAACTCAGCTAACAGGCGTGGATCTTTCTTTTGATACAGCAGTTTTGAAAAACACTTTTTGTTGAATCTGCAAGTGGACATTTGGATAGATTTGAAGATTTCGTTGGAAACGGGAATATCTTCATATCAAATCTAGACAGAAGCATTCTCAGAAACGTCTTTGTGATGTTTGCATTCAACTCATAGAGTTGAACATTCCGTTTCAGAGAGCAGGTTTGAAGCACTCTTTTTGTAGTATGTGCAAGTGGATATTTGGAGCGCTCTGAGGCCTACGGTGAAAAAGCAGATATCTTCCCATAACCACTAGACAGAAACATTCTCAGAAACTCCTTTATGACGTATGCACCTCACCTAACAGAGAAGAACCTTCCTTTTGACAGAGCAGTTTTGATACACTCTTTTTGTAGAATCTGCAAGTGGATACTTGGATAGCTGTGAAGATTTCGTTGGAAACGGGAATATCTTCCTATAAAATCTAGACAGAAGCATTCTCAGAAACTGCTCTGTGATGTCTGCATTCAAGTCACAGAGTTGAACATTGCCTTTCCTAGAGTAGGTTTGAAACGCTCTTTTTGTAGTATATGGAAGTGGACGTTTCGGACGGTTTGAGGCCCATGGTGATAAAGGGAATATCTTCCCCTACAAGCTAGAAAGAAGCATTCTGTGAAACTTGTTTGTGATGTGTGTACTCAACTAAGAGAGTTGAACCTTTCTTTTTACAGAGCAGTTTTGAAACACTCATTTTGTAGAATCTGCGAGGGGATATTTGGATAGATTTCAGGATTTCGTTGGAAACGGGAATATCTTTATATAAAATCTCGACAGAAGCATTCTCAGAAGCTTCTTTGTGATATGTGCATTCAAGTCACAGAGTTGAATATTCCCTTTCACAGAGTAGGTTTGAAACACTCTTTTTGTAGTATCTGGAAGTGGACATTTAGAGCGCCTTGACGCCTACGGGTGAAAAGGGAAATATCTTCTCATAAAAAGTAGACAGAAAGCAATCTCAGAATCTTCTTTGGGATATATGCACGCAGCTAACAGAGTTGAACCTTTCTATTGACAGAGCAGTTTTGAAACAGTCTTTCTGTGGAATCTGCAAGTGGACATTTGGATAGCTTGGAGGATTTCGTTGGAAACGGGATTACGTATAAAAAGTAGACAGCAGCATCCTCAGAAACTTCTTTGTGATGTGTGCATTCAAGTCACAGAGTTGAACATTCCCCTTCGTACAGCAGTTTTGAAACACTCTTTGTGTATTATCTGGGAGTGAACATTAGGACAGCTTTCAGGTCTATGGTGAGAAAGGAAATATCTTCAAATAAAAACAAGACAGAAGCATTCTCATAAACTTGTTTCTGATGTGTGAACTCAGCTAACAGAGGTGGATCTTTCTTTTGATAGAGCAGTTCTGAAAAACACTTTTTGTTGAATCTGCAAGTGGATATTTGCATAGATTTGAAGATTTCGTTGGAAACGGGAATATCTTCATATCAAATCTAGACAGAAGCATTCTCAGAAACGTCTTTGCGATGTTTGCATTCAACTCATAGAGTTGAACATTCCGTTTCAGAGAGCAGCTTTGAGGCACTCTTTTTGTAGTATGCGCAAGTGGATATTTGGAGCGCTCTGAGGCCTACGGTGAAAAAGCAAATATCTTCCCATAACCACTAGACAGAAACATTCTCAGAAACTCCTTTATGACGTATGCACTCACCTAACAGAAAAGAACCTTCCTTTTGACAGAGCAGTTTTGATACACTCTTTTTGTAGAATCTGCAAGTGGATATTTGGATAGATGTGAAGATTTCGTTGGAAACGGGAATATCTTCCTATAAAATCTAGACAGAAGCATTCTCAGAAACTGCTCTGTGATGTCTGCATTCAAGTCACGGAGTTGAACATTGCCTTTCCTAGAGCAGGTTTGAAACGCTCTTTTTGTAGTATATGGAAGTGGACGTTTCGGACGGTTGGAGGCCCATGGTGATAAAGGGAATATCTTCCCCTACAAGCTAGAAAGAAGCATTGTGTGAAACTTGTTTCTGATGTTTGTACTCAACTAACAGAGTTGAACCTTTCTTTTTACAGAGCAGTTTTGAAACACTCTTTTTGTAGAATCTGCGAGGGGATATTTGGATACATTTCAGGATTTCGTTGGAAACGGGAATATCTTCATATAAAATCTCGACAGAAGCATTCTCAGAAACTTCTTTGTGATATGTGCATTCAAGTCACAGAGTTGAATATTCCCTTTCACAGAGTAGGTTTGAAACACTCTCTTTGTAGTATCTGGAAGTGGACATTTGGAGCGCCTTGACGCCTACGGTGAAAAGGGAAGTATCTTCCCATAATAACTAGACAGAAGCAATCTCAGAATCTTCTTTGGGATATATGCACGCAGCTAACAGAGTTGAACCTTTCTGTTGACAGAGCAGATTTGAAACAGTCTTTCTGTGGAATCTGCAAGTGGATATTTGGATAGATTGGAGGATTTCGTTGGAAACGGGATTACGTATAAAAAGTAGACAGCAGCATCCTCAGTAAACTTCTTTGTGATGTGTGCATTCAAGTCACAGAGTTGAACATTCCCTTTCGTACAGCAGTTTTGAAACACTCTTTCTGTAGTATCTGGAAGTGAACATTAGGACAGCTTTCAGCTCTATGGTGAGAAAGGAAATATCTTCAAATATAAACTAGACAGAAGCATTCTCATAAACTTGCTTGTGATGTGTGAACTCAGCTAACAGAGGTGAATCTTTCTTTTGATAGAGCAGTTCTGAAAAACACTTTTTGTTGAATCTGCAAGTGGACATTTGGATAGATTTGAAGATTTCGTTGGAAACGGGAATATCTTCATATCAAATGCTAGACAGAAGCATTCTCAGAAACGTCTTTGTGATGTTTGCATTCATCTCATAGAGTTGAACATTCCCTTTCAGAGAGCAGCTTTGAAGCACTCTTTTTGTAGTATGTGCAAGGGGATATTTGGAGCGCTCTGAGGCCTAAGGTGAAAAAGCAAATATCTTCCCATAACCACTAGACAGAAACATTCTCAGAAACTCCTTTATGACGTATGCACTCACCTAACAGAGAAGAACCTTCCTTTTGACAGAGCAGTTTTGATACACTCCTTTTGTAGAATCTGCAAGTGGATATTTGGATAGCTGCGAAGATTTCCTTGGAAACGGGAATATCTTCCTATAAAATCTAGACAGAAGCATTCTCAGAAACTGCTCTGTGATGTCTGCATTCAAGTCACAGAGTTGAACATTGCCTTTCATAGAGCAGGTTTGAAACGCTCTTTTTGTAGTATATGGAAGTGGAATTATCGGACGGTTTGAGGCCCATGGTGATAAAGGGAATATCTTCCCCTACAAGCTAGAAAGAAGCATTCTGTGAAACTTGTTTGTGATGTGTGTACTCAACTAAGAGAGTTGAACCTTTCTTTTCACAGGGCAGTTTTGAAACACTCTTTTTGTAGAATCTGCGAGGGGATATTTGGATAGATTTCAGGATTTCGTTGGAAACGGGAATATCTTCATACAAAATCTCGACAGAAGCATTCTCAGAAACTTCCTTGTGATATGTGCATTCAAGTCACAGAGTTGAATATTCCTTTTCACAGAGTAGGTTTGAAACACTCTTTTTGTAGTATCTGGAAGTGGACATTTGGAGCGCCTTGACGCCTACGGTGAAAAGGGAAATATCTTCCCATAAAAACTAGACAGAAGCAATCTCAGAATCTTCGTTGGGATATATGCACGCAGCTAACAGAGTTGAACCTTTCTATTGACAGAGCAGTTTTGAAACAGTCTTTCTGTGGAATCTGCAAGTGGATATTTGGATAGCTTGGAGGATTTCTTTGGAAACGGGATTACGTATAAAAAGTAGACAGCCAGCATCCTCAGAAACTTCTTTGTGATGTGTGCATTCAAGTCACAGAGTTGAACATTCCCTTTCGTACAGCAGTTTTGAAACACTCTTTCTGTAGTATCTGGAAGTGAACATTAGGACAGCTTTCAGGTCTATGGTGAGAAAGGAAATATATTCAAATAAAAACTAGACAGAGAATTCTGATAAACTTGTTTGTGAAGTGTGAACTCAGCTAACACAGGTGGATCTTTCTTTTGATACAGCAGTTTTGAAAAACACTTTGTTGAATCTGCAAGTGGACATTTGCATAGATTTGAAGATTTCGTTGGAAACGGGTATATCTTCATAACAAATCTAGACAGAAGCATTCTCAGAAACGTCTTTGTGATGTTTGCATTCAACTCATAGAGTTGAACATTCCCTTTCAGAGAGCAGCTTTGAAACACTCTTTTTGTAGTATGTGCAAGTGGATATTTGGAGCGCTCTGAGGCCTACGGTGAAAAAGCAAATATCTTCCCATAACCACTAGACAGAAAACATTCTCAGAAACTTCTTTATGACGTATGTACTCAACTAGCAGAGAAGAACTTTCCTTTTGACAGAGCAGTTTTGATACACTCTTTTTGTAGAATCTGCAAGTGGATATTTGGATAGTTGTGAAGATTTCGTTGGAAACGGGAATATCTTCCTATAAAATCTAGACAGAAGCATTCTCAGAAACTGCTCTGTGATGTCTGCATTCAAGTCACAGAGTTGAACATTGCCTTTCATAGAACAGGTTTGAAACGCTCTTTTTGTAGTATATGGAAGTGGATGTTTCGGACGGTTGGAGGCCCATGGTGATAAAGGGAATATCTTCCCCTACAAGCTAGAAAGAAGCATTGTGTGGAACTTGTTTGTGATGTGTGTACTCAACTAACAGAGTTGAACCTTTCTTTTTACAGAGCAGTTTTGAAACTCTCTTTTTGTAGAATCTGCGAGGGGATATTTGGATAGATTTCAGGATTTCTTTGGAAACGGGAATATCTTCATATAAAATCTCGACAGAAGCATTCTCAGAAACTTCTTTGTGATATGTGCATTCAAGTTACAGAGTTGAATATTCCCTTTCACAGATTAGGTTTGAAACACTCTTTTTGTAGTATCTGGAAGTGGACATTTGGAGCGCCTTGACGCCTACGGTGAAAAGGGAAATATCTTCCCATAAAAACTAGACAGAAGCAATCTCAGAATCTTCTTTGGGATATATGTACGCAGCTAATAGAGTTGAACCTTTCTATTGACATAGCAGTTTTGAAACAGTCTTTCTGTGGAATCTGCAAGTGGATATTTGGATAGCTTGGAGGATTTCGTTGGAAACGGGATTACGTATAAAAAGTAGACAGCAGAATCCTCAGAAACTTCTTTGTGATGTGTGCATTCAAGTCACAGAGTTGAACATTCCCTTTCGTACAGCAGTTTTGAAACACTCTTTCTGTAGTATCTGGAAGTGAACACTAGGAGAGCTTTCAGGTCTATGGTGAGAAAGGAAATATCTTCAAATAAAAACTAGACAGAAGCCTTCTCATAAACTTGTTTGTGATGTCTGAACTCAGCTAACAGAGGTGGATCTTTCTTTTGATAGAGCAGTTCTGAAAAACACTTTTTGTTGAATCTGCAAGTGGACATTTGGATAGATTTGAAGATTTCGTTGGAAACGGGAATATCTTCATATCAAATCTAGACAGAAGCATTCTCAGAAACGTCTTTGTGATGTTTGCATTCAACTCATAGAGTTGAACATTCCGTTTCAGAGAGCAGATTTGAGGCACTCTTTTTGTAGTATGTGCAAGTGGATATTTGGAGCGCTCTGAGGCCTACGGGGAAAAAGCAAATATCTTCCCATAACCACTAGACAGAAACATTCTCAGAAACTCCTTTATGACGGTATGCACTCACCTAACAGAGAAGAACCTTCCTTTTGACAGAGCAGTTTTGATACACTCTTTTTGTAGAATCTGCAAGTGGATATTTGGATAGCTGTAAAGATTTCGTTGGAAACGGGAATATCTTCCTATAAAATCTAGACAGAAGGATTCTCAGAAACTGCTCTGTGATGTCTGCATTCAAGTCACAGAGTTGAACATTGCCTTTCATAGAGCAGGTTTCAAGCACTCTTTTTTTAGTATATGGAAGTGGACGTTTCGGACGGTTTGAGGCCCATGGTGATAAAGGAAATATCTTCCCCTACAAGCTAGAAAGAAGCATTCTGTGAAACTTGTTTGTGATGTGTGTACTCCACTAACAGAGTTGAACCTTTCTTTTTGCAGAGCAGTTTTGAAACACTCTTTTTGTAGAATCTGCGAGGGGATATTTGGATAGATTTCAGGATTTCGTTGGAAAGGGGAATATCTTCATATAAAATCTCGACAGAAGCATTCTCAGAAACTTCCTTGTGATATGTGCATTCAAGTCACAGAGTTGAATATTCCCTTTCACAGAGTAGGTTTGAAACACTCTTTTTGTAGTATCTGGAAGTGGACATTTGGAGCGCCTTGACGCCTACGGTGAAAAGGGTAATATCTTCCCATAAAAACTAGACAGAAGCAATCTCAGAATCTTCTTTGGGATATATGTACGCAGCTAACAGAGTTGAACCTTTCTATTGACAGACCCGTTTTGAAACAGTCTTTCTGTGGAATCTGCAAGTGGATATTTGGATAGCTTAGAGGATTTCTTTGGAAACGGGATTACGTATAAAAAGTAGACAGCAGCATCCTCAGAAACTTCTTTGTGACGTGTGCATTCAAGTCACAGAGTTGAACATTCCCTTTCGTACAGCAGTTTTGAAACACTCTTTCTGTAGTATCTGGAAGTGAACATTAGGACAGCTTTCAGGTCTATGGTGAGAAAGGAAATATCTTCAAATAAAAACTAGACAGAAGCATTCTCATAAACTTGTTTGTGATGTGTGAACTCAGCCAACAGAGGTGGATCTTTCTTTTGATAGAGCAGTTCTGAAAAACACTTTTTGTTGAATCTGCAAGTGGACATTTGGATAGATTTGAAGATTTCGTTGGTAACGGGAATATCTTCATATCAAATCCTAGACAGAAGCATTCGCAGAAACGTCTTTGTGATGTTTGCATTCAACTCATAGAGTTGAACATTCCGTTTCAGAGAGCAGCTTTGAGGCACTCTTTTTGTAGTATGTGCAAGTGGATATTTGGAGCGCTCTGAGGCCTACGGTGAAAAAGCAAATATCTTCCCATAACCACTAGACAGAAACATTCTCAGAAACTCCTTTATGACGTATGCACTCACCTAACAGAGAAAAACCTTCCTTTTGACAGAGCAGTTTTGATACACTCTTTTTGTAGAATCTGCAAGTGGATATTTGGATAGCTGGGAAGATTTCGTTGGAAACGGGAATATCTTCCTATAAAATCTAGACAGAAGCATTCTCAGAAACTGCTCTGTGATGTCTGCATTCAAGTCACAGAGTTGACGATTGCCTTTCATAGAGCAGGTTTAAAACGCTCTTTTTGTAGTATATGGAAGTGGACGTTTCGGACGGTTTGAGGCCCATGGTGATAAAGGAAATATCTTCCCCTACAAGCTAGAAAGAAGCATTCTGTGAAACTTGTTTGTGATGTGTGTACTCAACTAACAGAGTTGAACCTTTCTTTTTACAGAGCAGTTTTGAAACACTCTTTTTGTAGAATCTGCGATGGGATATTTGGATACATTTCAGCATTTCGTTGGAAACAGGAATATCTTCATATAAAATCTCGACAGAAGCATTTTCAGAAACTTCTTTGTGATATGTGCATTCAAGTCACAGAGTTGAATATTCCCTTTCACAGAGTAGGTTTGAAACACTCTTTTTGTAGTATCTGGAAGTGGACATTTGGAGCGCCTTGACACCTACGGTGAAAAGGGAAATATCTTCCCATAAAAACTAGACAGAAGCAATCTCAGAATCTTCTTTGGGATATATGCACGCAGCTAACAGAGTTGAACGTTTCTATTGACAGAGCAGTTTTGAAAGAGTCTTTCTGTGGAATCTGCAAGTGGATATTTGGATAGCTTGGAGGATTTCGTTGGAAACGGGATTACGTATAATAAGTAGACAGCAGCATCCTCAGAAACTTCCTTGTGATGTCTGCATTCAAGTCACAGAGTTGAACATTCCCTTTCGTACAGCAGTTTTGAAACACTCTTTCTGTAGTATCTGGAAGTGAACATTAGGACAGCTTTCAGGTCTATGGTGAGAAAGGAAATATCTTCAAATAAAAACTAGACAGAAGCATTCTCATAAACTTGTTTTGATGTGTGAACTCAACTAACAGAGGTGCTTCTTTCTTTTTATACAGCACTTTTGAAAAACACTTTTTGTTGAATCTGCAAGTGGACATTTGGATAGATTTGAAGATTTCTTTGGAAACGGGAATATCTTCATATCAAATCTAGACAGAAGCATTCTCAGAAACGTCTTTGTGATGTTTGCATTCAACTCATAGAGTTGAACATTCCGTTTCAGAGAGCAGCTTTGAAGCACTCTTTTTGTAGTATGTGCAACTGGATATTTGGAGAGCTCTGACGCCTACGGTGAAAAAGCAAATATCTTCCCATAACCACTAGACAGAAACATTCTCAGAAACTCCTTTATGACGTATGCACTCAACTAATAGAGAAGAACCTTCCTTTTGACAGAGTAGTTTTGATACACTCTTTTTGTAGAATCTGCAAGTGGATATTTGGACAGCTGTGAAGATTTCGTTGGAAACGGGAATATCTTCCTATAAAATCTAGACAGAAGCATTCTCAGAAACTGCTCTGTGATGTCTGCATTCAAGTCACGGAGTTGAACATTGCCTTTCATAGAGCAGGTTTGAAACGCTCTTTTTGTAGTATATGGAAGTGGACGTTTCGGACGGTTTGAGGCCCATGGTGATAAAGGGAATATCTTTCCCTACAAGCTAGAAAGAAGCATTCTGTGAAACTTGTTTGTGATGTGTGTACTCAACTAACAGAGTTGAACCTTTCTTTTTACAGAGCAGTTTTGAAACACTGTTTTTGTAGAATCTGCGAGGGGATATTTGGATAGATTTCAGGATTTCGTTGGAAAGGGGAATATCTTCATATAAAATCTCGACAGAAGCATTCTCAGAATCTTCTTTGTGATATCTGCATTCAAGTCACAGAGTTGAATATTCCCTTCCACAGAGTAGGTTTGAAACACTCTTTTTGTAGTATCTGGAAGTGGACATTTGGAGCGCCTTGACGCCTACGGTGAAAAGGGAAATATCTTCCCATAAAAACTAGACAGAAGCAATCTCAGAATCTTCTTTGGGATATATGCACGTAGCTAGCAGAGTTGAACCTTTCTATTGACAGAGCAGTTTTGAAACAGTCTTTCTGTGGAATCTGCAAGTGGATATTTGGATAGCTTGGAGGATTTCGTTGGAAACGTGATTACGTATAAAAAGTAGACAGCAGCATCCTCAGGAACTTCTTTGTGATGTGTGCATTCAAGTCACAGAGTTGAACATTCCCTTTCGTACAGCAGTTTTGAAACACTCTTTCTGTAGTATCTGGAAGTGAACATTAGGACAGCTTTCAGGTCTATGGTGAGAAAGGAAATATCTTCAAATAAAAACTAGACAGAAGCATTCTCATAAACTTGTTTGTGATGTGTGAACTCAGCTAACACACGTGGATCTTTCTTTTGATAGAGCAGTTCTGAAAATCACTTTTGTTGAATCTGCAAGTGGACATTTGGATAGATTTGAAGATTTCGTTGGAAACGGGAATATCTTCATATCAAATCTAGACAGAAGCATTCTCAGAAACGTCTTTGTGATGTTTGCATTCAACCCATAGAGTTGAACATTCCGTTTCAGAGAGCAGCTTTGAAGCACTCTTTTTGTAGTGTGTGCAAGGGGATATTTTGAGCGCTCTGAGGCCTAAGGTGAAAAAGCAAATATCTTCCCATAACCACTAGACAGAAACATTCTCAGAAACTCCTTTATGACGTATGTACTCAACTAACAGAGAAGAACCTTCCTTTTGACAGAGCAGTTTTGATACACTCTTTTTGTATAATCTGCAAGTGGATATTTGGATAGCTGTGAAGATTTCGTTGGAAACGGGAATATCTTCCTATAAAATCTAGACAGAAGCATTCTCAGAAACTGCTCTGTGATGTCTGTATTCAAGTCACAGAGTTGAACATTGCCTTTCATAGAGCAGGTTTGAAACGCTCTTTTTGTAGTATATGGAAGTGGATGTTTCGGACGGTTGGAGGCCCATGCTGATAAAGGGAATATCTTCCCCTACAAGCTAGAAAGAAACATTCTGTGAAACTTGTTTGTGATGTGTGTACTCAGCTAACAGAGTTGAACCTTTCTTTTTACAGAGCAGTTTTGAAACACTCTTTTTGTAGAATCTGCGAGGGGATATTTGGATAGATTTCAGGATTTCGTTGGAAAAGGGAATATCTTCATATAAAATCTCGACAGAAGACCGAAGCATTCTCAGAAACTTCATTGTGATATCTGCATTGAAGTCACAGACTTGAATACTCCCTTTCACAGAGTAGGTTTGAAACACTCTTTTTGTAGTATCTGGAATTGGACATTTGGATCGCTTTGACGCCTATTGTGAAAAAGGAAATATCTTCCCCTAAAAACTAGACAGAAGCAACCTCAGAATGTTCTTTGGGATGTATGCACGCAGCTAACAGAGTTGAACCTTTGTATTGACAGAGCGGTTTTGAAACACTCTTTTTGTGGAATCTGCAAGTGGATATTTGGATAGCTTGGAGGATTTCGTTGGAAACGGGATTACGTATAAAAAGTAGACAGCAGCATCCTCAGAAACTTCTTTGTGATGTGTGCATTCAAGTCACATAGTTGAACATTCCCTTTCGTACAGCAGTTTTGAAACACTCTTTCTGTAGTATCTGGAAGTGAACATTAGGACAGCTTTCAGCTCTATGGTGAGAAAGGAAATATCTTCAAATAAAAACTAGACAGATAAGCATTCTCATAAACTTGTTTGTGATGTGTGAACTCAGCTAACAGAGGTGGATCTTTCTTTTGATAGAGCAGTTCTGAAAAACACTTTTTGTTGAATCTGCAAGTGGAGATTTGGATAGATTTGAAGATTTCGTTGGAAACGGGAATATCTTCATATCAAATCTAGACAGAAGCATTCTCGGAAACGTCTTTGTCATGTTTGCATTCAACTCATAGAGTTGAACATTCCGTTTCAGAGAGCAGCTTTGAAGCACTCTTTTTGTAGTATGTTCAAGGGGATATTTGGAGCGCTCTGAGGCCTAAGGTGAAAAAGCAAATATCTTCCCATAACCACTAAACAGAAACATTCTCAGAAACTCCTTTATGACGTATGCACTCACCTAACAGAGAAGAACCTTCCTTTTGACAGAGCAGTTTTGATACACTCTTTTTGTAGAATATGCAAGTGGATATTTGGATAGCTGTGAAGATTTCGTTGGAAACGGGAATATCTTCCTATAAAATCTACACAGAAGCATTCTCAGAAACTGCTCTGTGATGTCTGCATTCAAGTCACAGAGTTGAACATTGCCTTTCATAGAGCAGGTTTGAAACGCTCTTTTTGTAGTATATGGAAGTGGATGTTTCAGACGGTTGGAGGCCCATGGTGATAAAGGGAATATCTTCCCCTACAAGCTAGAAAGAAGCATTCTGTGAAACTTGTTTGTGATGTGTGTACTCAACTAACAGAGTTGAACCTTTCTTTTACAGAGCAGTTTTGAAACACTCTTTTTGTAGAATCTGCGAGGGGTATTTGGATAGATTTCAAGATTTCGTTGGGAACGGGAATATCTTCATATAAAATCTCGACAGAAGCATTCTCAGAAACTTCTTTGTGATATCGGCATTCAAGTCACAGAGTTGAATATTCCCTTTCACAGAGTAAGTTTGAAACAATCTTTTTGTAGTATCTGGAAGTGGACATTTGGATCGCCTTGACGCCTACGGTGAAAAGGGAAATATCTTCCCATAAAAACTAGACAGAAGCAATCTCAGAATCTTCTTTGGGATATATGCACGCACCTAACAGAGTTGAACCTTTCTATTGACAGAGCAGTTTTGAAACAGTCTTTCTGTGGAATCTGCAGGTGGATATTTGGATAGCTTGGAGGATTTCGTTGGAAACGGGATTACGTATAAAAAGTAGACAGCAGCATCCTCAGAAACTTCTTTGTGATGTGTGCATTCAAGTCACAGAGTTGAACATTCCCTTTCGTACAGCAGTTTTGAAACACTCTTTCTGTAGCATCTGGAAGTGAACATTAGTTCAGCTTTCAGGTCTATGGTGAGAAAGGAAATATCTTCAAATAAAAACTAGACAGAAGCATTCTCATAAACTTGTTTGTGATGTCTGAACTCAGCTAACAGAGGTGGACCTTTCTTTTGATAGAGCAGTTCTGAAAAACACTTTTTGTTGAATCTGCAAGTGGACATTTGGATAGATTTGAAGATTTCGTTGGAAACGGGAATATCTTCATATCAAATCTAGACAGAAGAATTCTCGGAAACGTCTTTGTGATGTTTGCATTCAACTCATAGAGTTGAACATTCCCTTTCAGAGAACAGCTTTGAAGCACTCTTTTTGTAGTATGTGCAAGGGGATATTTGGAGCGCTCTGAGGCCTAAGGTGAAAAAGCAAATATCTTCCCATAACCACTAGACAGAAAACATTCTCAGAAACTTCTTTATGACGTATGTACTCAATTAGCAGAGAAGAACTTTCCTTTTGACAGAGCATTTTTGATACACTCTTTTTGTAGTATCTGCAAGTGGATATTTGGATAGCTGTGAAGATTTCGTTGGAATCGGGAATATCTTCCTATAAAGTCCGGACAGAAGCATTCTCAGAAACTGATCTGTGATGTCTGCATTCAAGTCACAGAGTTGAACATTGCCTTTCATAGAGCAGGTTTGAAACGCTCTTTTTGTAGTATATGGAAGTAGACGTTTCGGACGGTTTGAGGCCCATGGTGATAAAGGGAATATCTTCCCCTACAAGCTAGAAAGAAGCATTCTGTGAAACTTTTTTGTGATGTGTGTACTCAACTAACAGAGTTGAACCTTTCTTTTTACAGAGCAGTTTTGAAACACTCTTTTTGTAGAATCTGCGAGGGGATATTTGGATAGTTTTCAGGATTTCGTTGGAAACGGGAATATCTTCATATAAAATCTCGACAGAAGCATTCTCAGAAACTTCATTGTGATATCTGCATTCAAGTCACAGAGTTGAATATTCCCTTTCACAGAGTAGGTTTGAAACACTCTTTTTGTAGTATCTGGAAGTGGACATTTGGAGCGCCTTGACACCTACGGTGAAAAGGGAAATATCTTCACATAAAAACTAGACAGAATCAATCTCAGAATCTTCTTTGGGATATATGCAGGCAGCTAACAGAGTTGAACCTTTCTATTGACAGAGCAGTTTTGAAACAGTCTTTCTGTGGAATCTGCAAGTGGATATTTGGATAGATTGGAGGATTTCGCTGGAAACGGGATTACGTATAAAAAGTAGACAGCAGCATCCTCAGAAACTTCTTTGTGATGTGTGCATTCAAGTCACAGAGTTGAACATTCCCTTTCGTACAGCAGTTTTGAAACACTCTTTCTGTAGTATCTGGAAGTGAACATTAGGACAGCTTTCAGGTCTATGGTGAGAAAGGGAATATCTTCAAATAAAAACTAGACAGAAGCATTCTCATAAACTTGTTTGTGATGTGTGAACTCAGCTAACAGAGGTGGATCTTTCTTTTCATAGAGCAGTTCTGAAAAACACTTTTTGTTGAATCTGCAACTGGACATTTGGATAGATTTGAAGATTTCGTTGGAAACGGGAATATCTTCATATCAAATCTAGACAGAAGCATTCTCAGAAACGTCTTTGTGATGTTTGCATTCAACTCATAGAGTTGAACATTCCGTTTCAGAGAGCAGGTTTGAAGCACTCTTTTTGTAGTATGTGCAAGTGGATATTTGGAGCGCTCTGAGGCCTACGGTGAAAAACAAATATCTTCCCATAACCACTAGACAGAAACATTCTCAGAAACTCCTTTATGACGTATGTACTCAACTAACAGAGAAGAACCTTCCTTTTGAAAGAGCAGTTTTGATACACTCTTTTTGTAGAATCTGCAAGTGGATATTTGGATAGCTGTGAAGATTTCGATGGAAACGGGAATATCTTCCTATAAAATCTAGACAGAATAATTCTCAGAAAGTGCTCTGTGATGTCTGCATTCAAGTCACAGAGTTGAACATTGCCTTTCATAGAGCAGGTTTGAAACACTCTTTTTGTAGTATATGGAAGTGGACGTTTCGGACGGTTTGAGGCCCATGGTGATAAAGGGAATATCTTCCCCTACAAGCTAGAAAGAAGCATTCTGTGAAACTTGTTTGTGATGTGTGTACTCAACTAACACAGTTGAACCTTTCTTTTTACAGAGCAGTTTTGAAACACTCTTTTTGTAGAATCTGCGAGGGGATATTTGGATACATTTCAGGATTTCGTTGGAAACGGGAATATCTTCATATAAAATCTCGACAGAAGCATTCTCAGAAACTTCTTTGTGATATCTGCCTTTAAGTCACAGAGTTGAATATTCCCTTTCACAGAATAGGTTTGAAACACTCTTTTTGTAGTATCTGGAAGTGGACATTTGGAGCGCCTTGACACCTACGGTGAAAAGGGAAATATCTTCCCATAAAAACTAGACAGAAGCAATCTCAGAATCTTCTTTGGGATATATGCACGCAGCTAACAGAGTTGAACCTTTCTAGTGACAGAGCAGTTTTGAAACAGTCTTTCTGTGGTATCTGCAAGTGGATATTTGGATAGATTGGAGGATTTCGTTGGAAACGGGATTACGTATAAAAAGTAGACAGCAGCATCCTCAGAAACATCCTTGTGATGTGTGCATTCAAGTCACAGAGTTGAACATTCCCTTTCGTACAGCAGTTTTGAAACACTCTTTCTGTAGTATCTGGAAGCGAACTTTAGGACAGCTTTCAGGTCTATAGTGAGAAAGGATATATCTTCAAATAAAAACTAGACAGAAGCATTCTCATAAACTTGTTTGTGATGTGTGAACTCAGCTAACAGAGGTGGATCTTTCTTTTGATAGAGCAGTTCTGAAAAACACTTTTTGTTGAATCTGCAAGTGGACATTTAGGGATAGATTTGAAGATTTCGTTGGAAACGGGAATATCTTCATATCAAATCTAGACAGAAGCATTCTCAGAAACGTCTTTGTGATGTTTGCATTCAACTCATAGAGTTGAACATTCCGTTTCAGAGACCAGCTTTGAAGCACTCTTTTTGTAGTATGTGCAAGTGGATATTTGGAGCGCTCTGAGGCCTACGGTGAAAAAGCACATATCTTCCCATAACCACTAGACAGAAACATTCTCAGAAACTTCTTTATGACGTATGTACTCAACTAGCAGAGAAGAACTTTCCTTTTGACAGAGCATTTTTGATACACTCTTTTTGTAGTATCTGCAAGTGGATATTTGGATAGCTGTGAAGATTTCGTTGGAATCGGGAATATCTTCCTATAAAGTCCGGACAGAAGCATTCTCAGAAACTGCTCTTTGATGTTTGCATTCAAGTCACAGAGTTGAACATTGCCTTTCATAGAGCAGGTTTCAAGCACTCTTTTTTTAGTATATGGAAGTGGACGTTTCGGACGGTTTGAGGCCCATGGTGATAAAGGAAATATCTTCCCCTACAAGCTAGAAAGAAGCATTCTGCGAAACTTGTTTGTGATGTGTGTACTCAACTAACAGAGTTGAACCTTTCTTTTTACAGAGCAGTTTTGAAACACTCTTTTTGTAGAATCTGCGAGGGGATATTTGGATAGATTTCAGGATTTCGTTGGAAACGGGAATATCTTCATATAAAATCTCGACAGAAGCATTCTGAGAAACCTCTTTGTGATACCTGCATTCAAGTCACAGGGTTGAATATTCCCTTTCACAGAGTATTTTTGAAACACTCTTTTTGTAGTATTTGGAAGTGGACATTTGGAGCGCCTTGACACCTACGGTGAAAAAGGAAATATGAAATATCTTCCCATAAAAACTAGACAGAAGCAATCTCAGAATCTTCTTTGGGATATATGTACGCAGCTAATAGAGTTGAACCTTTCTATTGACAGAGCAGTTTTGAAACAGTCTTTCTGTGGAATCTGCAAGTGGATATTTGGATAGCTTGGAGGATTTCATTGGAAACGGGATTACGTATAAAAAGTAGACAGCAGCATCCTCAGAAACTTCTTTGTGATGTGTGCATTCAAGTCACAGAGTTGAACATTCCCTTTCGTACAGCAGTTTTGAAACACTCTTTCTGTAGTATCTGGAAGTGAACATTAGGACAGCTTTCAGCTCTATGATGAGAAAGGAAATATCTTCAAATAAAAACTAGACAGAAGCATTCTCATAAACTTGTTTGTGATGTGTGAACTCAGCTAACACACGTGGATCTTTCTTTTGATAGAGCAGTTCTGAAAAACACTTTTTGTTGAATCTGCAAGTGGACATTTGGATAGATTTGAAGATTTCGTTGGAAACGGGAATATCTTCATATCAAATCTAGAGAGAAGCATTCTCAGAAACGTCTTTGTGATGTTTGCATTCAACTCATAGAATTGAACATTGCGGTTCAGAGAGCAGCTTTGAAGCACTCTTTTTGTAGTATGTGCAAGTGGATATTTGGAGCGCTCTGAGGCCTACGGTGAAAAAGCAAATATCTTCCCATAACCACTAGACAGAAACACTCTCAGAAACTCCTTTATGACGTATGTACTCAACTAACAGAGAAGAACTTTCCTTTTGACAGAGCATTTTTGATACACTCTTTTTGTACTATCTGCAAGTGGATATTTGGATAGCTGTGAAGATTTCGTTGGAAACGGGAATATCTTCCTATAAAACCTAGACAGAAGCATTCTCAGAAACTGCTCTGTGATGTCTGCATTCAAGTCACAGAGTTGAACATTGCCTTTCATAGAGCAGGTTTCAAACACTCTTTTTTTAGTATATGGAAGTGGACGTTTCGGACGGTTTGAGGCCCATGGTGATAAAGGAAATATCTTCTCCTACAAGCTAGAAAGAAGCATTCTGTGAAACTTGTTTGTGATGTGTGTACTCAACTAACAGAGTTGAACCTTTCTTTTTACAGAGCAGTTTTGAAACACTCTTTTTGTAGAATCTGTGAGGGGATATTTGGATACATTTCAGCATTTCGTTGGAAACGGGAATATCTTCATATATAATCTCGACAGAAGCATTCTCAGAAACTTCATTGTGATATCTGCATTCAAGTCACAGAGTTGAATATTCGCTTTCACAGAGTAGGTTTGAAACACTCTTTTTGTAGTATCTGGAAGTGGACATTTGGAGCGCCTTGACACCTACGGTGAAAAGGGAAATATCTTCCCATAAAAACTAGACAGAAGCAATCTCAGAATCTTCTTTGGGATATATGCACGCAGCTAACAGAGTTGAACCTTTCTATTGACAGAGCAGTCTTGAAACAGTCTTTCTGTGGAATCTGCAAGTGGATATTTGGATAGCTTGGAGGATTTCGTTGGAAACGGGATTAAGTATAAAAAGTAGACAGCAGCATCCTCAGAAACTTCTTTGTGATGTGTGCATTCAAGTCACAGTGTTGAACATTCCCTTTCGTACAGCAGTTTTGAAACACTCTTTCTGTAGTATCTGGAAGTGAACATTAGGACAGCTTTCAGGTCTATGGTGAGAAAGGAAATATCTTCAAGTAAAAACTAGACAGAAGCATTCTCATAAACTTGTTTGTGATGTGTGAACTCAGCTAACAGAGGTGGAACTTTCTTTTGATAGAGCAGTTCTGAAAAACACTTTTTGTTGAATCTGCAAGTGGACATTTGGATAGATTTGAAGATTTCGTTGGAAACGGGAATATCTTCATATCAAATCTAGACAAAAGCATTCTCAGAAACGTCTTTGTGATGTTTGCATTCAACTCATAGAGTTGAACATTCCGTTTCAGAGAGCAGCTTTGAAGCACTCTTTTTGTAATATCTGCAAGTGGATATTTGGAGCGCTCTGAGGCCTACGGTGAAAAAGCAAATATCTTCCCATAACCGCTAGACAGAAACATTCTCAGAAACTGCTTTATGACGTATGCACTCAACTAACAGAGAAGAACCTTCCTTTTGACAGAGCAGTTTTGATACACTCTTTTTGTAGAATCTGCAAGTGGATATTTGGATAGCTGTGAAGATTTCTTTGGAAACGGGAATATCTTCCTATAAAATCTAGACAGAAGCATTCTCAGAAACTGCTCTGTGATGTCTGCATTCAAGTCACAGAGTTGAACATTGCCTTTCCTAGAGCAGCTTTGAAAAGCTCTTTTTGTAGTATATGGAAGTGGACGTTTCGGATGGTTTGAGGCCCATGGTGATAAAGGGAATATCTTCCCCTACAAGCTAGAAAGAAGCATTCTGTGAAACTTGTTTGTGATGTGTGTACTCAACTAACAGAGTTGAACCTTTCTTTTTACAGAGCAGTTTTGAAACACTCTTTTTGTAGAATCTGCGAGGGGATATTTGATAGATTTCAGGATTTCGTTGGAAACGGGAATATCTTCATATAAAATCTCGACAGAAGCATTTTCAGAAACTTCTTCGTGATATCTGCATTCAAGTCACAGAGTTCAATATTCCCTTCCATAGAGAAGGTTTGAAACACTCTTTTTGTAGTATCTGGAAGTGGACATTTGGAGCGCCTTGACACCTACGGTGAAAAGGGAAATATCTTCCCATAAAAACTAGACAGAGGCAATCTCAGAATCTTCTTTGGGATATATGCACGCAGCTAACAGAGTTGAACCTTTCTATTGACAGAGCAGTTTTGAAACAGTCTTTCTGTGGAATCTGCAAGTGGATATTTGGATAGCTTGGAGGATTTCGTTGGAAATGGGATTACGTATAAAAAGTAGACAGCAGCATCCTCAGAAACTTCTTTGTGATGTGTGCATTCAAGTCACAGAGTTGAACATTCCCTTTCGTACAGCAGTTTTGAAACACTCTTTCTGTAGTATCTGGAAGTGAACATTAGGACAGCTTTCAGGTCTATGGTGAGAAAGGAAATATCTTCAAATAAACACTAGACAGAAGCATTCTCATAAACTTGTTTGTGATGTGTGAACTCAGCTAACACACGTGGATCTTTCTTTTGATAGAGCAGTTCTGAAAAACACTTTTTGTTGAATCTGCAAGTGGACATTTGGATAGATTTGAAGATGTCGTTGGAAACGGGAATATCTTCATATCAAATCTAGACAGAAGCATTCTCAGAAACGTCTTTGTGATGTTTGCATTCAACTCATAGAGTTGAACATTCCGTTTCAGAGACCAGCTTTGAAGCACTCTTTTTGTAGTATGTGCAAGTGGATATTTGGAGCGCTCTGAGGCCTACGGTGAAAAAGCAAATATCTTCCCATAACCACTAGACAGAAACATTCTCAGAAACTCCTTTATGACGTATGCACTCACCTAACAGAGAAGAACCTTCCTTTTGACAGAGCAGTTTTGAAACACTCTTTTTGTAGAATCTGCAAGTGGATATTTGGATAGCTGTGAAGATTTCGTTGGAAACGGGAATATCTTCCTATAAAATCTATACAGAAGCATTCTCAGAAACAGCTCTGTGATGTCTGCATTCAAGTCACAGTGTTGAACATTGCCTTTCATAGAGCAGGTTTGAAACGCTCTTTTTGAAGTATATGGAAGTGGACGTTTCGGACGGTTTGAGGCCCATGGTGATAAAGGGAATATCTTCCCCTACAAGCTAGAAAGAAGCATTCTGTGAAACTTGTTTGTGATGTGTGTACTCAACTAACAGAGTTGAACCTTTCTTTTTACAGAGCAGTTTTGAAACACTCTTTTTGTAGAATCTGCGAGGGGATATTTGGATACATTTCAGGATTTCGTTGGAAACGGGAATATCTTCATATAAAATCTCGACCGAAGCATTCTCAGAAACTTCTTTGTGATATCTGCATTCAAGTCACAGGGTTGAATATTCCCTTTCACAGAGTAGGTTTGAAACACTCTTTTTGTAGTATCTGGAAGTGGACATTTGGAGCGCCTTGACACCTACGGTGAAAAGGGAAATATCTTCCCATAAAAACTAGACAGAAGCAATCTCAGAATCTACTTTGGGATATATGCACGCAGCTAACAGAGTTGAACCTTTGTATTGACAGAGCAGTTTTGAAACAGTCTTTCTGTGGAATCTGCAAGTGGATATTTGGATAGCTTGGAGGATTTCGTTGGAAACGGGATTACGTATAAAAAGTAGACAGCAGCATCCTCAGAAACTTCTTTGTGTTGTGTGCATTCAAGTCACAGAGTTGAACATTCCCTTTCGTACAGCAGTTTTGAAAAACTCTTTCTGTAGTATCTGGAAGTGAACATTAGGACAGCTTTCACGTCTATGGTGAGAAAGGAAATATCTTCAAATAAAAACTAGACAGATAGCATTCTCATAAACTTGTTTGTGATGTGTGAACTCAGCTAACACAGGTGGATCTTTCTTTTGATTGAGCAGTTCTGAAAAACACTTTTTGTTGAATCTGCAAGTGGACATTTGGATAGATTTGAAGATTTCGTTGGAAACGGGAATATCTTCATATCAAATCTAGACAGAAGCATTCTCAGAAACGTCTTTGTGATGTTTGCATTCAACTCATAGAGTTGAACATTCCGTTTCAGAGACCAGCTTTGAAGCACTCTTTTTGTAGTATGTGCAAGTGGATATTTGGAGCGCTCTGAGGCCTACGGTAAAAAGCAAATATCTTCCCATAACCACTAGACAGAAACATTCTCAGAAACTCCTTTACGACGTATGCACTCACCTAAGAGAGAAGAACCTTCCTTTTGACAGAGCAGTTTTGATACACTCTTTTTGTAGAATCTGCAAGTGGATATTTGGATAGCTGTGAAGATTTCGTTGGAAACGGGAATAACTTCCTATAAAATCTAGACAGAAGCATTCTCAGAAACTGTTCTGTGATGTCTGCATTCAAGTCACAGAGTTGAACATTGCCTTTCATAGAGCAGGTTTGAAACGCTCTTTTTGTAGTATATGGAAGTGGACGTTTCGGACGGTTTGAGGCCCATGGTGATAAAGGGAATATCTTCCCCTACGAGCTAGAAAGAAGCATTCTGTGAAACTTGTTTGTGATGTGTGTACTCAACTAACAGAGTTGAACCTTTCTTTTTACAGAGCAGTTTTGAAACACTCTTTTTGTAGAATCTGCGTGGGGATATTTGGATACATTTCAGCATTTCGTTGGAAACGGGAATATCTTCATATAAAATCTCGACAGAAGCATTCTCAGAAACTTCTTTGTGATATGTGCATTCAAGTCACAGAGTTGAATATTCCCTTTCACCGAGTAGGTTTGAAAAACTCTTTTTGTAGTATCTGGAAGTGGACATTTGGAGCGCCTTGACGCCTACGGTAAAAAGGGAAATATCTTCCCATAAAAACTAGACAGAAGCAATCTCAGAATCTTCTTTGGGATATATGCACGCAGCTAACAGAGTTGAACCTTTCTATTGACATAGCAGTTTTGAAACAGTCTTTCTGTGGAATCTGCAAGTGGATATTTGGATAGCTTGGAGGATTTCCTTGGAAACGGGATTACGTATAAAAAGTAGACAGCAGCATCCTCAGCAAACTTCTTTGTGATGTGTGCATTCAAGTCACAGTAGTTGAACATTCCCTTTCGTACAGCAGTTTTGAAACACTCTTTCTGTAGTATCTGGAAGTGAACATTAGGACAGCTTTCAGGTCTATGGTGAGAAAGGTAATATCTTCAAATAAAAACTAGACAGAAAGCATTCTCATAAACTTGTTTGTGATGTGTGAACTCATCTAACAGAGGTGGATCTTTCTTTTGATAGAGCAGTTCTGAAAAACACTTTTTGTTGAATCTGCAAGTGGACATTTGGATAGATTTGAAGATTTCGTTGGAAACGGGAATATCTTCATATCAAATCTAGACAGAAGCATTCCCAGAAACGTCTTTGTGATGTTTGCATTCAACTCATAGAGTTGAACATTCCCTTTGAGAGAGCAGCTTTATAGCACTCTTTTTGTAGTATGTGCAAGGGGATATTTAGAGCGCTCTGAGGCCTAAGGTGAAAAAGCAAATATCTTCCCATAACCACTAGACAGAAACATTCTCAGAAACTCCTTTATGACGTGTGCACTCACCTAACAGAGAAGAACCTTCCTTTTGAAAGAGCAGTTTTGATCCACTCTTTTTGTAGAATCTGCAAGTGGATATTTGGATAGCTGTGAAGATTTCGTTGGAAACGGGAATATCTTCCTATAAAATCTAGACAGAAGCATTCTCAGAAACTGCTCTGTGATGTCTGCATTCAAGTCACAGAGTTGAACATTGACTTTCATAGAGCAGGTTTGAAACGCTCTTTTTGTAGTATATGGAAGTGGATGTTTCGGACGGTTGGAGGCCCATGGTGATAAAGGGAATATCTTCCCCTACAAGCTAGAAAGATAAGCATTCTGTGAAACTTGTTTGTGATGTGTGTACTCAACTAACAGAGTTGAACCTTTCTTTTTACAGAGCAGTTTTGAAACACTCTTTTTGTAGAATCTGCGAGGGGATATTTGGATAGATTTCAGGATTTCGTTGGAAACGGGAATATCTTCATATAAAATCTCGACAGAAGCATTCTCAGAAGCTTCTTTGTGATATGTGCATTCAAGTCACAGAGTTGAATATTCCCTTTCACAGAGTAAGTTTGAAACACTCTTTTTGTAGTATCTGGAAGTGGACATTTGGAGCACCTTGACGCCTACGGTGAAAAGGGAAATATCTTCTCATAAAAAGTAGACAGAAGCAATCTCAGAATCTTCTTTGGGATATATGCACGCAGCTAACAGAGTTGAACCTTTCTATTGACAGAGCAGTTTTGAAACAGTCTTTCTGTGGAATCTGCAAGTGGATATTTGGATAGCTTGGGGGATTTCGTTGGAAACGGGATTACGTATAAAAAGTAGACAGCAGCATCCTCAGAAACATCCTTGTGATGTGTGCATTCAAGTCACAGAGTTGAACATTCCCTTTCGTACAGCAGTTTTGAAACACTCTTTCTGTAGTATCTGGAAGTGAATTTTAGGAGAGCTTTCAGGTCTATAGTGAGAAAGGATATATCTTCAAATAAAAACTAGACAGAATCATTCTCATAAACTTGTTTGTGATGTGTGAACTCAGCTAACAGACGTGGATCTTTCTTTTGATACAGCAGTTTTGAAAAACACTTTTTGTTGAATCTGCAAGTGGACATTTGGATAGATATGAAGATTTCGTTGGAAACGGGAATATCTTCATATCAAATCTAGACAGAAGCATTCCCAGAAACGTCTTTGTGATGTTTGCATTCAACTCATAGAGTTGAACATTCTCTTTCAGAGAGCAGCTTTGAAGCACTCTTTTTGTAGTATTTGCAAGGGGATATTTGGAGCGCTCTGAGGCCTAAGGTGAAAAAGCAAATATCTTCCCATAACCACTAGACAGAAACATTCTCAGAAACTCCTTTATGACGTATGCACTCAGCTAACAGAAAAGAACCTTCCTTTTGACAGAGCAGTTTTGATACACTCTTTTTGTAGAATCTGCAAGTGGATATTTGGATAGCTGTGAAGATTTCGTTGGAAACGGGAATATCTTCCTATAAAATCTAGACAGAAGCATTCTCAGAAACTGCCCTGTGATGTCTGCATTCAAGTCACAGAGTAGAACATTGCCTTTCATAGAGGAGGTTTCAAACACTCTTTTTTTAGTATATGGAAGGGGACGATTCGGACAGTTTGAGGCCCATGGTGATATAGGAAATATCTTCCCCTACAAGCTAGAGAGAAGCATTCTGTGAAACTTGTTTGTGATGTGTGTACTCAACTAACAGAGTTGAACCTTTCTTTTTACAGAGGAGTTTTGAAACACTCTTTTTGTAGAATCTGCGAGGGGTTATTTGGATAGAATTCATGATTTCGTTGGAAAAGGGAATATCTTCCTATAAAATCTCGACAGAAGCATTCTCAGAAACTTCTTTGTGATATGTGCATTCAAGTCACAGAGTTGAATATTCCCTTTCACAGAGTAGGTTTGAAACACTCTTTTTGTAGTATCTGGAAGTGGACATTTGGAGCGCCTTGACACCTACGGTGAAAAGGGAAATATCTTCCCATAAAAATTCGACAGAAGCAATCTCAGAATCTTCTTTGGGATATATGCACGCAGCTAACAGAGTTGAACCTTTCTATTGACAGAGCAGTTTTGAAACAGCCTTTCTGTGGAATCTGCAAGTGGATATTTGGATAGCTTGGAGGACTTCGTTGGAAACGGGATTACGTATAAAAAGTAGACAGCAGCATCCTCAGAAACTTCTTTGTGATGTGTGTATTCAAGTCACAGAGTTGAACATTCCCTTTCGTACAGCAGTTTTGAAACACTCTTTCTGTAGTAACTGGAAGTGAACATTAGGACAGCTTTCAGGTCTATGGTGAGAAAGGAAATATCTTCAAATAAAAACTAGACAGAAGCATTCTCATAAACTTGTTTGTGATGTGTGAACTCAGCTAACAGACGTGGATCTTTCTTTTGATACAGCAGTTTTGAAAAACACTTTTTGATGAATCTGCAAGTGGACATTTGGATAGATTTGAAGATTTCGTTGGAAACGGGAATATCTTCATATCAAATACTAGACAGAAGCATTCTCAGAAACGTCTTTGCGATGTTTGCATTCAACTCATAGAGTTGAACATTCCGTTTCAGAGAGCAGCTTTGAGGCACTCTTTTTGTAGTATGTGCAAGTGGATATTTGGAGCGCTCTGAGGCCTACGGTGAAAAAGCAAATATCTTCCCAAAACCACTAGACAGAAACATTCTCAGAAACTCCTTTATGACGTATGCACTCACCTAACAGAAAAGAACCTTCCTTTTGACAGAGCAGTTTTGATACACTCTTTTTGTAGAATCTGCAAGTGGATATTTGGATAGCTGTGAAGATTTCGTTGGAAACGGGAATATCTTCCTATAAAACCTAGACAGAAGCATTCTCAGAAACTGCTCTGTGATGTCTGCATTCAAGTCACAGAGTTGAACATTGCTTTTCATAGAGCAGGTTTGAAACGCTCTTTTTGTAGTATATGGAAGTAGACTTTTCGGACGGTTTGAGGCCCATGGTGATAAAGGGAATATCTTCCCCTACAAGCTAGAAAGAAGCAATCTGTGAAACCTGTTTGTGATGTGTGTACTCAACTAACAGAGTTGAACCTTTCTTTTTACAGAGCAGTTTTGAAACACTCTTTTTGTAGAATCTGCGAGGGGATATTTGGATAGATTTCAGGATTTCGTTGGAAACGGGAATATCTTCATATAAAATCTCGACAGAAGCATTCTCAGAAACTTCCTTGTGATATGTGCATTCACGTCACAGAGTTGAATATTCCCTTTCACAGAGTAGGTTTGAAACACTCTTTTTGTAGTATCTGGAAGTGGACATTTGGAGCGCCTTGACACCTACGGTGAAAAGGGAAATATCTTCCCATAAAAACTAGACAGAAGCAATCTCAGAATCTTCTTTGGGATATATGCACGCAGCTAACAGCAGTTGAACCTTTCTATTGACAGAGCAGTTTTGAAACAGTCTTTCTGTGGAATCTGCAAGTGGATATTTGGATAGCTTGGAGGATTTCGTTGGAAACGGGATTAAGTATAAAAAGTAGACAGCAGCATCCTCAGAAACTTCATTGTGATGTGTGCATTCAAGTCACAGAGTTGAACATTCCCTTTCGTACAGCAGTTTTGAAACACTCTTTCTGTAGTAACTGGAAGTGAACATTAGGACAGCTTTCAGGTCTATGGTGAGAAAGGAAATATCTTCAAATAAAAACTAGACAGAAGCATTCTCATAAACTTGTTTGTGATGTGTCAACTCAGCTAACAGAGGTGGATCTTTCTTTTGATAGAGCAGTTCGGAAAAACACTTTTTGTTGAATCTCCAAGTGGACATTTGGATAGATTTGAAGATTTCGTTGGAAACGGGAATATCTTTATATCAAATCTAGACAGAAGCATTCTCAGAAACGTCTTTGTGATGTTTGCATTCAACTCATAGAGTTGAACATTCCGTTTCAGAGAGCAGGTTTGAAGCACTCTTCTTGTAGTATGTGCAAGTGGATATTTGGAGCGCTCTGAGGCCTACGGTGAAAAAGCAAATATCTTCCCATAACCACTAGACAGAAACATTCTCAGAAACTCCTTTATGACGTATGCACTCACCTAACAGAAAAGAACCTTCCTTTTGACAGAGCAGTTTTGATACACTCTTTTTGTAGAATCTGCAAGTGGATATTTGGATAGTTGTGAAGGTTTCGTTGGAAACGGGAATATCTTCCTATAAAATCTAGACAGAAGCATTCTCAGAAACTGCTCTGTGATGTCTGCATTCAAGTAACAGAGTTGAACATTGCCTTTCCTAGAGCAGGTTTGAAACGCTCTTTTTGTAGTATATGGAAGTGGACGTTTCGGACGGTTTGAGGACCATGGTGATAAAGGGAATATCTTCCCCTACAAGCTAGAAAGAAGCATTGTGTGAAACTTGTTTGTGATGTGTGTACTCAACTAACAGAGTTGAACCTTTCTTTTTACAGAGCAGTTTTGAAACACTCTTTTTGTAGAATCTGCGAGGGGATATTTGGATACATTTCTGCATTTCGTTGGAAACGGGAATATCTTCATATAAAATCTCGACAGAAGCATTCTCAGAAACTTTCCTTGTGATATGTGCATTCAAGTCACAGAGTTGAATATTCCCTTTCACAGAGTAGGTTTGAAACACTCTTTTTGTAGTATCTGGAAGTGGACATTTGGAGCGCCTTGACACCTACGGTGAAAAGGCAAATATCTTCCCATAAAAACTAGACAGAAGCAATCTCAGAATCTTCTTTGGGATATATGCACACAGCTAACAGAGTTGAACCTTTCTATTGACAGAGCAGTTTTGAAACAGTCTTTCTGTGGAATCTGCAAGTGGATATTTGGATAGATTGGAGGATTTCATTGGAAACGGGATTACGTATAAAAAGTAGACAGCAGCATCCTCAGAAACTTCTTTGTGATGTGTGCATTCAAGTCACAGAGTTGAACATACCCTTTCGTACAGCAGTTTTGAAACACTCTTTCTGTAGCATCTGGAAGTGAACATTAGGACAGCTTTCAGCTCTATGGTGAGAAAGGAAATATCTTCAAATAAAAACTAGACAGAAGCATTCTCATAAACTTGTTTGTGATGTGTGAACTCAGCTAATAGACGTGGATCTTTCTTTTGATAGAGCAGTTCTGAAAAACACGTTTTGTTGAATCTGCAAGTGGACATTTGGATAGATTTGAAGATTTCATTGGAAACGGGAATATCGTCATATCAAATCTAGACAGAAGCATTCTCAGAAACGTCTTTGTGATGTTTGCATTGAACTCATAGAGTTGAACATTCCCTTTCAGAGAGCAGCTTTGAAGCACTCTTTTTGTAGTATGTTCAAGTGGACATTTGGAACGCTCTGAGGCCTACGGGGAAAAAGCAAATATCTTCCCATAACAACTAGACAGAAACATTCTCAGAAACTTCTTTATGACGTATGTACTCAACTAGCAGAAAAGAACTTTCCTTTTGACAGAGCTTTTTTGATACACTCTTTTTGTAGTATCTGCAAGTGGATATTTGG
The DNA here is from genome assembly GCF_000001405.40 of Homo sapiens. Taxonomy (NCBI): domain Eukaryota; kingdom Metazoa; phylum Chordata; class Mammalia; order Primates; family Hominidae; genus Homo; species Homo sapiens. The sequence continues at coordinate 16,432,723 of NC_000014.9, forward strand.
ATAGCTGTGAAGATTTCGTTGGAATCGGGAATATCTTCCTATAAAGTCTGGACAGAAGCATTCTCAGAAACTGCTCTGTGATGTCTGTATTCAAGTCACAGAGTTGAACATTGCCTTTCATAGAGCAGGTTTGAAACGCTCTTTTTGTAGTATATGGAAGTGGACTTTTCGGACGGTTTGAGGCCCATGGTGATAAAGGGAATATCTTCCCCTACAAGCTAGAAAGAAGCATTCTGTGAAACTTGTTTGTGATGTCTGTACTCAACTAACAGAGTTGAACCTTTCTTTTCACAGAGCAGTTTTGAAACACTCTTTTTGTAGAATCTGCGAGGGGATATTTGGATAGATTTCAGGATTTCGTTGGAAACGGGAATATCTTCATACAAAATCTCGACAGAAGCATTCTCAGAAACTTCTTTGTGATATCTCCATTCAAGTCACAGAGTTGAATATTCCCTTTCACAGAGTAGGTTTGAAACACTCTTTTTGTAGTATCTGGAAGTGGAGATTTGGAGCGCCTTGACGCCTACGGTGAAAAGGGAAATATCTTCCCATAAAAACTAGACAGAAGCAATCTCAGAATCTTCTTTGGGATATATGCACGCAGCTAACAGAGTTGAACCTTTCTATTGACAGAGCAGTTTTGAAACAGTCTTTCTGTGGAATCTGAAAGTGGATATTTGGATAGCTTGGAGGATTTCGTTGGAAACGGGATTAAGTATAAAAAGTAGACAGCAGCATCCTCAGAAACTTCTTTGTGATGTGTGCATTCAAGTCACAGAGTTGAACATTCCCTTTCGTACAGCAGTTTTGAAACACTCTTTCTGTAGTATCTGGAAGTGAACATTAGGACAGCTTTCAGGTCTATGGCGAGAAAGGAAATATCTTCAAATAAAAACTAGACAGAAAGCATTCTCATAAACTTGTTTGTGATGTGTCAACTCAGCTAACAGAGGTGGATCTTTCTTTTGATAGAGCAGTTCGGAAAAACACTTTTTGTTGAATCTCCAAGTGGACATTTGGATAGATTTGAAGATTTCGTTGGAAACGGGAATATCTTTATATCAAATCTAGACAGAAGCATTCTCAGAAACGTCTTTGTGATGTTTGCATTCAACTCATAGAATTGAACATTCCCTTTCAGAGAGCAGCTTTGAAGCACTCTTTTTGTAGTATGTGCAAGGGGATATTTTGAGCGCTCTGAGGCCTAAGGTGAAAAAGCAAATATCTTCCCATAACCACTAGACACAAACATTCTCAGAAACGCCTTTATGACGTATGCACTCACCTAACAGAAAAGAACCTTCCTTTTGACAGAGCAGTTTTGATACACTCTTTTTGTAGAATCTGCAAGTGGATATTTGGATAGCTGTGAAGATTTCGTTGGAAACGGGAATATCTTCCTATAAAATCTAGACAGAAGCATTCTCAGAAACTGCTCTGTGGTGTTTGCATTCAAGTCACAGAGTTGAACATTGGCTTTCATAGAGCAGCTTTCAAACACTCTTTTTTTAGTATATGGAAGTGGACGTTTCGGACGGTTTGAGGACAATGGTGATAAAGGAAATATCTTCCCCTACAAGCTAGAAAGAAGGATTCTGTGAAACTTGTTTGTGATGTGTGTACTCAACTAACAGAATTGAACCTTTCTTTTTACAGAGCAGTTTTGAAACACTCTTTTTGTAGAATCTGCGAGGGGATATTTGGATAGATTTCAGGATTTCGTTGGAAACGGGAATATCTTTATATAAAATCTCGACAGAAGCATTCTCAGAAGCTTCTTTGTGATATGTGCATTCAAGTCACAGAGTTGAATATTCCCTTTCACAGAGTAGGTTTGAAACACTTTTTTTCTAGTATCTGGAAGTGGACATTTGGAGCGCATTGACACCTACGGTGAAAAGGGAAATATCTTCTCATAAAAAGTAGACAGAAGCAATCTCAGAATCTTCTTTGGGATATATGCACGCAGCTAACAGAGTTGAACCTTTCTATTGACAGAGCAGTTTTGAAACAGCCTTTCTGTGGAATCTGCAAGTGGATATTTGGATAGCTTGGAGGATTTCGTTGGAAACGGGATTAAGTATAAAAAGTAGACAGCAGAATCCTCAGAAACTTCTTTGTGATGTGTGCATTCAAGTCACAGAGTTGAACATTCCCTTTCGTACAGCAGTTTTGAAACACTCTTTCTGTAGTATCTGGAAGTGAACATTAGGACAGCTTTCAGGTCCATGGTGAGAAAGGAAATATCTTCAAATAAAAACTAGACAGAAGCATTCTCATAAACTTGTTTGTGATGTGTGAACTCAGCTAACAGAGGTGGATCTTTCTTTTGATAGAGCAGTTCTGAAAAACACTTTTTGTTGAATCTGCAAGTGGACATTTGGATAGATTTGAAGATTTCGTTGGAAACGGGGATATCTTCATATCAAATCTAGACAGAAGCATTCTCAGAAACGTCTCTGTCATGTTTGCATTCAACTCATAGAGTTGAACATTCCCTTTCAGAGAGCAGCTTTGAAACACTCTTTTTGTAGTATGTGCAAGTGGATATTTGGAGCGCTCTGAGGCCTACGGTGAAAAAGAAAATATCTTCCCATAACCACTAGACAGAAACATTCTCAGAAACTCCTTTATGACGTGTGCACTCACCTAACAGAGAAGAACCTTCCTTTTGACAGAGCAGTTTTGATACACTCTTTTTGTAGAATCTGCAAGTGGATATTTGAATAGCTGTGAAGATTTCGTTGGAAACGGGAATATCTTCCTATAAAATCTAGACAGAAGCATTCTCAGAAACTGCTCTGTGATGTCTGCATTCAAGTCACAGAGTTGAACATTGCCTTTCATAAAGCAGGTTTGAAACGCTCTTTTTGTAATATATGGCAGTGGACGTTTCGGACGGTTTGAGGCCCATGGTGATAAAGGGAATATCTTCCCCTACAAGCTAGAAAGAAAGCATTGTGTGAAACTTGTTTGTGATGTGTGTACTCAACTAACAGAGTTGAACCTTTCTTTTCACAGAGCAGTTTTGAAACACTCTTTTTGTAGAATCTGCGAGGGGATATTTGGATAGATTTCAGCATTTCGTTGGAAACGGGAATATCTTCATATAAAATCTCGACAGAAGCATTCTCAGAAACTTCTTTGTGATATCTGCATTCAAGTCACAGAGTTGAATATTCCCTTTCACTGAGTAGGTTTGAAACACTCTTTTTGTAGTATCTGGAAGTAGACATTTGGAGCGCCTTGACGCCTACGGTGAAAAGGGAAATATCTTCTCATAAAAAGTAGACAGAAGCAATCTCAGAATCTTCTTTGGGATATATGCACGCAGCTAACAGAGTTGAACCTTTCTATTGACAGAGCAGTTTTGAAACTGTCTTTCTGTGGAATCTGCAAGTGGATATTTGGATAGCTTGGAGGATTTCGTTGGAAACGGGATTACGTATAAAAAGTAGACAGCAGCATCCTCAGAATCTTCCTTATTGATGTGTGCTTTCAAGTCACAGAGTTGAACATTCCCTTTCGTACAGCAGTTTTGAAAAACTCTTTCTGTAGTATCTGGAAGTGAACTTTAGGAGAGCTTTCACGTCTATAGTGAGAAAGGATATATCTTCAAATAAAAACTAGACAGAAGCATTCTCATAAACTTGTTTGTGATGTGTGAACTCAGCTAACAGACGTGGATCTTTCTTTTGATACAGCAGTTTTGAAAAACACTTTTTGTTGAATCTGCAAGTGGACATTTGGATAGATATGAAGATTTCGTTGGAAATGGGAATATCTTCATATGAAATCTAGACAGAAGCATTCTCAGAAACGTCTTTGTGATGTTTGCATTCAACTCATAGAGTTGAACATTCCGTTTCAGAGAGCAGCTTTGAGGCACTCTTTTTGTAGTATGTGCAAGTGGATATTTGGAGCGCTCTGAGGCCTACGGTGAAAAAGCAAATATCTTCCCATAAACACTAGACAGAAACATTCTCAGAAAATCCTTTATGACGTATGCACTCACCTAACAGAGAAGAACCTTCCTTTTGACAGAGCAGTTTTGATACACTCTTTTTGTAGAATCTGCAAGTGGATATTTGGATAGCTGTGAAGATTTCGTTTGAAACGGGAATATCTTCCTATAAGATCTAGACAGAAGCATTCTCAGAAACTGCTCTGTGATGTCTGCATTCAAGTCACAGAGTTGAACATTGCCTTTCATAGAACAGGTTTGAAACGCTCTTTTTGTAGTATATGGAAGTAGACGTTTCGGACGGTTTGAGGCCCATGGTGATAAAGGGAATATCTTCCCCTACAAGCTAGAAAGAAGCATTCTGTGAAACTTGTTTGTGATGTGTGTACTCAACTAACAGAGCCTTTCTTTTTACAGAGCAGTTTTGAAACTCTCTTTTTGAAGAATCTGCGAGGGGATATTTGGATAGATTTCAGGATTTCGTTGGAAACGGGAATATCTTCATATAAAATCTCGACAGAAGCATTCTCAGAAACTTCTTTGTGATATGTGAATTCAAGTCACAGAGTTGAATATTCCCTTTCACAGAGTAGGTTTGAAACACTCTTTTTGTAGTATCTGGAAGTGGACATTTGGAGCGCCTTGACGCCTACGGTGAAAAGGGAAATATCTTCCCATAAAAACTAGACAGAAGCAATCTCAGAATCTTCTCTGGGATATATGCACCCAGCTAACAGAGTTGAACCTTTCTATTGACAGAGCAGTTTTGAAACAGTCTTTCTGTGGAATCTGCAAGTGGATATTTGGATAGCTTGGAGGATTTCGTTGGAAACGGGATTACGTATAAAAATTAGACAGCAGCATCCTCAGAAACTTCTTTGTGATGTGTGCATTCAAGTCACAGAGTTGAACATTCCCTTTCGTACAGCAGTTTTGAAACACTCTTTCTGTAGTATCTGGAAGTGAACATTAGGACAGCTTTCAGGTCTATGGTGAGAAAGGCAAAATCTTCAAATAAAAACTAGACAGAAGCATTCTCATAAACTTGTTTGTGATGTGTGAACTCAGCTAACAGAGATGGATCTTTCTTTTGATAGAGCAGTTCTGAAAAACACTTTTTGTTGAATCTGCAAGTGGATATTTGGATAGATTTGAAGATTTCGTTGGAAACGGGAAGATCTTCATATCAAATCTAGACAGAAGCATTCTCAGAAACGTCTTTGTGATGTTTGCATTCAACTCATAGAGTTGAACATTCCCTTTCAGAGAGCAGTTTTGAAGCACTCTTTTTGTAGTAAGTGCAAATTGACATTTGGAGCGCTTTGAGGCCTAAGGGGAAAAAGCAAATATCTTCCCATAACCAGTAGACAGAAACATTCTCAGAAACTCCTTTATGACGTATGCACTCACCTAACAGAGAAGAACCTTCCTTTTGACAGAGCAGTTTTGATACACTCTTTTTGTATAGTCTGCAAGTAGATATTTGGATAGCTGTGAAGATTTCGTTGGAAACGGGAATATCTTCCTATAAAATCTAGACAGAAGCATTCTCAGAAACTGCTCTGTGATGTCTGCATTCAAGTCACAGTGTTGAACATTGCCTTTCATAGAGCAGGTTTCTAACACTCTTTTTTTAGTATATGGAAGTGGACGTTTCGGACGGTTTGAGGCCCATGGAGATAACGGGAATATCTTCCCCTACAAGCTAGAAAGAAGCATTGTGTGCAACTTGTTTGTGATGTGTGTAGTCAAGTAACAGAGTTGAACCTTTCTTTTTACAGAGCAGTTTTGAAACACTCTTTTTGTAGAATCTGCGAGGGGATATTTGGATAGATTTCAGGATTTCGTTGGAAACGGGAATATCTTCATATAAAATCTCGACAGAAGAATTCTCAGAAACTTCTTTGTGATATCTGCATTCAAGTCACAGAGTTGAATATTCCCTTTCACAGAGTAGGTTTGAAACACTCTTTTTGTAGTATCTGGAAGTGGTCATTTGGAGCGCCTTGACGCCTACGGTGAAAAGGGAAATATCTTCCCATAAAAACTAGACAGCAGCAATCTCAGAATCTTCTTTGGGATATATGCACGCAGCTAACAGAGTTGAACCTTTCTATTGACAGAGCAGTTTTGAAACAGTCTTTCTGTGGAATCTGCAAGTGGATATTTCGATAGCTTGGAGGATTTCGTTGGAAACGGGATTAAGTATAAAAAGTAGACAGCCGCATCCTCAGAAACTTCTTTGTGATGTGTGCATTCAAGTCACAGAGTTGAACATTCCCTTTCGTACAGCAGTTTTGAAACACTCTTTCTGTAGTATCTGGAAGTGAACATTAGGACAGCTTTCAGGTCTTTGGTGAGAAAGGAAATATCTTCAAATAAAAACTAGACAGAAGCATTCTCATAAACTTGTTTGTGATGTGTGAACTCAGCTAACAGAGGTGGATCTTTCTTTTGATAGAGCAGTTCTAAAAAACACTTTTTGTTGAATCTGCAAGTGGACATTTTGATAGATTTGAAGATTTCGTTGGAAACGGGAATATCTTCATATCAAATCTAGACAGAAGCATTCTCAGAAACGTCTTTGTGATGTTTGCATTCAACTCATAGAGTTGAACATTCCGTTTCAGAGAGCAGCTTTGAAGCACTCTTTTTGTAGTATGTGTAAGCGGATATTTGGAGCGCTCTGAGGCCTACGGTGAAAAAGCAAATATCTTCCCATAACCACTAGACAGAAACACTCTCAGAAACTCCTTTATGACGTATGCACTCACCTAACAGAGAAGAACCTTCCTTTTGACAGAGCAGTTTTGAAACACTCTTTTTGTAGAATCTGCAAGTGGATATTTGGATACCTGTGAAGATTTCGTTGGAAACGGGAATATCTTCCTATAAAATCTAGACAGAAGCATTCTCAGAAACTGCTCTGTGATGTCTGTATTCAAGTCACAGAGTTGAACATTGCCTTTCATAGAGCAGGTTTGAAACGCTCTTTTTGTAGTATATGGAAGTGGACGTTTCGGACGGTTTGAGGCCCATGGTGATAAAGGGAATATCTTCCCCTACAAGCTAGAAAGAAGCATTCTGTGAAACTTGTTTGTGATGTGTGTACTCAACTAACAGAGTTGAACCTTTCTTTTTACAGAGCAGTTTTGAAACAGTCTTTTTGTAGAATCTGCGAGGGCATATTTGGATAGATTTCAGGATTTCGTTGGAAAGGGGAATATCTTCATATAAAATCTCGACAGAAGCATTCTCAGAAACTTCTTTGTGATATCTGCATTCAAGTCACAGAGTTGAATATTCCCTTTCACAGAGTAGGTTTGAAACACTCTTTTTGTAGTATCTGGAAGTGGACATTTGGAGCGCCTTGACGCCTACGGTGAAATGGGAAATATCTTCCCATAAAAACTAGACAGAAGCAATCTCAGAATCTTCTTTGGGATATATGCACTCAGCTAACAGAGTTGAACCTTTCTATTGACAGAGCAGTTTTGAAACAGTCTTTCTGTGGAATCTGCAAGTGGATATTTGGATAGATTGGAGGATTTCGTTGGAAACGGGATTACGTATAAAAAGTAGACAGCAGCATCCTCAGAAACTTCTTTGTGATGTGTGCATTCAAGTCACAGAGTTGAACATTCCCTTTCGTACAGCAGTTTTGAAACACTCTTTCTGTAGTATCTGGGAGTGAACATTAGGACAGCTTTCAGGTCTATGGTGAGAAAGGAAATATCTTCAAATAAAAACTAGACAGAAGCATTCTCATAAACTTTTTTCTGATGTGTGAACTCAGCTAACAGAGGTGGATCTTTCTTTTGATAGAGCAGTTCTGAAAAACACTTTTTGTTGAATCTGCAAGTGGACATTTGGATAGATTTGAAGATTTCGTTGGAAACGGGAATATCTTCATATCAAATCTAGACAGAAGCATTCTCAGAAACGTCTTTGTGATGTTTGCATTCAACGCATAGAGTTGAACATTCCGCTTCAGAGAGCAGCTTTGAAGCACTCTTTTTGTAGCATGTGCAAGTTGACATTTGGAGCGCTCTGAGGCCTACGGGGAAAAAGCAAGTATCTTCCCATAACCACTAGACAGAAACATTCTGAGAAACTTCTTTATGACGTATGTACTCAACTAGCAGAGAAGAACTTTCCTTTTGACAGAGCATTTTTGATACACTCTTTTTGTAGTATCTGCAAGTGGATATTTGGATAGCTGTGAAGATTTCGTTGGAAACGGGAATATCTTCCTATAAAATCTAGACAGAAGCATTCTCAGGAAACTGCTCTGTGATGTCTGCATTCAAGTCACAGCAGTTGAACATTGCCTTTCATAGAGCAGGTTTGAAACGCTCTTTTTGTAGTATATGGAAGTGGACTTTTCGGACGGTTTGAGGCCCATGGTGATAAAGGGAATATCTTCCCCTACAAGCTAGAAAGAAGCATTCTGTGAAACTTGTTTGTGATGTGTGTACTCAACTAACAGAGTTGAACCTTTCTTTTTACAGAGCAGTTTTGAAACACTCTTTTTGTAGAATCTGCGAGGGGATATTTGGATAGATTTCAGGATTTCGTTGGAAACGGGAATAACTTCATATAAAATCTCGACAGAAGCATTCTCAGAAACTTCCTTGTGATATGTGCATTCAAGTCACAGAGTTGAATATTCCCTTTCACAGAGTAGGTTTGAAACACTCTTCTTGTAGTATCTGGAAGTGGACATTTGGAGCGCCTTGACGCCCACGGTGAAAAGGGAAATATCTTCCCATAAAAACTAGACAGAAGCAATCTCAGAATCTTCTTTGGGATATATGCACGCAGCTATCAGAGTTGAACCTTTCTATTGACAGAGCAGTTTTGAAACAGTCTTTCTGTGGAATCTGCAAGTGGATATTTGGATAGCTTGGAGGATTTCGTTGGAAACGGGATTACGCATAAAAAGTAGACAGCAGCATCCTCAGAAACTTCTTTGTGATGTGTGCATTCAAGTCACAGAGTTGAACATTCCCTTTCGTACAGCAGTTTTGAAACACTCTTTCTGTAGTATGTGGAAGTGAACATTAGGACAGCTTTCAGGTCTATGGTGAGAAAGGAAATATCTTCAAATAAAAACTAGACAGAAGCATTCTCATAAACTTGTTTGTGATGTGTGAACTCAGCTTAGAGACGTGGATCTTTCTTTTGATAGAGCAGTTCTGAAAAACACGTTTTGTTGAATCTGCAAGCGGACATTTGGATAGATTTGAAGATTTCGTTGGAAACGGGAATATCTTCATATCAAATCTAGACAGAAGCATTCTCAGAAACGTCTTTGTGATGTTTGCATTCAACTCACAGAGTTGAACATTCCCTTTCAGAGAGCAGCTTTGAAGCACTCTTTTTGTAGTATGTGCAAGGGGATATTTGGAGCGCTCTGAGGCCTAAGGTGAAAAAGCAAATATCTTCCCCTAACCACTAGACAGAAACATTCTCAGAAACTCCTTTATGACGTATGCACTCAACTAACAGAGAAGAACCTTCCTTTTGACAGAGCAGTTTTGATACACTCTTTTTGTAGAATCTGCAAGTGGATATTTGGATAGCTGTGAAGATTTCGTTGGATACGGGAATATCTTCCTATAAAATCTAGACAGAAGCATTCTCAGAAACTGGTCTGTGATGTCTGCATTCAAGTCACAGAGTTGAACATTGCCTTTCATAGAGCAGGTTTGAAACGCTCTTTTTGTAGTATATGGAAGTAGACGTTTCGGACGGTTTGAGGCCCATGGTGATAAAGGGAATATCTTCCCCTACAAGCTAGAAAGAAGCATTCTGTGAAACTTTTTTGTGATGTGTGTACTCCACTAACAGAGTTGAACCTTTCTTTTTACAGAGCAGTTTTGAAACACTCTTTTTGTAGAATCTGCGAGGGGATATTTGGATAGTTTTCAGGATTTCGTTGGAAACGGGAATATCTTCATATAAAATCTCGACAGAAGCATTCTCAGAAACTTCTTTGTGATATGTGCATTCAAGTCACAGTGTTGAATATTCCCTTTCACAGAGTAGGTTTGAAACACTCTTTTTGTAGTATCTGGAAGTGGACATTTGGAGCGCCTTGACGCCTACGGTGAAAAGGGAAATATCTTCCCATAAAAACTAGACAGACGCAATCTCAGAATCTTCTTTGGGATATATGTACGCAGCTAATAGAGTTGAACCTTTCTATTGACAGAGCAGTTTTGAAACAGTCTTTCTGTGGAATCTGCAAGTGGATATTTGGATAGCTTGGAGGATTTCGTTGGAAACGGGATTACGTATAAAAAGTAGACAGCAGCATCCTCAGAAACTTCTTTGTGATGTGTGCATTCAAATCACAGAGTTGAACATTCCCTTTCGTACAGCAGTTTTGAAACACTCTTTCTGTAGTATCTGGAAGTGAACATTAGGACAGCTTTCAGGTCTATGGTGAGAAAGGAAATATCTTCAAATAAAAACTAGACAGAAGCATTCTCATAAACTTGTTTGTGATGTGTGAACTCAGCTAACAGACGTGGATCTTTCTTTAGATAGAGCAGTTTTGAAAAACACTTTTTGTTGAATCTGCAAGTGGACATTTGGATAGATTTGAAGATTTCGTTGGAAACGGGAATATCTTCATATCAAATCTAGACAGAAGCATTCTCAGAAAAGTCTTTGTGATGTTTGCATTCAACTCATAGAGTTGAACATTCCGTTTCAGAGAGCAGCTTTGAAGCACTCTTTTTGTAGTATGTGCAAGTGGATATTTGGAGCGCTCTGAGGCCTACGGTGAAAAAGCAAATATCTTCCCATAACCACTAGACAGAAACATTCTCAGAAACTCCTTTATGACGTATGCACTCACCTAACAGAGAAGAACCTTCCTTTTGACAGAGCAGTTTTGATACACTCTTTTTGTAGAATCTGCAATTGGATATTTGGATAGCTGTGAAGATTTCGTTGGAAACGGGAATATCTTCCTATAAAATCTAGACAGAAGCATTCTCAGAAACTGCTCTGTGATGTCTGCATTCAAGTCACAGAGTTGAACATTGCCTTTCATAGAGCAGGTTTGAAACGCTCTTTTTGTAGTATATGGAAGTGGATGTTTCGGACGGTTTGAGGCCCAAGGTGATAAAGGGAATATCTTCCCTACAAGCTAGAAAGAAGCATTCTGTGAAACTTGTTTGTGATGTGTGTACTCAACTAACAGAGTTGAACATTTCTTTTTACAGAGTAGTTTTGAAACACTCTTTTTGTAGAATCTGCGAGGGGATATTTGGATAGATTTCAGGATTTCGTTGGAAACGGGAATATCTTCATATAAAATCTCGACAGAAGCATTCTCAGAAACTTCTTTGTGATATCTGCCTTTAAGTCACAGAGTTGAATATTCTCTTTCACAGAGTAGGTTTGAAACACTCTTTTTGTAGTATCTGGAAGTGGACATTTGGAGCGCCTTGACGCCTACGGTGAAAAGGGAAATATCTTCCCATAAAAACTAGACAGAAGCAATCTCAGAATCTTCTTTGGGATATATGCACGCAGCTAACAGAGTTGAACCTTTCTATTGACAGAGCAGTTTTGAAACAGTCTTTCTGTGGAATCTGCAAGTGGATATTTGGATAGCTTGGACGATTTCGTTGGAAACGGGATTACGTATAAAAAGTAGCCAGCAGCATCCTCAGAAACTTCTTTGTGATGTGTGCATTCAAGTCAGAGAGTTGAACATTCCCTTTCGTACAGCAGTTTTGAAACACTCTTTCTGTAGTATCTGGAAGTGAACATTAGGACAGCTTTCAGGTCTATGGTGAGAAAGGAAATATCTTCAAATAAAAACTAGACAGAAGCATTCTGATAAACTTGTTTGTGAAGTGTGAACTCAGCTAACAGAGGTGGATCTTTCTTTCGAAACAGCAGTTTTGAAAAACACTTTTTGTTGAATCTGCAAGTGGACATTTGAATAGATTTGAAGATTTCGTTGGAAACAGGAATATCTTCATATCAAATCTAGACAGAAGCATTCTCAGAAACGTCTTTGCGATGTTTGCATTCAACTCATAGAGTTGAACATTCCGTTTCAGAGAGCAGCTTTGAAGCACTGTTTTTGTAGTATGTGCAAGTGCATATTTGGAGCGCTCTGAGGCCTACGGTGAAAAAGCAAATATCTTCCCATAACCACTAGACAGAAACATTCTCAGAAACTCCTTTATGACGTATGTACTCAACTAACAGAGAAGAACCTTCCTTTTGAAAGAGCAGTTTTGATACACTCTTTTTGTAGAATCTGCAAGTGGATATTTGGATAGCTGTGAAGATTTCGTTGGAAACGGGAATATCTTGCCTATAAAATCTAGACAGAAGCATTCTCAGAAATTGCTCTGTGATGTCTGTATTCAAGTCACAGAGTTGAACATTGCCTTTCATAGAGCAGGTTTGAAACGCTCTTTTTGTAGTATATGGAAGTGGATGTTTCGGACGGTTGGAGGCCCATGGTGATAAAGGGAATATCTTCCCCTACAAGCTAGAAAGAAGCATTCTGTGAAACTTGTTTGTGATGTGTGTACTCAACTAACAGAGTTGAACCTTTCCTTTTACAGAGCAGTTTTGAAACACTCTTTTTGTAGAATCTGCGAGGGGATATATGGATAGATTTCAGGATTTCGTTGGAAACGGGAATATCTTCATATAAAATCTCGACAGAAGCATTCTCAGAAACTTCCTTGTGATATGTGCATTCAAGTCACAGAGTTGAATATTCCCTTTCACAGAGTAGGTTTGAAACACTCTTTTTGTAATATCTGAAAGTGGACATTTGGAGCGCCTTGACGCCTACGGTGAAAAGGGAAATATCTTCCCATAAAAACTAGACAGAAGCAATCTCAGAATCTTCTTTGGGATATATGCACGCAGCTAACAGAGTTGAACCTTTCTATTGACAGAGCAGTTTTGAAACAGTCTTTCTGTGGATTCTGCAAGTGGATATTTGGATAGCTTGGAGGATTTCGTTGGAAACGGGATTACGTATAAAAAGTAGACAGCAGCATCCTCAGAAACTTCTTTGTGATGTGTGCATTCAAGTCACAGAGTTGAACATTCCCTTTCATACAGCAGTTTTGAAACACTCTTTCTGTAGTATCTGGAAGTGAACATTAGGACAGCTTTCAGCTCTATGGTGAGAAAGGAAATATCTTCAAATATAAACTAGACAGAAGCATTCTCATAAACTTGTTTGTGATGTGTGAACTCAGCTAACAGAGGTGGATCTTTCTTTTGATAGAGCAGTTCTGAAAAACACTTTTTGTTGAATCTGCAAGTGGACATTTGGATAGATTTGAAGATTTCGTTGGAATCGGGAATATCTTCATATCAAATCTAGACAGAAGCATTCTCAGAAACGTCTTTGTGATGTTTGCATTCAACTCATAGAGTTGAACATTCCCTTTCAGAGAGCAGCTTTGAAGCAGTCTTTTTGTAGTATGTGCAAGTGGATATTTGGAGCGCTCTGAGGCCTACGGTGAAAAAGCAAATATCTTCCCATAACCACTAGACAGAAACATTCTCAGAAACGCCTTTATGACGTATGCACTCACCGAACAGAAAAGAACCTTCCTTTTGACAGAGCAGTTTTGATACACTCTTTTTGTAGAATCTGCAAGTGGATATTTGGATAGCTGTGAAGATTTCGTTGGAAACGGGAATATCTTCCTATAAAATCTAGACAGAAGCATTCTCAGAAACTGCTCTGTGATGTCTGCATTCAAGTCACAGAGTTCAACATTGTCTTTCATAGAGCAGGTTTGAAACGCTCTTTTTGTAGTATATGGAAGTGGACGTTTCGGACGGTTTGAGGCCCATGGTGATAAAGGGAATATCTTCCCCTACAAGCTAGAAAGAAGCATTCTGTGAAACTTGTTTGTGATGTGTGTACTCAACTTACATAGTTGAACCTTTCTTTTTACAGAGCAGTTTTGAAACACTCTTTTTGTAGAATCTGCGAGGGGTTATTTGGATAGATTTCAGGATTTCGTTGGAAACGGGAATATCTTCATATAAAATCTCGACAGAAGCATTCTCAGAGACTTCCTTGTGATATGTGCATTCAAGTCACAGAGTTGAATATTCCCTTTCACAGAGTAGGTTTGAAACACTCTTTTTGTAGTATCTGGAAGTGGTCATTTGGAGCGCCTTGACGCCCACGGTGAAAAGGGAAATATCTTCCCATAAAAACTAGACAGAAGCAATCTCAGAATCTTCTTTGTGATATATGCACGCAGCTGACAGATTTGAACCTTTCTATTGACTGAGCAGATTTGAAACAGTCTTTCTGTGGAATCTGCAAGTGGATATTTGGATAGATTGGAGGATTTCGTTGGAAACGGGATTACGTATAAAAAGTAGACAGCAGTATCCTCAGAAACTTGCTTTGTGATGTGTGCATTCAAGTCACAGAGTTGAACATTCCCTTTCGTACAGCAGTTTTGAAACACTCTTTCTGTAGTATCTGGAAGTGAACATTAGGACAGCTTTCAGGTCTATAGTGAGAAAGGATATATCTTCAAATAAAAACTAGACAGAAGCATTCTCATAAACTTGTTTGTGATGTCTGAACTCAGCTAACAGAGGTGGATCTTTCTTTTGATAGAGCAGTTCTGAAAAACACTTTTTGTTGAATCTGCAAGTGGACATTTGGATAGATTTGAAGATTTCGTTGGAAACGTGAATATCTTCAAATCAAATCTAGACAGAAGCATTCTCAGAAACGTCTTTGTGATGTTTGCATTCAACTCATAGAGTTGAACATTCCGTTTCAGAGAGCAGCTTTGAAGCACTCTTTTTGTACTATGTGCAAGTGGATATTTGGAGCGCTCTGAGACCTACGGTGAAAAAGCAAATATCTTCCCATAACCACTAGACAGAAACATTCTCAGAAACTCCTTTATGACGTATGCACTCACCTAACAGAGAAGAACCTTCCCTTTTGACAGAGCAGCTTTGATACACTCTTTTTGTAGAATCTGCAAGTGGATATTTGGATAGCTGTGAAGATTTCGTTGGAAACGGGAATATCTTCCTATAAAATCTAGACAGAAGCATTCTCAGAAACTGCTCTGTGATGTCTGCATTCAAGTCACAGAGTTGAACATTGCCTTTCATAGAGCAGGTTTGAAACGCTCTTTTTGTAGTATATTGAAGTGGACGTTTCGGACGGTTTGAGGCCCATGGTGATAAAGGGAATATCTTCCCGTACAAGCTAGAAAGAAGCATTCTGTGAAACTTGTTGGTGATGTGTGTACTCAACTAACAGAGTTGAACCTTTCTTTTCACAGAGCAGTTTTGAAACACTCTTTTTGTAGAATCTGCGAGGGGATATTTGGATAGATTTCAGCATTTCGTTGGAAACGGGAATATCTTCATATAAAATCTCGACAGAAGCATTCTCAGAAACTTCCTTGTGATATGTGCATTCAAGTCACAGAGTTGAATATTCCCTTTCACAGAGTAGGTTTGAAACACTCTTTTTGTAGTATCTGGAAGTGGACATTTGGAGCGCCTTGACGCCCACGGTGAAAAGGGAAATATCTTCCCATCAAAACTAGACACAAGCAATCTCAGAATCTTCTTTGGGATGTATGCACCCAGCTAACAGAGTTGAAACTTTCTATTGACAGAGCAGTTTTGAAACAGTCTTTTAGTGGAATCTGCAAGTGGATATTTGGATAGCTTGGAGGATTTCTTTGGAAACGGGATTATGTATACAAAGTAGACAGCAGCATTCTCAGAAACTTCTTTGTGATGTGTGCATTCAAGTCAAAGAGTTGAACATTCCCTTTCGTATAGGAGGTTTGAAACACTCTTTCTCTAGTACCTGGAAGTGAACGGGGCGAGAGCTTTCAGGTCTATGGTGAGAAAGGAAATATCTTCAAATAAAAACTAGACAGAAGCATTCTCATAAACTTGTTTGTGATGTGTGAACTCAGCTAACAGAGGTGGATCTTTCTTTTGATAGAGCAGTTCTGAAAAACACTTTTTGTTGAATCTGCAAGTGGACATTTGGATAGATTTGAAGATTTCGTTGGAAAAGGGAATATCTTCATATCAAATCTAGACAGAAGCATTCTCAGAAACGTCTTTGTGATGTTTGCATTCAACTCATAGAGTTGAACATTCCGTTTCAGAGAGCAGCTTTGAGGCACTCTTTTTGTAGTATGTGCAAGTGGATATTTAGAGCGCTCTGAGGCCTACGTTGAAAAAGCAAATATCTTCCCATAACCACTAGACAGAAACATTCTCAGAAACTTCTTTGTGACGTACGTACTCAACTAACAGAGTTGAACCTTCCTTTTGACACAGCAATTTTGATACAATCTTTTTGTAGAATCTGCAAGTCTATATTTGGATAACTGTGAAGATTTCGTTGGAAACGGGAATTTCTTCCTATAAAATCTAGACAGCAGCATTCTCAGAAACTGCTCTGTGATGTCTGCATTCAAGTCACAGAGTTGAACATTGCCTTTCATAGAGCAGGTTTCAAACACTCTTTTTTTAGTTTATGGAAGTGGACGTTTCGGACGGTTTAAGGCCCATGGTGATAAAGGAAATATCTTCCCCTACAAGCTAGAAAGAAGCATTCTGTGAAACTTGTTTGTGATGTGTGTACTCAACTAACAGAGTTGAACCTTTCTTTTTACAGAGCAGTTTTGAAACACTCTTTTTGTAGAATCTGCGAGGGGAAATTTGGATAGATTTCAGGATTTCCTTGGAAACGGGAATATCTTCATACAAAATCTCGACAGAAGCATCCTCAGAAACTTCTTTGTGATGTGTGCATTCAAGTCACAGAGTTGAACATTCCCTTTCACAGAGTAGGTTTGAAACACTCTTTTTGTAGTATCTGGAAGTGGATATTTGGAGCGCCTTGACACCTACGGTGAAAAGGGAAATATCTTCCCATAAAAACTAGACAGAAGCAATCTCAGAATCTTCTTTGGGATATATGCACGCAGCTAACAGAGTTGAACCTTTCTATTGACAGAGCAGTTTTGAAACAGTCTTTCTGGGGAATCTGCAAGTGGATATTTGGATAGCTTGGAGGATTTCGTTGGAAACGGGATTACGTATAAAAAGTAGACAGCAGCATCCTCAGAAACTTCTTTGTGATGTGTGCATTCAAGTCACAGAGTTGAACATTCCCTTTCGTAGAGCAGTTTTGAAACACTCTTTCTGTAGTATCTGGAAGTGAACATTAGGACAGCTTTCAGCTCTATGGTGAGAAAGGAAATATCTTCAACTAAAAACTAGACAGAAGCATTCTCATAAACTTGTTTGTGATGTGTGAACTCAGCTAACAGAGGTGGATCTTTCTTTTGATAGAGCAGTTCTGAAAAACACTTTTTGTTGAATCTGCAAGTGGATATTTGGATAGATTGAAGATTTCGTTGGAAACGGGAATATCTTCATATCAAATCTAGAGAGAAGCATTCTCAGAAACGTCTTTGCGATGTTTGCATTCAACTCATAGAGTTGAACATTCCGTTTCAGAGAGCAGCTTTGAGGCACTCTTTTTGTAGTATGTGCAAGTGGATATTTGGAGCGCTCTGAGGCCTACGGTGAAAAAGCAAATATCTTCCCATAACCACAAGACAGAAACATTCTCAGAAACTCCTTTATGACTTATGCACTTACCTATCAGAGAAGAATCTTCCTTTTGACAGAGCAGTTTTGATACACTCTTTTTGTAGAATCTGCAAGTGGATATTTGGATAGCTGTGAAGATTTCGCTGGAAACGGGAATATCTTCCTATAAAATCTAGACAGAAGCATTCTCAGAAACTGCTCTGTGATGTCTGCATTCAAGTCACAGAGTTGAACATTGCCTTTCCTATAACAGGTTTGAAACGCTCTTTTTGTAGTATATGGAAGTGGACGTTTCGGACGGTTTGAGGCCCATGGTGATAAAGGGAATATCTTCCCCTACAAGCTAGAAGGAAGCATTCTGTGAAACTTGTTTGTGATGTGTGTACTCAACTAACAGAGTTGAACCTTTCTTTTCACAGAGCAGTTTTGAAACACTCTTTTTGTAGAATCTGCGAGCGGATATTTGGATAGATTTCAGGATTTCGATGGAAACGGGAATATCTTCATATAAAATACTCGACAGAAGCATTCTCAGAAACTTCTTTGTGATATCTGCATTCAAGTCACAGAGTTGAATATTCCCTTTCACAGAGTAGGTTTGAAACACTCTTTTTGTAGTATCTGGAAGTTGACATTTGGAGCGCCTTGACGCCTACGGTGAAAAGGGAAATATCTTCTCATAAAAAGTAGACAGAAGCAATCTCAGAATCTTCTTTGGGATATATGCACGCAGCTAACAGAGTTGAACCTTTCTATTGACAGAGCAGTTTTGAAACAGTCTTTCTGTGGAATCTGCATGTGGATATTTGGATAGCTTGGAGGATTTCGTTGGAAACGGGATTACGCATAAAAAGTAGACAGCTGCATCCTCAGAAACTTCTTTGTGATGTGTGCATTCAAGTCACAGAGTTGAACATTCCCTTTCGTACAACAGTTTTGAAACACTCTTTCTGCAGTATCTGGAAGTGAACATTAGGACAGCTTTCAGGTCTATGGTGAGAAAGGAAATATCTTCAAATAAAAACTAGACAGAAGCATTCTCATAAACTTGTTTGTGATGTGTGAACTCAGCTAACAGAGGTGGATCTTTCTTTTGATAGAGCAGTTCTGAAAAACACTTTTTGTTGAATCTGCAAGTGGACTTTTGGATAGATTTGAAGATTTCGTTGGAAACGTTAATATCTTCATATCAAATCTAGACAGAAGCACTCTCGGAAACGTCTTTGTGATGTTTGCATTCAACTCATAGAGTTGAACATTCCGTTTCAGAGAGCAGCTTTGAAGCACTCTTTTTGTAGTATGTGCAAGTGGATATTTGGAGCGCTCTGAGGCCTACGGTGAAAAAGCAAATATCTTCCCATAACCACTAGACAGAAACATTCTCAGAAACTCCTTTATGACGTATGCACTCACCTAACAGAGAAGAACCTTCCTTTTGACAGAGCAGTTTTGATACACTCTTTTTGTAGAATCTGCAAGTGGATATTTGGATAGCTGTCAAGATTTCGTTGGAAACGGGAATATCTTCCTATAAAATCTAGACAGAAGCATTCTCAGAAACTGCTCTGTGATGCCTGCATTCAAGTCACAGAGTTGAACATTGCCTTTCATAGAGCAGGTTTGAAATGCTCTTTTTGTAGTATATGGAAGTGGACGTTTCAGACGGTTTGAGGCCCATTGTGATAAAGGGAATATCTTCCCCTACAAGCTAGAAAGAAGCATTCTGTGAAACTTGTTTGGGATGTGTGTACTCAACTAACAGAGTTGAACCTTTCTTTTTACAGAGCAGTTTTGAAACACTCTTTTTGTAGAATCTGCGAGGGGATATTTGGATACATTTCAGCATTTCGTTGGAAACGGGAATATCTTCATATAAAATCTCGACAGAAACATTCTCAGAAACTTCATTGTGATATCTGCATTCAAGTCACAGAGTTGAATATTCCCTTTCAGAGAGTAGGTTTGAAACACTCTTTTTGTAGTATCTGGAAGTGGACATTTGGAGCGCCTTGACACCTACGGTGAAAAGGGAAATATCTTCCCATGAAAACGAGACAGAAACAATCTCAGAATCTTCTTTGGGATATATGCACGCAGCTAACAGTGTTGAACCTTTCTATTGACAGAGCAGTTTTGAAACAGTCTTTCTGTGGAATCTGCAAGTGGATATTTGGATAGCTTGGAGGATTTCGTTGGAAACGGGATTAGGTATAAAAAGTAGACAGCAGCATCCTCAGAAACTTCTTTGTGATGTGTGCATTCAAGTCACAGAGTTGAACATTCCCTTTCGTACAGCAGTTTTGAAACACTCTTTCTGCAGTATCTGGAAGTGAACATTAGGACAGCTTTCAGCTCTATGGTGAGAAAGGAAATATCTTCAAATAAAAACTAGACAGAAGCATTCTCATAAACTTGTTTGTGATGTGTGAACTCAGCTAACAGAGGTGGATCTTTCTTTTGATAGAGCAGTTCTTAAAAACACGTTTTGTTGAATCTGCAAGTGGACATTTGGATAGATTTGAAGATTTCGTTGGAAACGGGAATATCTTCATATCAAATCTAGACAGAAGCATTCTCAGAAACGTCTTTGTGATGTTTGCATTCAACTCATGGAGTTGAACATTCCCTTTCAGAGAGCAGCTTTGAAGCACTCTTTTTGTAGTATGTGCAAGTGGACATTTGGAGCGCTTTGAGGCCTACGGGGAAAAAGCAAATATCTTCCCATATCCACTAGACAAAAACATTCTCAGAAACTCCTTTATGACGTATGCACTCACCTAACAGAGAAGAACCTTCCTTTTGACAGAGCAGTTTTGATACACTCTTTTTGTAGAATCTGCAAGTGGATATTTGGATAGCTGTGAAGATTTCCTTGGAAACGGGAATATCTTCCTATAAAATCTAGACAGAAAGCATTCTCAGAAACTGCTCTGTGATGTCTGCATTCAAGTCACAGAGTTGAACATTGCCTTTCATAGAGCAGGTTTGAAACGCTCTTTTTGTACTATATGGAAGTGGATGTTTCGGACGGTTTGAGGCCCATGGTGATAAAGGGAATATCTTCCCCTACAAGCTAGAAAGAAGCATTCTGTGAAACTTGTTTGCGATGTGTGTACTCAACTAATAGATTTGAACCTTTCTTTTTACAGAGCAGTTTTGAAACACTCTTTTTGTAGAATCTGCGAGGGGATATTTGGATAGATTTCAGGATTTCGTTGGAAACGGGAATATCTTCATATAAAATCTCGACAGAAGCATTCTCTGAAACTTCTTTGTGATATGTGCATTCAAGTCACAGAGTTCAATATTCCCTTTCACAGAGTAGGTTTGAGACACTCTTTTTGTAGTATCTGGAAGTGGACATTTGGAGCGCCTTGACGACTACGGTGAAAAGGGAAATATCTTCTCATAAAAAGTAGACAGAAGTAATCTCAGAATCTTCTTTGGGATATATGCACCCAGCTAACAGAGTTGAACCTTTCTATTGACAGAGCAGTTTTGAAACAGTCTTTCTGTGGAATCTGCAAGTGGATATTTGGATAGCTTGGAGGATTTCGTAGGAAACGGGATTACGTATAAAAAGTAGACAGCAGCATCCTCAGAAACTTGTTTGTGATGTGTGCATTCAAGTCACAGAGTTGAACATTCCCTTTCGTACAGCAGTTTTGAAACACTCTTTCTGTAGTATCTGGAAGTGAACATTAGGACAGCTTTCAGGTCTATGGTGAGAAAGGAAATATCTTCAAATAAAAACTAGACAGAAGCATTCTCATAAACTTGTTTGTGATGTGTGAACTCAGCTAACAGAGGTGGATCTTTCTTTTGATAGAGCAGTTCTGAAAAACACGTTTTCTTGAATCTGCAAGTGGACATTTGGATAGATTTGAAGATTTCGTTGGAAACGGGAATATCGTCATATCAAATCTAGACAGAAAGCATTCTCAGCAAACGTCTTTGGGATGTTTGCATTCAACTCATAGAGTTGAACATTCCCTTTCAGAGAGCAGCTTTGAAGCACTCTTTTTGTAGTATGTGCAAGTGGATATTTGGAGCGCTCTGAGGCCTAAGGTGAAAAAGCAAATATCTTCCCATAACCACTAGACAGAAACATTCTCAGAAAGTTCTTTATGACGTATGAACTCAACTAGCAGAGAAGAACTTTCCTTTTGACAGAGCATTTCTGATACACTCTTTTTTTACTATCTGCAAGTGGATATTTGGATAGCTGTGAAGATTTCGTTGGAAACGGGAATATCTTCCTATAAAGTCTGGACAGAAGCATTCTCAGAAACTGCTCTGTGATGTCTGCATTCAAGTCACAGAGTTGAACATTGCCTTTCATAGAGCAGGTTTGAAACGCTCTTTTTGTAGTATATGGAAGTGGACTTTTCAGACGGTTTGAGGCCCATGGTGATAAAGGGAATATCTTCCCCTACAAGCTAGAAAGAAGCATTCTGTGAAACATGTTTGTGATGTGTGTTCTCAACTAACAGAGTTGAACCTTTCTTTTTACAGAGCAGTTTTGAAACACTCTTTTTGTAGAATCTGCGAGGGGATATTTGGATAGATTTCAGGATTTCGTTGGAAACGGGAATATCTTCATATAAAATCTCGACAGAAGCATTCTCAGAAACTTCTTTGTGATATCTGCCTTCAAGTCACAGAGTTGAATATTCCCTTTCACAGAGTAGGTTTGAAACACTCTTTTTGTAGTATCTGGAAGTGGACATTTGGAACGCCTTGGCGCCTATGGTGAAAAGGTAAATATCTTCCCATAAAAACTAGACAGAAGCAATCTCAGAATCTTCTTTGGGATATATGCACGCAGCTAACAGAGTTGAACCTTTCTATTGACAGAGCAGTTTTGAAACAGTCTTTCTGTGGAATCTGCAAGTGGATATTTGGATAGCTTGGAGGATTTCATTGGAAACGGGATTAAGTATAAAAAGTAGACAGCAGCATCCTCAGAAACTTCTTTGTGATGTGTACATTCAAGTCACAGAGTTCAACATTCCCTTTCGTACAGCAGTTTTGAAACACTCTTTCTGTAGTATCTGGAAGTGAACATTAGGACAGCTTTCAGCTCTATGGTGAGAAAGGAAATATCTTCAAATAAAAACTAGACAGAAGCATTCTCATAAACTTGTTTGTGATGTGTGAACTCAGCTAACAGAGGTGGATCTTTCTTTTGATAGAGCAGTTCTGAAAAACACTTTTTTTTGAATCTGCAAGTGGACATTTGGATAGATTTGAAGATTTCTTTGGAAACGGGAATATCTTCATATCAAATCTAGACAGAAGCATTCTCAGAAACGTCTTTGTGATGTTTGCATTCAACTCATAGAGTTGAACATTCCGTTTCAGAGAGTAGCTTTGAAGCACTCATTTTGTAGCATGTGCAAGTGGACATTTGGAGCGCCCTGAGGCCTACGGGGAAAAAGCAAATATATTCCCATAACCACTAGACAGAAACATTCTCAGAAACTCCTTTATGACGTATGTACTCAACTAACAGAGAAGAACCTTCCTTTTGACAGAGCAGTTTTGATACACTCTTTTTGTAGAATCTCCAAGTGGATATTTGGATAGCTGTGAAGATTTCGTTGGAATCGGGAATATCTTCCTATAAAATCTAGACAGAAGCATTCTCAGAAACTGCTCTGTGATGTCTGCATTCAAGTCACAGAGTTGAACATTGCCTTTCATAGAGCAGGTTTGAAACGCTCTTTTTGTAGTGTATGGAAGTGGACTTTTCGGACGGTTGGAGGCCCATGGTGATAAAGGGAATATCTTCCCCTACAAGCTAGAAAGAAAGCATTCTGTGAAACTTGTTTGTGATGTGTGTACTCAACTAACAGAGTTGAACCTTTCTTTTTACAGAGCAGTTTTGAAACACTCTTTTTGTAGAATCTGCGAGGGGATATTTGGATACATTTCAGGATTTCGTTGGAAACGGGAATATCTTCATATAAAATCTCGACAGAAGCATTCTCAGAAACTTCTTTGTGATATGTGCATTCAAGTCACAGAGTTGAATATTCCCTTTCACAGAGTAGGTTTGAAACACTCTTTTTGTAGTATCTGGAAGTGGACATTTGGAGCGCCTTGACACCTACGGTGAGAAGGGAAATATCTTCCCATAAAAACTAGACAGAAGCAATCTCAGAATCTTCTTTGGGATATATGCACGCAGCTAACGGAGTTGAACCTTTCTATTGACAGAGCAGTTTTGAAACAGTCTTTCTGTGGAATCTGCAAGTGGATATTTGGATAGCTTGGAGGATTTCGTTGGCAACGGGATTACGTATAAAAATTAGACAGCAGCATTCTCAGAAACTTCTTTGTGATGTGTGCATTCAAGTCAAAGAGTTGAACATTCCCTTTCGTACAGCAGGTTTGAAACACTCTTTCTCTAGTACCTGGAAGTGAACGTTTCGAGACCTTTCAGGTCTATGGTGAGAAAGGAAATATCTTCAAATAAAAACTAGACAGAAGCATTCTCATAAACTTGTTTGTGATGTGTGAACTCAACTAACAGAGGTGGGTCTTTCTTTTGATACACCAGTTATGAAAAACCCTTTTAATTGAATCTGCAAGTGGACATTTGGATAGATTTGAAGATTTCGTTGGAAACGGGAATATCTTCATATCAAATCTAGACAGAAGCATTCTCAGAAACGTCTTTGCGATGTTTGCATTCAACTCATAGAGTTGAACATTCCGTTTCAGAGAGCAGCTGTGAGGCACTCTTTTTGTAGTATGTGCAAGTGGATATTTGGAGCGCTCTGAGGCCTACGGTGAAAAAGCAAATATCTTCCCATAACCACTAGCAGAAAACATTCTCAGAAACTCCTTTATGACGTATGTACTCAACTAACAGAGAAGAACCTTCCTTTTGACAGAGCAGTTTTGATCCACTCTTTTTGTAGAATCTGCAAGTGGATATTTGGATAGCTGTGAAGGTTTCGTTAGAAACGGAAATATCTTCCTATAAAATGCTAGACAGAAGCATTCTCAGAAACGGCTCTGTGATGTCTGCATTCAAGTCACAGAGTTGAACATTGCATTTCATAGAGCAGGTTTCAAACACTCTTTTTTTAGTATATGGAAGTGGACCTTTCAGACGGCTTGAGGACCATGGTGATAAAGGAAATATCTTCCCCTACAAGCTAGAAAGAAGCATTCTGTGAAACTTGTTTGTGATGTGTGTACTCAACTAACAGAGTTGAACCTTTCTTTTTACAGAGCAGTTTTGAAACACTCTTTTTGTAGAATCTGCGAGGGGATATTTGGATAGATTTCAGGATTTCGTTGGAAACGTGAATATATTCATATAAAATCCCGACAGAAGCATTCTCAGAAACTTCATTGTGATATCTGCATTGAAGTCACAGACTTGAATACTCCCTTTCACAGAGTAGGTTTGAAACACTCTTTTTGTAGTATCTGGAAGTGGACATTTGGATCGCTTTGACGCCTATTGTGAAAAAGGAAATATCTTCCCCTAAAAACTAGACAGAAACGTTCTCAGAAACTCCTTTATGACGTATGCACTCACCTAACAGAGAAGAACCTTCCTTTTGACAGAGCAGTTTTGATACACTCTTTTTGTAGAATCTGCAAGTGGATATTTGGATAGCTGTGAAGATTTCGTTGGAAACGGGAATATCTTCCTATAAAATCTAGACAGAAGCATTCTCAGAAACTGCTCTGTGATGTCTGCATTCAAGTCACAGAGTTGAACATTCCCTTTCATACAGCAGTTTTGAAACACTCTTTCTGTAGTATCTGGAAGTCAACATTAGGACAGCTTTCAGGTCTATGGTGAGAAAGGAAATATCTTCAAATAAAAACTAGACAGAAGCATTCTCATAAACTTGTTTGTGATGTCTGAACTCAGCTAACAGAGGTGGATCTTTCTTTTGATAGAGCAGTTCTGAAAAACACTTTTTGTTGAATCTGCAAGAGGACATTTGGATAGATTTGAAGATTTCGTTGGAAACGGGAATATCTTCATATCAAATCTAGACAGAAGCATTCTCAGAAACGTCTTTGTGATGTTTGCATTCAACTCATAGAGTTGAACATTCCCTTTCAGAGAGCAGCTTTGAAGCACTCTTTTTGTAGTATGTGCAAGTGGATATTTGGAGCTCTCTGAGGCCTACGGTGAAAAAGCAAATATCTTCCCATAACCACTAGACAGAAACATTCTCAGAAACTCCTTTATGACGTATGTACTCATCTAACAGAGAAGAACCTTCCTTTTGACAGAGCAGTTTTGATACACTCTTTTTGTAGAATCTGCAAGTGGATATTTGGATAGCTGGGAAGATTTCGTTGGAAACGGGAATATCTTCCTATAAAATCTAGACAGAAGCATTCTCAGAAACTGCTCTGTGATGTCTGCATTCAAGTCACAGAGTTGAACATTACCTTTCCTAGAGCAGGTTTGAAACGCTCTTTTTGTAGTATATGGAAGTAGACGTTTCGGACGGTTTGAGGCCCATGGTGATAAAGGGAATATCTTCCCCTACAAGCTAGAAAGAAGCATTGTGTGAAACTTGTTTGTGATGTGTGTACTCAACTAACAGAGTTGAACCTTTGTTTTTACAGAGCAGTTTTGAAACACTCTTTTTGTAGAATCTGCGAGGGGATATTTGGATACATTTCAGGATTTCGTTGGAAACGGGAATATCTTCATATAAAATCTCGACAGAAGCATTCTCAGAAACTTCTTTGTGATATGTGCATTCAAGTCACAGAGTTGAAAATTCCCTTTCACAGAGTAGGTTTGAAACACTCTTTTTGTAGTATCTGGAAGTGGACATTTGGAGCGCCTTGACGCCTACGGTGAAAAGGGAAATATCTTCCCATAAAAACTAGACAGAAGCAATCTCAGAATCTTCTTTGGGATGTATGCACGCAGCTAACAGAGTTGAACCTTTCTATTGACAGAGCAGTTTTGAAACAGTCTTTCTGTGGAATCTGCAAGTGGATATTTGGATAGCTTGGAGGATTTCGTTGGAAACGGGATTACGTATAAAAAGTAGACAGCAGCATCTTCAGAAACTTCTTTGTGATGTGTGCATTCAAGTCACAGAGTTGAACATTCCCTTTCGTACAGCAGTTTTGAAACACTCTTTCTGTAGTATCTGGAAGTGAACATTAGGACAGCTTTGAGGTCTACGGTGAGAAAGGCAATATCTTCAAATAAAAACTGGACAAAAGCATTCTCATAAACTTGTTTGTGATGTCTGAACTCAGCTAACAGTAGGTGGATCTTTCTTTTGATAGAGCAGTTCTGAAAAACACTTTTTGTTGAATCTGCAAGTGGACATTTGGATAGATTTGAAGATTTCGTTGGAAACGGGAATATCTTCATATCAAATCTAGACAGAAGCATTCCCAGAACCGTCTTTGTGATGTTTGCATTCAACTCATAGAGTTGAACATTCCCTTTCAGAGAGCAGCTTTGAAGCACTCTTTTTGTAGGATGTGCAAGGGGATATTTGGAGCGCTCTGAGGCCTAAGGTGAAAAAGCAAATATCTTCCCATAACCACTAGACAGAAACATTCTCAGAAACTCCTTTATGACGTATGTACTCAACTAACAGAGAAGAACCTTCCTTTTGACAGAGCAGTTTTGATACACTCTTTTTGTAGAATCTGCAAGTGGATATTGGATAGCTGTGAAGATTTCCTTGGAAACGGGAATATCTTCCTATAAAATCTAGACAGAAGCATTCTCAGAAACTGCTCTGTGATGTCTGCATTCAAGTCACAGAGTTGAACATTGCCTTTCCTAGAGCAGGTTTGAAACGCTCTTTTTGTAGTATATGGAAGTGGACGTTTCGGACGGTTTGAGGCCCATGGTGATAAAGGGAATATCTTCCCCTACAAGCTAGAAGGAAGCATTCTGTGAAACTTGTTTGTGATGTGTGTACTCAACTAACAGAGTTGAACCTTTCTTTTAACAGAGCAGTTTTGAAACACTCTTTTTGTAGAATCTGCGAGGGGATATTTGGATAGATTTCAGGATTTCGTTGGAAACGGGAATATCTTCATATAAAATCTCGACAGAAGCATTCTCAGAAACTTCTTTGTGATATCTGCCTTTAAGTCACAGAGTTGAATATTCCCTTTCACAGAGTAGCTTTGAAACACTCTTTTTGTAGTATCTGGAAGTGGACATTTGGAGCGCCTTGACACCTACGGTGAAAAGGGAAATATCTTCCCATAAAAACTAGACAGAAGCAATCTCAGAATCTTCTTTGGGATATATGCACGCAGCTAACAGAGTTGAACCTTTCTATTGACAGAGAAGTTTTGAAACAGTCTTTCTGTGGAATCTGCAAGTGGATATTTGGATAGCTTGGAGGATTTCGTTGGAAACGGGATTACGTATAAAAATTAGACAGCAGCATCCTCAGAAACATCCTTGTGATGTGTGCATTCAAGTCACAGAGTTGAACATTCCCTTTCATACAGCAGTTTTGAAACACTCTTTCTGTAGTATCTGGAAGTGAACTTTAGGAGAGCTTTCAGGTCTATAGTGAGAAAGGATATATCTTCAAATAAAAACTAGACAGAAGCATTCTCATAAACTTGTTCGTGATGTGTGAACTCAGCTAACACACGTGGATCTTTCTTTTGATAGAGCAGTTCTGAAAAACACTTTTTGTTAAATCTGCAAGAGGACATTTGGATAGATTAGAAGATTTCGTTGGAAACGGGAATATCTTCATATCAAATCTAGACAGAAGCATTCTCAGAAACGTCTTTGTGATGTTTGCATTCAACTCATAGAGTTGAACATTCCCTTTCATAGAGCAGCTTTGAAGCACTCTTTTTGTAGTATGTGCAAGCGGATATTTGGAGCACTCTGAGGCCTAAAGTGAAAAAGAAAATATCTTCCCATAACCACTAGACAGAAACATTCTCAGAAACTCCTTTATGACGTATGCACTCACCTAACAGAGAAGAACCTTCCTTTTGACAGAGCAGTTTTGATACACTCTTTTTGTAGAATCTGCAAGTGGATATTTGGATAGCTGTGAAGATTTCGTTGGAAACGGTAATATCTTCCTATAAAATCTAGACAGAAGCATTCTCAGAAACTGCTCTGTGATGTCTGCATTCAAGTCACAGAGTTGAACATTGCCTTTCATAGAGCAGGTTTGAAACGCTCTTTTTGTAGTATATGGAAGTGGACGTTTCGGACGGTTTGAGGCCCATGATGATAAAGGGAATATCTTCCCCTACAAGCTAGAAAGAAAGCATTCTGTGAAACTTGTTTGTGATGTGTGTACTCAACTAACTGAGTTGAACCTTTCTTTTTACAGAGCAGTTTTGAAACACTCTTTTTGTAGAATCTGTGAGGGGATATTTGGATAGATTTCAGGATTTCGTTGGAAACGGGAATATCTTCATATAAAATCTCGACAGAAGCATTCTCAGAAACTTCTTTGTGATATGTGCATTCAAGTCACCGAGTTGAATATTCCCTTTCACAGAGTAGGTTTGAAACACTCTTTTTGTAGTATCTGGAAGTGGACATTTGGAGCGCCTTGACGCCTATGGTGAAAAGGGAAATATCTTCCCATAAAAACTAGACAGAAAGCAATCTCAGAATCTTCTTTGGGATATATGCACGCAGCTAACAGAGTTGAACCTTTCTATTGACTGAGCAGATTTGAAACAGTCTTTCTGTGGAATCTGCAAGTGGATATTTGGATAGATTGGAGGATTTCGTTGGAAACGGGATTACGTATCAAAAGTAGACAGCAGCATCCTCAGAAACTTCTTTGTGATGTGTGCATTCAAGTCACAGAGTTGAACATTCCCTTTCGTACAGCAGTTTTGAAGCACTCTTTCTGTATTATCTGGGAGTGAACATTAGGACAGCTTTCAGGTCTATGGTGAGAAAGGAAATATCTTCAAATAAAAACTAGACAGAAGCATTCTCATAAACTTGTTTGTGATGTGTGAAGTCAGCTAACAGAGGTGGATCTTTCTTTTGATAGAGCAGTTCTGAAAAACACTTTTTGTTGAATCTGCAAGTGGACATTTGGATAGATTTGAAGATTTCGTTGGAAACGGGAATATCTTCATATCAAATCTAGACAAAAGGATTCTCGGAAACGTCTTTGTAATGTTTGCATTCAACTCATAGAGTTGAACATTCCGTTTCAGAGAGCAGCTTTGAAGCACTCTTTTTGTAGTATGTGCAAGTGGATATTTGGAGCGCTCTGAGGCCTACGGGGAAAAAGCAAATATCTTCCCATAAACACTAGACTGAAACATTCTCAGAAACTCCTTTATGACGTATGCACTCACCTAACAGAGAAGAACCTTCTTTTTGACAGAGCAGTTTTGATACACTCTTTTTGTAGAATCTGCAAGTGGATATTTGGATAGCTGTGAAGATTTCGTTGGAAACGGGAATATCTTCCTATAAAATCTAGACAGAAGCATTCTCAGAAACTACTCTGTGATGTCTGCATTCACGTCACAGAGTTGAACATTGCCTTTCATAGAGCAGGTTTGAAACACTCTTTTTGTAGTATATGGAAGTGGACGTTTCGGACGGTTTGAGGCCCATGGTGATAAAGGGAATATCTTCCCCTACAAGCTAGAAAGAAGCATTCTGTGAAACTTGCTTGTGATGTGTGTACTCAACTAACAGAGTTGAACCTTTCTTTTCACAGAGCAGTTTTGAAACACTCTTTTTGTAGAATCTGCGAGGGGATATTTGGATAGATTTCAGGATTTCGTTGGAAACGGGAATATCTTCATATAAAATCTCGACAGAAGCATTCTCAGAAACTTCCTTGTGATATGTGCATTCCAGTCACAGAGTTGAATATTCCCTTTCACAGAGTAGGTTTGAAACACTCTTTTTGTAGTATCTGGAAGTGGACATTTGGAGCGCCTTGACGCCTACGGTGAAAAGGGAAATATCTTCCCATAAAAACTAGACAGAAGCAATCTCAGAATCTTCTTTGGGATATATGCACGCAGCTATTAGAGTTGAACCTTTCTATTGACAGAGCAGTTTTGAAACAGTCTTTCTGTGGAATCTGCAAGTGGATATTTGGATAGCTTGGGGGATTTCTTTGGAAACGGGATTACGTATAAAAAGTAGACAGCAGCATCCTCAGAAACTATTTTGTGATGTGTGCATTCAAGTCACAGAGTTGAACATTCCCTTTCGTACAGCAGTTTTGAAACACTCTTTCTGTAGTATCTGGAAGTGAACATTAGGACAGCTTTCAGGTCTATGGTGAGAAAGGAAATATCTTCAAATAAAAACTAGACAGAAGCATTCTCATAAACTTGTTTGTAATGTGTGAACTCAGCTAACAGAGATGGGTCTTTCTTTTGATAGAGCAGTTCTGAAAAACACTTTTTGTTGAATCTGCAAGTGGACATTTGGATAGATTTGAAGATTTCGTTGGAAACGGGAATATCTTCATATCAAATCTAGACAGAAGCATTCTCAGAGACGTCTTTGTGATGTTTGCATTCAACTCATAGAGTTGAACATTCCCTTTCAGAGAGCAGCTTTGAAGCACTCTTTTTGTAGCATGTGCAAGTGGACATTTGGAGCGCCCTGAGGCCTACGGTGAAAAAGCAAATATCTTCCCATAACCACTAGACAGAAACATTCTCAGAAACTTCTTTATGACGTATGTTCTCAACTAGCAGAGAAGAACTTTCCTTTTGACAGAGCTTTTTTGATACACTCTTTTTGTAGTATCTGCAAGTGGATATTTGGATAGCTGTGAAGATTTCGTTGGAATCGGGAATATCTTCCTATAAAGTCTGGACAGAAGCATTCTCAGAAACTGCTCTGTGATGCCTGCATTCAAGTCACAGAGTTGAACATTGCCTTTCATAGAGCAGGTTTGAAACGCTCTTTTTGTAGTATATGGAAGTGGATGTTTCGGACGGTTGGAGGCCCATGGTGATAAAGGGAATATCTTCCCCTACAAGCTAGAAAGAAGCATTCTGTGAAACTTGTTTGTGATGTGTGTACTCAACTAACAGAGTTGAACCTTTCTTTTTACAGAGCAGTTTTGAAACACTCTTTTTGTAGAATCTGCGAGGGGATATTTCGATAGATTTCAGGATTTTGTTGGAAACGGGAATATCTTCATATAAAATCTCGACGGAAGCATTCTCAGAAACTTCTTTGTGATATGCGCATTCAAGTCACAGAGTTGAATATTCCCTTTCACAGAGTAGGTTTGAAACACTCTTTTTGTAGTATCTGGAAGTGGACATTTGGAGCGCCTTGACGCCTACGGTGAAAAGGGAAATATCTTCCCATAAAAACTAGACAGAAGCAATCTCAGAATCTTCTTTGGGATATATGTACGCAGCTAACAGAGTTGAACCTTTCTATTGACAGAGCAGATTTGAAACAGTCTTTCTGTGGAATCTGCAAGTGGATATTTGGATAGCTTGGAGGATTTCGTTGGAAACGGGATTACGTATAAAAAGTAGACAGCAGCATCCTCAGAAACTTCTTTGTGATGTGTGCATTCAAGTCACAGAGTTGAACATTCGCTTTCGTACAGCAGTTTTGAAACACTCTTTCTGTAGTATCTGGAAGTGAACATTAGGACAGCTTTCAGGTCTATGGTGAGAAAGGAAATATCTTCAAATAAAAACTAGACAGATAAGCATTCTGATAAACTTGTTTGTGAAGTGTGATCTCAGCTAACAGAGGTGGATCTTTCTTTTGATAGAGCAGTTCTGAAAAACACTTTGTTGAATCTGCAAGTGGACATTTGGATAGATTTGAAGATTTCGTTGGAAACGGGAATATCTTCATATCAAATCTAGACAGAAGCATTCTCAGAAACGTATTTGTTATGTTTGCATTCAACTCATAGAATTGAACATTCCCTTTCAGAGAGCAGCTTTGAAGCACTCTTTTTGTAGTATGTGCAAGGGGATATTTTGAGCGCTCTGAGGCCTAAGGTGAAAAAGCAAATATCTTCCCATAACCACTAGACACAAACATTCTCAGAAACTCCTTTACGACGTATGTACTCAACTAACAGAGAAGAACCTTCCTTTTGACAGAGCAGTTTTGATACACTCTTTTTGTAGAATCTGCAAGTGGATATTTGGATAGCTGTGAAGATTTCGTTGGAAACGGGAATATCTTCCTATAAAATCTAGACAGAAGCATTCTCAGAAACTGCTCTGTGATGTCTGTATTCAAGTCACAGAGTTGAACATTGCCTTTCATAGAGCAGGTTTGAAGCGCTCTTTTTGTAGTATATGGAAGTGGATGTTTCGGACGGTTGGAGGCCCATGGTGATAAAGGGAATATCTTCCCCTACAAGCTAGAAAGAAGCATTCTGTGAAACTTGTTTGTGATGTGTGTACTCAACTAACAGAATTGAACTTTTCTTTTTACAGAGCAGTTTTGAAACACTCTTTTTGTAGAATCTGCGAGGGGTTATTTGGATAGATTTCAGGATTTCGTTGGAAACGGGAATTTCTTCCTATAAAATCTTGACAGAAGCATTCTCAGAAACTTCCTTGTGACATGGGCATTCAAGTCACAGAGTTGAATATTCCCTTTCACAGAGTAGGTTTGAAACACTCTTTTTGTAGTATCTGGAAGTGGACATTTGGAGCGCCTTGACGCCTACGGTGAAAAGGGAAATATCTTCCCATAAAAACTAGACAGAAGCAATCTCAGAATCTTCTTTGGGATATATGCACGCAGCTAACAGAGTTGAACCTTTCTATTGACAGAGCAGTTTTGAAACAGTCTTTCTGTGGAATCTGTAAGTGGATATTTGGATAGCTTGGAGGATTTCGTTGGAAACGGGATTACGTATAAAAAGTAGACAGCAGCATCCTCAGAAACTTCTTTCTGATGTGTGCATTCAAGTCACAGAGTTGAACATTCCCTTTCGTACAGCAGTTTTGAAACACTCTTTCTGTAGTATCTGGAAGTGAACATTAGGACAGCTTTCAGCTCTATGGTGAGAAAGGAAATATCTTCAAATAAAAACTAGACCGAAGCATTCTCATAAACTTGTTTGTGATGTGTGAACTCAGCTAACAGAGGTGGATCTTTCTTTTGATAGAGCAGTTCTGGAAAACACTTTTTGTTGAATCTGCAAGTGGACATTTGGATAGATTTGAAGATTTCGTTGGAAACGGGAATATCTTCATATCAAATCTAGACAGAAGCATTCTGAGAAACGTCTTTGTGATGTTTGCATTCAACTCATAGAGTGTAACATTCCCTTTCAGAGAGCAGCTTTGAAGCACTCTTTTTGTAGTATGTGCAAGTGGATATTTGGAGCGCTCTGAGGCCTACGGTGAAAAAGCAAATATCTTCCCATAACCACTAGACAGAAACATTCTCAGAAACTTCTTTATGACGTATGTACTCAACTAGCAGAGTAAGAACTTTCCTTTTGACAGAGCATTTCTGATACACTCTTTTTGTACTATCTGCAAGTGGATATTTGGATAGCTGTGAAGATTTCGTTGGAAACGGGAATATCTTCCTATAAAGTCTGGACAGAAGCATTCTCAGAAACTGCTCTGTGATGTCTGCATTCAAGTCACAGAGTTGAACATTGCCTTTCATAGAGCAGGTTTGAAACGCTCTTTTTGTAGTATATAAAAGTGGACGTTTCGGACGGTTTGAGGCCCATGGTGATAAAGGGAATATCTTCCCCTACAACCTAGAAAGAAGCATTCTGAGAAACTTGTTTGTGATGTGTGTACTCAACTAAGAGAAGTGAAACTTTCTTTTTACAGAGCAGTTTTGAAACACTCTTTTTCTAGAATCTGCGAGGGGATATTTGGATAGATTACAGAATTTCGTTGTAAACGGGAATATCTTCATAAAAAATCTCGACAGAAGCATTCTCAGAAACTTCTCTGTGATATGTGCATTGAAGTCACCGAGTTAAATATTCCCTTCCACACAGTAGGTTTGAAACACTCTTTTTTTTTAGTATCTGGAAGTGGAAATTTGGAGCGCTTTGATGCCTATGGTGAAAAAGGAAATATCTTCCAATAAAAACTAGTCAGAAGCAATCTCAGAATCTTCTTTGGGATATATGCACGCAGCTAACAGAGTTGAACCTTTCTATTGCCAGAGCAGTCTTGAAACAGTCTTTCTGTGGAATCTGCAAGTGGATATTTGGATAGCTTGGAGGATTTCGTTGGAAACGGGATTACGTATAAAAAGTAGACAGCAGCATCCTCAGAAACTTCTTTGTGATGTGTGCATTCAAGTCACACAGTTGAACATTCCCTTTCGTACAGCAGTTTTGAAACACTCTTTCTGTAGTATCTGGAAGTGAACATTAGGACAGCTTTCAGCTCTATGTTGAGAAAGGAAATATCTTCAAATAAAAACTAGACAGAAAGCATTCTCATAAACTTGTTTGTGATGTGTGAACTCAGCTAACAGAGGTGGATCTTTCTTTTGATAGAGCAGTTCTGAAAAACACTTTTTGTTGAATCTGCAAGTGGACATTTGGATAGATTTGAAGATTTCGTTGGTAACGGGAATATCTTCATATCAAATCTAGACAGAAGCATTCTCAGAAACGTCTTTGTGCTGTTGGCATTCAACTCATAGAGTTGAACATTCCGTTTCAGAGAGCAGCTTTGAGGCACTCTTTTTGTAGTATGTGCAAGTGGATATTTGGAGCGCTCTGAGGCCTACGGTGAAAAAGCAAATATCTTCCCATAACCACTAGACAGAAACATTCTCAGAAACTCCTTTATGACGTATGCACTCACCTAACAGAGAAGAACCTTCCTTTTGACAGAGCAGTTTTGATACACTCTTTTTGTAGAATCTCCAAGTGGATATTTGGATAGCTGTGAAGATTTCGTTGGAAACGGGAATATCTTCTTATGAAATCTAGACAGAAGCATTCTCAGAAACTGCTCTGTGATGTCTGCATTCAAGTCACAGAGTTGAACATTGCCTTTCATAGAGCAGGTTTGAAAGGCTCTTTTTGTACTATATGGAAGAGGACGTTTCGAACGGTTTGAGGACCATGGTGATAAAGGGAATATCTTCCCCTACAAGCTAGAAAGAAGCATTCTGTGAAACTTGTTTGTGATGTGTGTACTCAACTAACAGAGTTGAACCTTTGTTTTTACAGAGCAGTTTTGAAACACTCTTTTTGTAGAATCTGCGAGCGGATATTTGGATAGATTTCAGGATTTCGTTGGAAACGGGAATATCTTCATATAAAATCTCGACAGAAGCATTCTCAGAAACTTCTTTGTGATATCTGCATTCAACTCACAGAGTTGAATATTCCCTTTCACAGAGTAGGTTTGAAACACTCTTTTTGTAGTATCTGGAAGTGGACATTTGGAGCGCCTTGACGCCTACGGTGAAAAGGGAAATATCTTCCCATAAAAACTAGACAGAAGCAATCTCAGAATCTTCTTTGGGATATATGCATGCAGCTAACAGAGTTGAACCTTTGTATTGACAGAGCAGTTTTGAAACAGTCTTTCTGTGGAATCTGCAAGTGGATATTTGGATAGCTTGGAGGATTTCGTTGGAAACGGGATTACGTATAAAAAGTAGACAGCAGCATCCTCAGAAACTTCTTTGTGATGTGTGCATTCAAGTCACAGTAGTTGAACATTCTCTTTCGTACAGCAGTTTTGAAATGCTCTTTCTGTAGTATCTGGAAGTGAACATTAGGACAGCTTTCAGGTCTATGGTGAGAAAGGAAATATCTTCAAATAAAAACTAGACAGAAGCATTCTAATAAACTTGTTTGTGATGTGTGAACTCAGCTAACACAGGTGGATCTTTCTTTTGATAGAGCAGTTCTGAAAAACACTTTTTGTTGAATCTGCAAGTGGACATTTGGATAGATTTGAAGATTTCGTTGGAAACGGGAATATCGTCATATCAAATCTAGACAGAAGCATTGTCAGAAACGTCTTTGTCATGTTTGCATTCAACTCATAGAGTTGAACATTCCGTTTCAGAGAGCAGCTTTGAAGCACTCTTTTTGTAGTATGTGCAAGCGGATATTTGGAGCGCTCTGAGGCCTACGGTGAAAAAGCAAATATCTTCCCATAACCACTAGACAGAAACATTCTCAGAAACTGCTTTATGACGTATGCACTCACCTAACAGAGAAGAACCTTCCTTTTGACAGAGCAGTTTTGATACACTCTTTTTGTAGAATCTTCAAGTGGATATTGGGATAGCTGTGAAGATTTCGTTGGAAACGGGAATATCTTCCTATAAAATCTAGACAGAAGCATTCTCAGAAACTGCTCTGTGATGTCTGCATTCAAGTCACAGAGTTGAACATTGCCTTTCATAGAGCAGGTTTGAAATGCTCTTTTTGTAGTATATGGAAGTGGATGTTTCAGACGGTTGGAGGCCCATGGTGATAAAGGGAATATCTTCCCCTACAAGCTAGAAAGAAGCATTCTGTGAAACTAGTTTGTGATGTGTGTACTCAACTAACAGAGTTGAACCTTTCTTTTTACAGAGCAGTTTTGAAACACTCTTTTTGTAGAATCTGCGAGGGGTTATTTGGATACATTTCAGCATTTCGTTGGAAACGGGAATATCTTCATATAAAATCTCGACAGAAGCATTCTCAGAAACTTCCTTGTGTTATGTGCATTCAAGTCACAGAGTTGAATATTCCCTTTCACAGAGTAGGTTTGAAACACTCTTTTTGTAGTATCTGGAAGTGGACATTTGGAGCGCCTGGACGCCTACGGTGAAAAGGGAAATATCTTCCCATAAAAACTAGACAGAAGCAATCTCAGAATCTTCTTTGGGATATATGCACGCAGCTAACAGAGTTGAACCTTTCTATTGACAGAGCAGTTTTGAAACAGTCTTTCTGTGTAATCTGCAAGTGGATATTTGGTTAGATTGGAGGATTTCGTTGGAAACGGGATTACGTATAAATAGTAGACAGCAACATCCTCAGAAACTTCTTTGTGATGTGTGCATTCAAGTCACAGAGTTGAACATTCCCTTTCGTACAGCAGTTTTGAAACACTCTTTCTGTAGTATCTGGAAGTGAACATTAGGACAGCTTTCAGGTCTATGGTGAGAAAGGAAATACCTTCAAATAAAAACTAGACAGAAGCATTCTCATAAACTTGTTTGTGATGTGTGAACTCAGCTAACGGAGGTGGATCTTTCTTTTGATAGAGCAGTTCTGAAAAACACTTTTTGTTGAATCTGCAAGTGGACATTTGGATAGATTTGAAGATTTCTTTGGAAACGGGAATATCTTCATATCAAATCTAGACAGAAGCATTTTCAGAAACGTCTTTGTGATGTTTACATTCAACTCATAGAGTTGAACATTCCGTTTCAGAGAGCAGATTTGAGGCACTCTTTTTGTAGTATGTGCAAGTGGATATTTGGAGCGCTCTGAGGCCTACGGTGAAAAAGCAAATATCTTCCCATAACCACTAGACAGAAACATTCTCAGAAACTCCTTTATGACGTATGTACTCAACTAACAGAGAAGAACCTTCCTTTTGACAGAGCAGTTTTGATACACTCTTTTTGAAGAATCTGCAAGTGGATATTTGGATAGCTGTGAAGATTTCGTTGGAAACGGGAATATCTTCCTATAAAATCTAGACAGAAGCATTCTCAGAAACTGCTCTGTGATGTCTGCATTCAAGTCACAGAGTTGAACATTGCCTTTCATAGAGCAGGTTTGAAACGCTCTTTTTGTAGTATATGAAAGTGGATGTTTCGGACGGTTGGAGGCCCATGGTGATAAAGGGAATATCTTCCCCTACAAGCTAGAAAGAAGCATTCTGTGAAACTTGTTTGTGATGTGTGTACTCAACTAACAGAGTTGAACCTTTCTTTTTACAGAGCAGTTTTGAAACACTCTTTTTGTAGAATCTGCGAGGGGATATTTGGATAGATTTCACGATTTCGTTGGAAACGGGAATATCTTCATAGAAAATCTCGACAGAAGCATTCTCAGAAACTTCTTTGTGATATGTGCATTCAATTCACAGAGTTGAATATTCCCTTTCACAGAGTAGGTTTGAAACACTCTTTTTGTAGTATCTGGAAGTGGACATTTGGAGCGCCTTGACACCTACGGTGAAAAGGGAAATATCTTCCCATAAAAACTAGACAGAAGCAATCTCAGAATCTTCTTTGGGATATATGCACGCAGCTAACAGAGTTGAACCTTTCTATTGACAGAGCAGTTTTGAAACACTCTTTCTGTGGAATCTGCAAGTGGATATTTGCATAGATTGGAGGATTTCGTTGGAAACGGGATTACGTATAAAAAGTAGACAGCAGCATCCTCAGAAACTTCTTTGTGATGTGTGCATTCAAGTCACAGAGTTGAACATTCCCTTTCGTACAGCAGTTTTGAAACACTCTTTCTGTAGTATCTGGAAGTGAACATTAGGACAGCTTTCAGGTCTATGGTGAGAAAGCAAATATCTTCAAATAAAAACTAGACAGAAGCATTCTCATAAACTTGTTTGTGATGTGTGAACTCAGCTTACAGAGGTGGATCTTTCTTTTGATAGAGCAGTTCGGAAAAACACTTTTTGTTGAATCTGCAAGTGGACATTTGGATAGATTTGAAGATTTCTTTGGAAACGGGAATATCTTCATATCAAATCTAGAGAGAAGCATTCTCAGAAACGTCTTTGTGATGTTTGCATTCAACTCATAGAGTTGAACATTCCCTTTCAGAGAGCAGCTTGGAAACACTCTTTTTGTAGTATGTGCAAGTGGATATTTGGAGCGCTCTGAGGCCTACGGTGAAAAAGCAAATATCTTCCCATAAACACTAGACAGAAACATTCTCAGAAACTTCTTTATGACGTATGTACTCAACTAGCAGAGAAGAACTTTCCTTTTGACAGAGCATTTTTCATACACTCTTTTGTAGTATCTGCAAGTGGATATTTCGATAGCTGTGAAGATTTCGTTGGAAACGGGAATATCTTCCTATAAAGTCTGGACAGAAGCATTCTCAGAAACTGCTCTGTGATGTCTGCATTCAAGTCACAGAGTTGAACATTGCCTTTCATAGAGCAGGTTTGAAACGCTCTTTTTGTAGTATATGGAAGTGGACTTATCGGACGGTTTGAGGCCCATGGTGATAAAGGGAATATCTTCCTCTACAAGCTAGAAAGAAGCATTCTGTGAAACTTGTTTGTGATGTGTGTACTCAGCTAACAGAGTTGAACCTTTCTTTTTACAGAGCGGTTTTGAAACACTCTTTTTGTAGAATCTGCAAGGGGATATTTGGATAGATTTCAGGATTTCGTTGGAAACGGGAATATCTTCATATAAAATCTCGACAGAAGCATTCTCAGAAACTTCTTTGTAATATGTGCATTCTAGTCACAGAGTTGAATATTCCCTTTCACAGAGTAGGTTTGAAACACTCTTTTTGTAGTATCTGGAAGTGGACATTTGGAGCGCCTTGACACCTACGGTGAAAAGGGAAATATCTTCCCATAAAAACTAGACAGAGGCAATCTCAGAATCTTCTTTGGGATATATGCACGCAGCTAACAGAGTTGAACCTTTCTATTGACAGAGCAGTTTTGAAACAGTCT
Source organism: Homo sapiens (assembly GCF_000001405.40). Classification (NCBI taxonomy): domain Eukaryota; kingdom Metazoa; phylum Chordata; class Mammalia; order Primates; family Hominidae; genus Homo; species Homo sapiens. The sequence goes on from NC_000014.9 coordinate 16,472,951, forward strand.
TTCTGTGGAATCTGCAAGTGGATATTTGGATAGCTTGGAGGATTTCGTTGGAAACGGGATTACGTATAAAAAGTAGACAGCAGCATCCTCAGAAACTTCTTTGTGATGTGTGCATTCAAGTCACAGAGTTGAACATTCCCTTTCGTACGGCAGTTTTGAAACACTCCTTCTGTAGTATCTGGAAGTGAACATTAGGACAGCTTTCAGGTCTATGGTGAGAAAGGAAATATCTTCAAATAAAAACTAGACAGAAAGCATTCTCATAAACTTGTTTGTGATGTGTGAACTCAGCTAACAGAGGTGGATCTTTCTTTTGATAGAGCAGTTCTGAAAAACACATTTTGTTGAATCTGCAAGTGGACATTTGGATAGATTTGAAGATTTCGTTGGAAACGGGAATATCTTCATATCAAATCTAGACAGAAGCATTCTCAGAAACGTCTTTGTGATGTTTGCATTCAACTCATAGAGTTGAACATTCGGTTTCAGAGAGCAGCTTTGAGGCACTCTTTTTGTAGTATGTGCAAGTGGATATTTGGAGCGCTCTGAGGCCTAGGGTGAAAAAGCAAATATCTTCCCATAACCACTAGACAGAAACATTCTCAGAAACTCCTTTATGACGTATGCACTCACCTAACAGAGAAGAACCTTCCTTTTGACAGAGCAGTTTTGATACACTCTTTTTGTGGAATCTGCAAGTGGATATTTGGATAGCTGTGAAGATTTCGTTGGAAACGGGAATATCTTCCTATAAAATCTAGACAGAAGCATTCTCAGAAACTGCTCTGTGATGTCTGCATTCAAGTCACAGAGTTGAACATTGCCTTTCATAGAGGAGGTTTGAAACGCTCTTTTTGTAGTATATGGAACTGGATGTTTCGGACGGTTGGAGGCCCATGGTGATAAAGGGAATATCTTCCCCTACAAGCTAGAAAGAAGCATTCTGTGAAACTTGTTTGTGATGTGTGTACTCAACTAACAGAGTTGAACCTTTCTTTTTACAGAGCAGTTTTGAAACACTCTTTTTGTAGAATCTGCGAGGGGATATTTGGATACATTTCAGCATTTCGTTGGAAACGGGAATATCTTCATATAAAATTTCGACAGAAGCATTCTCAGAAACTTCTTTGTGATATCTGCATTCAAGTCACAGAGTTGAATATTCCCTTTCACAGAGTAGGTTTGAAACACTCTTTTTGTAGTATCTGGAAGTGGACATTTGGAGCGCCTTGACACCTACGGTGAAAAGGGAAATATCTTCCCATAAAAAATAGACAGAAGCAATCTCAGAATCTTCTTTGGGATATATGCACGCAGCTAACAGAGTTGAACCTTTCTATTGACAGAGCAGTTTTGAAACAGTCTTTCTGTGGAATCTGCAAGTGGATATTTGGATAGCTTGGAGGATTTCGTTGGAAACGGGATTAAGTATAAAAAGTAGAGAGCAGCATCCTCAGAAACTTCTTTGTGATGTGTGCATTCAAGTCACAGAGTTGAACATTCCCTTTCGTACAGCAGTTTTGAAACACTCTTTCTGTTGTATCTGGAAGTGAACATTAGGACAGCTTTCAGGTCTATGGTGAGAAAGGAAATATCTTCAAATAAAAACTAGACAGATGCATTCTCATAAACTTGTTTGTGATGTCTGAACTCAGCTAACAGAGGTGGATCTTTCTTTTGATAGAGCAGTTCTGAAAAACACTTTTTGTTGAATCTGCAAGTGGACATTTGGATAGATTTGAAGATTTCGTTGGAAACGGGAATATCTTCATATCAAATCTAGACAGAAGCATTCTCAGAAACGTCTTTGTGATGTTTGCATTCAACTCATAGAGTTGAACATTCCGTTTCAGAGAGCAGCTTTGAAGCACTCTTTTTGTAATATGTGCAAGTGGATATTTGGAGCGCTCTGAGGCCTACGGGGAAAAAGCAAATATCTTCCCATAACCACTAGACAGAAACATTCTGAGAAACTCCTTTATGACGTATGCACTCACCTAACAGAGAAGAACCTTCCTTTTGCCAGAGCATTTTTGATACACTCTTTTTGTAGAATCTGAAAGTGGATATTTGGATAGCTGTGAAGATTTCGTTGGAAACGGGAATATCTTCCTATAAAATCTAGACAGAAGCATTCTCAGAAACTGCTCTGTGATGTCTACATTCAAGTCACAGAGTTGAACATTGCCTTTCATAGAGCAGGTTTGAAACGCTCTTTTTGTAGTATATGGAAGTGGACGTATCGGACGGTTTGAGGCCCATGGTGATAAAGGGAATATCTTCCCCTACAAGCTAGAAAGAAGCATTGTGTGAAACTTGTTTGTGATGTGTGTACTCAACTAACAGAGTTGAACCTTTCTTTTCACAGAGCAGTTTTGAAACACTCTTTTTGTAGAATCTGCGAGCGGATATTTGGATAGATTTCAGGATTTCGATGGAAACGGGAATATCTTCATATAAAATCTCGACAGAAGCATTCTCAGAAACTTCTTTGTGATATGTGCATTCAAGTCACAGAGTTGAATATTCCCTTTCACAGAGTAGGTTTGAAACACTCTTTTTGTAGTATCTGGAAGTGGACATTTGGAGCGCCTTGACACCTACTGTGAAAAGGGAAATATCTTCCCATAAAAACTAGACAGAAACAATCTCAGAATCTTCTTTGGGATATATGCACGCAGCTAACAGAGTTGAACCTTTCTATTGACAGAGCAGTTTTGAAACAGTCTTTCTGTGGAATCTGCAAGTGTATATTTGGATAGCTTGGAGGATTTCGTTGGAAACGGGATTACGTATAAAAAGTAGACAGCAGCATCCTCAGAAACTTCTTTGTGATGTGTGCATTCAAGTCACAGAGTTGAACATTCCCTTTCGTACAGCAGTTTTGAACCACTCTTTCTGTAGTAACTGGAAGTGAACATTAGGACAGCTTTCAGGTCTATGGTGAGAAAGGAAATATCTTCAAATAAAAACTAGACAGAAAGCATTCTCATAAACTTGTTTGTGATGTGTGAACTCAGCTAACAGAGGTGGATCTTTCTTTTGATAGAGCAGTTCTGAAAAACACTTTCTGTTGAATCTGCAAGTGGACATTTGGATAGATTTGAAGATTTCGTTGGAAACGGGAATATCTTCATATCAAATCTAGACAGAGCATTCTCAGAAACGTCTTTGTGATGTTTGCATTGAACTCATAGAGTTGAACATTCCCTTTCAGAGAGCAGCTTTGAAGCACTCTTTTTGTAGTATGTTCAAGTGGACATTTGGAGCGCTCTGAGGCCTATGGGGAAAAAGCAAATATCTTCCCATAACAACTAGACAGAAACATTCTCAGAAACTTCTTTATGACGTATGTACTCAACTAGCAGAAAAGAACTTTCCTTTTGACAGAGCTTTTTTGATACACTCTTTTTGTAGTATCTGCAAGTGGATATTTGGATAGATGTGAAGATTTCGTTGGAATCGGGAATATCTTCCTATAAAGTCTGGACAGAAGCATTCTCAGAAACTGCTCTGTGATGTCTGCATTCAAGTCACAGAGTTGAACATTGCCTTTCATAGAGCAGGTTTGAAACGCTCTTTTTGTAGTATATGGAAGTGGACTTATCGGACGGTTTGAGGCCCATGGTGATAAAGGGAATATCTTCCCCTACAACCTAGAAAGAAGCATTCTGTGAAACTTGTTTGTGATGTATGTACTCAACTAACAGAGTTGAACCTTTCTTTTTACAGAGCAGTTTTGAAACACTCTTTTTGTAGAATCTGCGAGGGGATATTTGGATACATTTCAGGATTTCGTTGGAAACGGGAATATCTTCATATAAAATCTCGACAGAAGCATTCTCAGAAACTTCTTTGTGATATCTGCATTCAAGTCACAGAGTTGAATATTCCCTTTCACTGAGTAGGTTTGAAACACTCTTTTTGTAGTATCTGGAAGTGGACATTTGGAGCGCCTTGACGCCTACGGTGAAAAGGGAAATATCTTCCCATAAAAACTAGGCAGAAGAAATCTCCGAATCTTCTTTGGGATATATGCACGCAGCTAACAGAGTTGAACCTTTCTATTGACAGAGCAGTTTTGAAACAGTCTTTCTGTGGAATCTGCAAGTGGATATTTGGATAGCTTGGAGGATTTCGTTGGAAAAGGGATTATGTATAAAAATTAGACAGCAGCATCCTCAGAAACTTCTTTGTGATGTGTGCATTCAAGTCACAGAGTTGAACATTCCCTTTCATACAGCAGTTTTGAAACGCTCTTTCTGTAGTATCTGGAAGTGAACTTTAGGACAGCTTTCAGGTCTATGGTGAGAAAGGAAATATCTTCAAATAAAAACTAGACAGAAGCATTCTCATAAACTTGTTTGTGATGTCTGAACTCAGCTAACAGGAGGTGGATCTTTCTTTTGATAGAGCAGTTCTGAAAAACACTTTTTTTTGAATCTGCAAGTGGACATTTGGATAGATTTGAAGATTTCGTTGGAAACGGGAATATCTTCATATCAAATCTAGACAGAAGCATTCTCAGAAACGTCTTTGTGATGTTTGCATTCAACTCATAGAGTTGAACATTCCCTTTCAGAGAGCAGCTTTGGAGCACTCTTTTTGTAGCATGTGCAAGTGGACATTTGGAGCGCCCTGAGGCCTACGGGGAAAAAGCAAATATCTTCCCATAACCACTAGACAGAAACAATCTCAGAAACTTCTTTATGGCGTATGTACTCAACTAGCAGAGAAGAACTTTCCTTTTGACAGAGCACTTTTGATACACTCTTTTTGTAGTATCTGCAAGTGGATATTTGGATAGCTGTGAAGATTTCGTTGGAATCGGGAATATATTCCTATAAAGTCCGGACAGAAGCATTCTCAGAAACTGCTCTGTGATGTCTGCATTCAAGTCACAGAGTTGAACATTGCCTTTCATACAGCAGGTTTGAAACGCTCTTTTTGTAGTATATGGAAGTGGATGTTTCCGACGGTTGGAGGCCCATGGTGATAAAGGGAATATCTTCCCCTACAAGCTAGAAAGAAGCATTCTGTGAAACTTGTTTGTGATGTGTGTACTCAACTAACAGAGTTGAACCTTTCTTTTCACAGAGCAGTTTTGAAACACTCTTTTTGTAGAATCTGCGAGGGGATATTTGGATAGATTTCAGGATTTCGTTGGAAACGGGAATATCTTCATTTAAAATCTCGACAGAAGCATTCTCAGAAACGTCTTTGTGATATGTGCATTCAAGTCACAGAGTTGAATATTCCCTTTCACAGAGTAGGTTTGAAACACTCTTTTTGTAGTATCTGGAAGTGGACATTTGGAGCGCCTTGACGCCTACGGTGAAAAGGGAAATATCTTCCCATAAAAACTAGACAGAAGCAATCTCAGAATCTTCTTTGGGATATATGCACGCAGCTAACAGAGTTGAACCTTTCTATTGACAGAGCAGTTTTGAAACAGTCTTTCTGTGGAATCTGCAAGTGGATATTTGGATAGCTTGGAGGATTTCGTTGGAAACGGGATTACGCATAAAAAGTAGACGGCACCATCCTCAGAAACTTCTTTGTGATGTGTGCATTCAAGTCACAGAGTTGAACATTCCCTTTCGTACAGCTGTTTTGAAACACTCTTTCTGTAGTAACTGGAAGTGAACATTAGGACAGCTTTCAGGTCTATGGTGAGAAAGGAAATATCTTCAAATAAAAACTAGACAGAAGCATTCTCATAAACTTGTTTGTGATGTGTGAACTCAGCTAACAGAGGTGGATCTTTCTTTTGATAGAGCAGTTCTGAAAAACACTTTTTGTTGAATCTGCAAGTGGACATTTGGATAGATTTGAAGATTTCGTTGGAAACGGGAATATCTTCATATTAAGTCTAGACAGAAGCATTCTCGGAAACGTCTTTGTGATGTTTGCATTCAACTCATAGAGTTGAACATTCCGTTTCAGAGAGCAGCTTTGAAGCACTCTTTTTGTAGTATGTGCAAGGGGATATTTGGAGCGCTCTGAGGCCTAAGGTGAAAAAGCAAATATCTTCCCATAACCACTAGACAGAAACATTCTCAGAAACTCCTTTATGACGGTATGCACTCACCTAACAGAAAATAACCTTCCTTTTGACAGAGCAGTTTAGATACACTCTTTTTGTAGAATCTGCAAGTGGATATTTGGATAGCTGTGAAGATTTCGTTGGAAACGGGAATATCTTCCTATAAAATCTAGACAGAAGCATTCTCAGAAACTGCTCTGTGATGTCTGCATTCAAGTCACAGAGTTGAACATTGCCTTTCATAGAGCAGGTTTGAAACGCTCTTTTTGTAGTATATAGAAGTGGACTTATCGGACGGTTTGAGGCCCATGGTGATAAAGGGAATATCTTCCCCTACAAGCTAGAAAGAAGCATTGTGTGAAACTTGTTTGTGATGTGTGTACTCAACTAACAGAGTTGAACTTTTCTTTTTACAGAGCAGTTTTGAAACACTCTTTTTGTAGAATCTGCGAGGGGATATTTGGATAGATTTCAGGATTTCGTTGGAAACGGGAATATCTTCATATAAAATCTCGACAGAAGCATTCTCAGAAACTTCTTTGTGATATGTGCATTCAAGTCACAGAGTTGAATATTCCCTTTCACAGAGTAGGTTTGAAACACTCTTTTTGTTGTATCTGGAAGTGGACATTTGGAGCGCCTTGACACCTACGGTGAAAAGGGAAATATCTTCTCATAAAAAGTAGACAGAAGTAATCTCAGAAACTTCTTTGGGATATATGCACGCAGCTAACAGAGTTGAACCTTTCTATTGACAGAGCAGTTTTGAAACAGTCTTTCTGTGGAATCTGCAAGTGAATATTTGGATAGCTTGGAGGATTTCGTTGGAAACGGGATTACGTATAAAAAGTAGACAGCAGCATCCTCAGAAACTTCTTTGTGATGTGTGCATTCAAGTCACAGAGTTGAACATTCCCTTTCGTACAGCAGTTTTGAAACACTCTTTCTGTAGTATCTGGAAGTGAACATTAGGACAGATTTCAGGTCTATGGTGAGAAAGGAAATATCTTCAAATAAAAACTAGACAGAAGCATTCTGATAAACTTGTTTGTGAAGTGTGATCTCAGCTAACAGAGGTGGATCTTTCTTTTTATAGAGCAGTTCTGAAAAACACTTTGTTGAATCTGCAAGTGGACATTTGGATAGATTTGAAGATTTCGTTGGAAACGGGAATATCTTCATATCAAATCTAGACAGAAGCATTCTCAGAAACGTCTTTGTGATGTTTGCATTCAACTCATAGAGTTGAACATTCCGCTTCAGAGAGCAGCTTTGAAGCACTCTTTTTGTAGCATGTGCAAGTTGACATTTGGAGCGCTCAGAGGCCTACGGGGAAAAAGCAAGTATCTTCCCATAACCACTAGACAGAAACATTCTCAGAAACTCCATTATGACGTATGCACTCAACTAACAGAGAACAACCTTCCTTTTGACAGAGCAGTTTTGATACACTCTTTTTGTAGAATCTGCAAGTGGATATTTGGATAGCTGTGAAGATTTCGTTGGAAACGGGAATATCTTCCTATAAAATCTAGACAGGCAGCATCCTCAGAAACTGCTTTGTGATATCTGCATTCAAGTCACAGAGTTGAACATTCCCTTTCATGGAGCAGGTTTGAAATGCTCTTTTTGTTACATGTGGAAGTGGACGTTTCGAACGGTTTGAGACCCATGGTGATAAAGGAAATATCTTCCCCCACAAGCTAAGAAGAGCATTCTGTGAAACTTGTTTGTGATATGTGTACTCAACTAACATAGTTGAACCTTTCTTTTTACAGAGCAGTTTTGAAACACTCTTTTTGTAGAATCTGCGAGGGGATATTTGGATAGATTTCAGGATTTCGTTGGAAACGGGAATATCTTCATATAAAATCTCGAAAGAAGCATTCTCAGAAACTTCTTTGTGATATGTGCATTCAAGTCACAGAGTTGAATATTCCCTTTCACAGAGTAGGTTTGAAACACTCTTTTTGTAGTATCTGGAAGTGGATATTTGGAGCGCCTTGACACCTACGGTGAAAAGGGAAGTATCTTCCCATCAAAACTAGACAGAAGCAATCTCAGAATCTCCTTTGGGATATATGCACGCAGCTAACAGAGTTGAACCTTTCTATTGACAGAGCAGTTTTGAAACAGTCTTTCTGTGGAATCTGCAAGTGGATATTTGGATAGCTTGGAGGATTTCGTTGGAAACGGGATTACGTATAAAAACTAGACAGCAGCATCCTCAGAAACTTCTTTGTGATGTGTGCATTCAAGTCACAGAGTTGAACATTCCCTTTCGTACAGCAGTTTTGAAACACTCTTTCTGTAGTATCTGGAAGTGAACATTAGGACAGCTTTCAGGTCTATGGTGATAAAGGAAATATCTTCAAATAAAAACTAGACAGAAGCATTCTCATAAACTTGTTTCTGATGTGTGAACTCAGCTAACAGAGGTGGATCTTTCTTTTGATAGAGCAGTTCTGAAAAACACTTTTTGTTGAATCTGCAAGTGGATATTTGGATAGATTTGAAGATTTCGTTGGAAACGGGCATATCTTCATATCAAATCTAGACAGAAGCATTCTCAGAAACGTCTTTGTGATGTTTGCATTCAACTCATAGAGTTGAACATTCCGTTTCAGAGAGCAGCTTTGAGGCACTCTTTTTGTAGTATGTGCAAGTGGATATTTGGAGCGCTCTGAGGCCTACGGTGAAAAAGCAAATATCTTCCCATAACCACTAGTCAGAAACATTCTCAGAAACTCCTTTATGACGTATGTACTCAACTAGCAGAGAAGAACTTTCCTTTTGACAGAGCATTTTTGATACACTCTTTTTGTACTATCTGCAAGTGGATATTTGGATAGCTGTGAAGATTTCGTTGGAAACGGGAATATCTTCCTATAAAGTCTGGACAGAAGCATTCTCAGAAACTGCTCTGTGATGTCTGCATTCAAGTCACAGAGTTGAACATTGCCTTTCATACAGCAGGTTTGAAACGCTCTTTTTGTAGTATAGGGAAGTGGACTTTTCGGACGGTTTGAGGACCACGATGATAAAGGGGAATCTTCCCCTACAAGCTAGAAAGAAGCATTCTGTGAAACTTGTTTGTGATGTGTGTACTCAACTAACAGAGTTGAACCTTTCTTTTTACAGAGCAGTTTTGAAACACTCTTTCTGTAGAATCTGTGAGGGGATATTTGGATAGATTTCAGGATTTCGGTGGAAACGGGAATATCTTCATATAAAATCTCGACAGAAGCATTCTCAGAAACTTCTTTGTGATATGTGCATTCAAATCACTGAGTTGAATATTCCCTTTCACAGAGTAGGTTTGAAACACTCTTTTTGTAGTATCTGGAAGTGGACATTTGGAGCGCCTTGACGCCTACGGTGAAAAGGGAAATATCTTCCCATAAAAACTAGACAGAAGCAATCTCAGAATCTTCTTTGGGATATATGCACGCAGCTAACAGAGTTGAACCTTTCTATTGACAGAGCAGTTTTGAAACAGTCTTTCTGTGGAATCTGCAAGTGGATATTTGGATAGCTTGGAGGATTTCGTTGGAAACGGGATTAAGTATAAAAAGTACACAGCAGCATCATCAGAAACTTCTTTGTGATGTGTGCATTCAAGTCACAGAGTTGAACATTCCCTTTCGTACAGCAGTTTTGAAACACTCTTTCTGTAGTATCTGGAAGTGAACATTAGGACAGCTTTCAGCTCTATGGTGAGAAAGGAAATATCTTCAAATAAAAACTAGACAGAAGCATTCTCATAAACTTGTTTGTGATGTGTGAACTCAGCTAACAGACGTGGATCTTTCTTTTGATACAGCAGTTTTGAAAAACACTTTTTGTTGAATCTGCAAGTGGACATTTGGATAGATATGAAGATTTCGTTGGAAACGGGAATATCTTCATATCAAATACTAGACAGAAGCATTCTCAGAAACGTCTTTGCGATGTTTGCATTCAACTCATAGAGTTGAACATTCCGTTTCAGAGAGCAGCTTTGAGGCACTCTTTTTGTAGTATGGGCAAGTGGATATTTGGAGCGCTCTGAGGCCTACGGTGAAAGAGCAAATATCTTCCCATAACCACTAGACAGAAACATTCTCAGAAACTCCTTTATGACGTATGCACTCACCTAACAGAGAAGAACCTTCCTTTTGACAGAGCAGTTTTGATACACTCTTTTTGTAGAATCTGCAAGTGGATATTCGGATAGCTGTGAAGATTTCGTTGGAAACGGGAATATCTTCCTATAAAATCTAGACAGAAGCATTCTCAGAAACTGCTCTGTGATGTCTGCATTCAAGTCACAGAGTTGAACATTGCCTTTCATAGAGCAGGTTTGAAACGCTCTTTTTGTAGTATATTGAAGTGGACGTTTCGGACGGTTTGAGGCCCATGGTGATAAAGGGAATATCTTCCCCTACAAGCTAGAAAGAAGCATTCTGTGAAACTTGTTTGAGATGTGTGTACTCAACTAACAGAGTTGAACCTTTCTTTTTACAGAGCAGTTTTGAAACACTCTTTTTGTAGAATCTGCGAGGGGATATTTGGATAGATTTCAGGATTTCGTTGGAAACGGGAATATCTTCATATAAAATCTCGACAGAAGCATTCTCAGAAACTTCTTTGTGATATGTGCATTCAAGTCACAGAGTTGAATATTCCCTTTCACAGAGTAGGTTTGAAACACTCTTTTTGTAGTATCTGGAAGTGGACATTTGGAGCGCCTTGACACCTACGGTGAAAAGCGAAATATCTTCCCATAAAAACTAGACAGAAGCAATCTCAGAATCTTCTTTGGGATATATGCACGCAGCTAACAGAAGTTGAACCTTTCTATTGACAGAGCAGTTTTGAAACAGTCTTTCTGTGGAATCTGCAAGTGGATATTTGGATAGCTTGGAGGATTTCGTTGGAAACGGGATTACGTATAAAAAGTAGACAGCAGCATCCTCAGAAACTTCTTTGTGATGTGTGCATTCAAGTCACAGAGTTGAACATTCCCTTTCGTACAGCAGTTTTGAATCACTCTTTCTGTAGTAACTGGAAGTGAACATTAGGACAGCTTTCAGGTCTATGGTGAGAAAGGAAATATCTTCAAATAAAAACTAGACAGAAGCATTCTCATAAACTTGTTTGTGATGTGTGAACTCAGCTAACAGAGGTGGATCTTTCTTTTGATAGAACAGTTCTGAAAAACACTTTTTGTTGAATCTGCAAGTGGACATTTGGATAGATTAGAAGATTTCGTTGGAAACGGGAATATCTTCATATCAAATCTACACAGAAGCATTCTCAGAAAGGTCTTTGTGATGTTTGCATTCAACTCATAGAGTTGAACATTCCCTTTCAGAGAGCAGCTTTGAAGCACTCTTTTTGTAGTATGTGCAAGGGGATATTTGGAGCGCTCTGAGGCCTAAGGTGAAAAAGCAAATATCTTCCCATAACCACTAGACAGAAACATTCTCAGAAACTCCTTTATGACGTGTGCACTCACCTAACAGAGAAGAACCTTCCTTTTGACAGAGCATTTTTGATACACTCTTTTTGTAGAATCTGCAAGTGGATATTTGGATAGCTGTGAAGATTTCGTTGGAAACGGGAATACCTTCCAATAAAATCTAGACAGAAGCATTCTCAGAAACTGCTCTGTGATGTCTGCATTGAAGTCACAGAGTTGAACATTGCCTTTCATAGAGCAGGTTTGAAACGCTCTTTTTGTAGTATATGGAAGTGGACGTTTCGGACGGTTTGAGGCCCATGGTGATAAAGGGAATATCTTCCCCTACAAGCTAGAAAGAAGCATTCTGTGAAACTTGTTTGTGATGTGTGTACTCAGCTAACAGAGTTGAACCTTTCTTTTTACAGAGCAGTTTTGAAACACTCTTTTTGTAGAATCTGCGAGGGGATATTTGGATAGATTTCAGGATTTTGTTGGAAACGGGAATATCTTCATATAAAATCTCGACAGAAGCATTCTTAGAAACTTCTTTGTGATATCTGCATTCAAGTCACAGAGTTGAATATTCCCTTTCACAGAGTAGGTTTGAAACACTCTTTTTGTAGTATCTGGAAGTGGACATTTGGAGCGCCTTGACGCCTACGGTGAAAAGGGAAATATCTTCCCATAAAAACTAGACAGAAGCAATATCAGAATCTTCTTTGGGATATATGCACGCAGCTAACAGAGTTGAACCTTTCTATTGACAGAGCCGTTTTGAAACAGTCTTTCTGTGGAATCTGCAAGTGGATATTTGGATAGCTTGGAGGATTTCGTTGGAAACGGGATTACGTATAAAAAGTAGACAGCAGCATCCTCAGAAACTTCTTTGTGATGTGTGCATTCAAGTCACAGAGTTGAACATTCCCTTTCGTACAGCAGTTTTGAAACACTCTTTCTGTAGTATCTGGAACTGAACATTAGGACAGCTTTCAGGTCTATGGTGAGAAAGGAAATATCTTCAAATAAAAACTAGACAGAAAGCATTCTCATAAACTTGTTTGTGATGTGTGAACTCAGCTAACACACGTGGATCTTTCTTTTGATAGAGCAGTTCTGAAAAACACTTTTTGTTGAATCTGCAAGTGGACATTTGGATAGATTTGAAGATTTCGTTGGAAACGGGAATATCTTCATATCAAATCTAGACAGAAGCATTCTCAGAAACGTCTTTGTGATGTTAGCATTCAACTCATAGAGTTGAACATTCCCTTTCAGAGAGCAGCTTTGAAGCACTCTTTTTGTAGTATGTGCAAGTGGATATTTGGAGCGCTCTGAGGCCTATGGTGAAAAAGCAAATATCTTCCCATTACCACTAGACAGAAACATTCTCACAAACTCCTTTATGACGTATGCACTCACCTAACAGAGAAGAACCTTCCTTTTGACAGAGCACTTTTGATACACTCTTTTTGTAGAATCTGAAAGTGGATATTTGGATAGCTGTGAAGTTTTCGTTGGAAACGGGAATATCTTCCTATAAATTCTAGACAGAAGCATTCTCAGAAACTGCTCTGTGATGTCTGCATTCAAGTCACAGAGTTGAACATTGCCTTTCATAGAGCAGGTTTGAAACGCTCTTTTTGTAGTATATGGAAGTAGACGTTTCGGACGGTTTGAGGCCCATGGTGATAAAGGGAATATCTTCCCCTGCAAGATAGAAAGAAGCATTCTGTGAAACTTGTTTGTGATGTGTGTACTCAACTAACAGAGTTGAACCTTTCTTTTTACAGAGCAGTTTTGAAACACTCTTTTTGTAGAACCTGCGAGCGGATATTTGGATAGATTTCAGGATTTCGTTGGAAACGGGAATACCTTCATATAAAATCTCGACAGAAGCATTCTCAGCAAACTTCTTTGTGATATGTGTATTCAAGTCACAGAGTTGAATACTCCCTTTCACAGAGTAGGTTTGAAACACTCTTTTTGTAGTATCTGGAAGTGGACATTTGGAGCGCCTTGACGCCTACGGTGAAAAGGGAAATATCTTCCCATAAAAACTAGACAGAAGTAATCGCAGAATCTTCTTTGGGATATATGCACGCAGCTAACAGAGTTGAACCTTTCTATTGACAGAGCAGTTTTGAAACAGTCTTTCTGTGGAATCTGCAATTGGATATTTGGATAGCTTGGAGGATTTCGTTGGAAACGGGATTACGTATAAAAAGTAGACAGCAGCATCCTCAGAAACTTCTTTGTGATGTGTGCTTTCAAGTCACAGAGTTGAACATTCCCTTTCGTACAGCAGTTTTGAAAAACTCTTTCTGTAGTATCTGGAAGTGAACATTAGGACAGCTTTCAGCTCTATGGTGAGAAAGGAAATATCTTCAAATAAAAACTAGACAGAAGCATTCTCATAAACTTGTTTGTGATGTGTGAACTCAGCTAACAGAGGTGGATCTTTCTTTTGATATAGCAGTTTTGAAAAACACTTTTTGTTGAATCTGCAAGTGGACATTTGGATAGATTTGAAGATTTCGTTGGAAACGGGAATATCTTCATATCAAATCTAGACAGAAGCATTCTCAGAAACATCTTTGTGATGTTTGCATTCAACTCATAGAGTTGAACATTCCGTTTCAGAGAGCAGCTTTGAAGCACTCTTTTTGTAGCATGCGCAAGTGGACATTTGGAGCGCTCTGAGGCCTACGGGGAAAAAGCAAATATCTTCCCATAACCACTAGACAGAAACATTCTCAGAAACTCCTTTATGACGTATGCACTCACCTAACAGAGAAGAACCTTCCTTTTGACAGAGCAGTTTTGATACACTCTTTTTGTAGCATCTGCAAGTGGATATTTGGATAGCTGTGAAGATTTCGTTGGAAACGGGAATATCTTCCTATAAAATCTAGACAGAAGCATTCTCAGAAACTGCTCTCTGATGTCTGCATTCAAGTCACAGAGTTGAACATTGCCTTTCATAGAGCAGGTTTGAAATGCTCTTTTTGTAGTATATGGAAGTGGACGTTTCAGACGGTTTGAGTCCCATGGTGATAAAGGGAATATCTTCCCCTACAAGCTAGAAAGAAGCATTCTGTGAAACTTGTTTGTGATGTGTGTACTCAACTAACAGAGTTGAACCTTTCTTTTCACAGAGCAGTTTTGAAACACTCTTTTTGTAGAATCTGCGAGGGGATATTTGGGATAGATTTCAGCATTTCGTTGGAAACGGGAATATCTTCATATAAAATCTCGACAGAAGCATTCTCAGAAACTTCCTTGTGATATGTGCATTCAAGTCACAGAGTTGAATATTCCCTTTCGCAGAGTAGGTTTGAAACACTCTTTTTGTAGTATCTGGAAGTGGACATTTGGAGCGCCTTGACGCCCACGGTGAAAAGGGAAATATCTTCCCATCAAAACTAGACAGAAGCAATCTCAGAATCTTCTTTGGGATATATGCACGCAGCTAACAGAGTTGAACCTTTCTATTGACAGAGCATTTTTGAAACAGTCTTTCTGTGGAATCTGCAAGTGGATATTTGGATAGCTTGGAGGATTTCGTTGGAAACGGGATTACGTATAAAAAGTAGACAGCAGCATCCTCAGAAACTTCTTTGTGATGTGTGCATTCAAGTCACAGATTTGAACATTCCCTTTCGTACAGCAGTTTTGAAACACTCTTTCTGTAGTATCTGGAAGTGAACATTAGGACAGCTTTCAGGTCTATGGTGAGAAAGGAAATATCTTCAAATAAAAACTAGACAGAAGCATTCTCATAAACTTGTTTGTGATGTGTGAACTCAGCTAAGAGAGGTGGATCTTTCTTTTGATACAGCAGTTTTGAAAAACACTTTTTGTTGAATCTGCAAGTGGACATTTGGATAGATTTGAAGATTTCGTTGGAAACGGGAATATCTTCATATCAAATCTAGACAGAAGCATTCTCAGAAACGTCTTTTTGATGTTTGCATTCAACTCATAGAGTTGAACATTCCCTTTCAGAGAGCAGCTTTGAAGCACTCTTTTTGTAGCATGTGCAAGTGGACATTTGGAGCGCCCTGAGGCCTACGGGGAAAAAGCAAATATCTTCCCATAACCACTAGACAGAAACATTCTCAGAAACTTCTTTATGACGTATGTACTCAACTAGCAGAGAAGAACTTTCCTTTTGACAGAGCTTTTTTGATACACTCTTTTTGTAGTATCTGCAAGTGGATATTTGGATAGCTGTAAAGATTTCGTTGGAATCGGGAATATCTTCCTATAAAGTCAGGACAGAAGCA
This sequence comes from Homo sapiens, assembly GCF_000001405.40. Taxonomy (NCBI): domain Eukaryota; kingdom Metazoa; phylum Chordata; class Mammalia; order Primates; family Hominidae; genus Homo; species Homo sapiens. The sequence goes on from NC_000014.9 coordinate 16,488,729, forward strand.
TTCTCAGAAACTGCTCTGTGATGTCTGCATTCAAGTCACAGAGTTGAACATTGCCTTTCATAGAGCAGGTTTCAGACACTCTTTTGTTAGTATATGGAAGTGGACGTTTCGGACGGTTTGAGGCCCATGGTGATAAAGGAAATTTCTTCCCCTACAAGCTAGAAAGAAGCATTCTGTGAAACTTGTTTGTGATGTGTGTACTCAACTAACAGAGTTGAACCTTTCTTTTTACAGAGCAGTTTTGAAACACTCTTTTTGTAGAATCTGCGAGGGGATATTTGGATAGATTTCAGGATTTCGTTGGAAACGGGAATATATTCATATAAAATCTCGACAGAAGAATTCTCAGAAACTTCTTTGTGATATGTGCATTCAAGTCACAGAGTTGAATGTTCCCTTTCACAGAGTAGGTTTGAAACACTCTTTTTGTAGTATCTGGAAGTGGACATTTGGAGCGCCTTGACACCTACGGTGAAAAGGGAAATATCTTCTCATAAAAAGTAGACAGACGCAATCTCAGAATCTTCTTTGGGATATATGCACGCAGCTAACAGAGTTGAACCTTTCTATTGACAGAGCAGTTTTGAAACAGTCTTTCTGTGGAATCTGCAAGTGGATATTTGGATAGCTTGGAGGATTTCGTTGGAAACGGGATTACGTATAAAAAATAGACTGCAGCATCCTCAGAAACTTCTTTGTGATGTGTGCATTCAAGTCACAGAGTTGAACATTCCCTTTCGTACAGCAGTTTTGAAACACTCTTTCTGTAGTAACTGGAAGTGAACATTAGGACAGCTTTCAGCTCTATGGTGAGAAAGGAAATATCTTCAAATAAAAACTAGACAAAAGCATTCTCATAAACTTGTTTTTGATATGTGAACTCAGCTAACAGAGGTGGATCTTTCTTTTGATAGAGCAGTTCTGAAAAACACTTTTTGTTGAATCTGCAAGTGGACATTTGGATAGATTTGAAGATTTCGTTGGAAACGGGAATATCTTCATATCAAATCTAGACACAAGCATTCTCAGAAACGTCTTTGTGATGTTTGCATTCAACTCATAGAGCTGAACATTCCGTTTCAGAGAGCAGCTTTGAAGCACTCTTTTTGTAGTATGTGCAAGTGGATATTTGGAGCGCTCTGAGGCCTACGGTGAAAAAGCAAATATCTTCCCATAACCACTAGACAGAAACATTCTCAGAAACTTCTTTATGACGTATGTACTCAACTAGCAGAGAAGAACTTTCCTTTTGACAGAGCTTTTTTGATACACTCTTTTTGTAGTATCTGCAAGTGGATATTGGGATAGCTGTGAAGATTTCGTTGGAATCGGGAATATCTTCCTATAAAGTCTGGACAGAAAGCATTCTCAGAAACTGCTCTGTGATGTCTGCATTCAAGTCACAGAGTTGAACGTTGCCTTTCATAGAGCAGGTTTGAAACGCTCTTTTTGTAGTATATGGAAGTGGACTTATCGGACGGTTTGAGGCCCATGGTGATAAAGGGAATATCTTCCCCTACAAGCTAGAAAGAAGCATTCTGTGAAACTTGTTTGTGATGTGTGTACTCAACTAACAGAGTTGAACCTTTCTTTTCACAGAGCAGTTTTGAAACACTCTTTTTGTAGAATCTGCGAGGGGATATTTGGATAGATTTCAGGATTTCGTTGGAAACGGGATTATCTTCATATAAAATCTCGACAGAAGAATTCTCAGAAACTTCCTTGTGATATGTGCATTCAAGTCACAGAGTTGAATATTCCCTTTCACAGAGTAGGTTTGAAACACTGTTTTTGTAGTATCTGGAAGTGGACATTTGGAGCGCCTTGACGCCTACGGTGAAAAGGGAAATATCTTCCCATAAAAACTAGACAGAAGCAATCTCAGAATCTTCTTTGGGATATATGCACGCAGCTAACAGAGTTGAACCTTTCTATTGACAGAGCAGTTTTGAAACAGTCTTTCTGTGGAATCTGAAAGTGGATATTTGGATAGCTTGGAGGATTTCGTTGGAAACGGGATTACGTATAAAAAGTAGACAGCCAGCATCCTCAGAAACTTCTTTGTGATGTGTGCATTCAAGTCACAGAGTTGAACATTCCCTTTCGTACAGCAGTTTTGAAACACTCTTTCTGTAGTAACTGGAAGTGAACATTAGGACAGCTTTCAGGTCTATGGTGAGAAAGGAAATATCTTCAAATAAAAACTAGACAGAGCATTCTCATAAACTTGTTTGTGATGTGTGAACTCATCTAACAGACGTGGATCTTTCTTTTGATACAGCAGTTTTGAAAAACACTTTTTGTTGAATCTGCAAGTGGACATTTGGATAGATATGAAGATTTCGTTGGAAACGGGAATATCTTCATATCAAATCTAGACAGAAGCATTCTCAGAAACGTCTTTGCGATGTTTGCATTCAACTCATAGAGTTGAACATTCCGTTTCAGAGAGCAGCTTTGAGGCACTCTTTTTGTAGTATGTGCAAGTGGATATTTGGAGCGCTCTGAGGCCTACGGTGAAAAAGCAAATATCTTCCCATAACAACTAGATAGAAACATTCTCAGAAACTCCTTTATGACGTATGCACTCACCTAACAGAAAAGAACCTTCCTTTTGACAGAGCAGTTTTGATACACTCTTTTTGTAGAATCTGCAAGTGGATATTTGGATAGCTATGAAGATTTGGTTGGAAACGGGAATATCTTCCTATAAAATCTAGACAGAAGCATTCTCAGAAACTGCTCTGTGATGTCTGCATTCAAGTCACAGAGTTGAACATTGCCTTTCATAGAGCAGGTTTGAAACTCTCTTTTTGTAGTATATGGAAGTGGACTTATCGGACGGTTTGAGGCCCATGGTGATAAAGGGAATATCTTCCCCTACAAGCTAGAAAGAAGCATTCTGTGAAACTTGTTTGTGATGTGTGTACTCAACTAACAGAGTTGAACCTTTCTTTTTACAGAGCAGTTTTGAAACACTCTTTTGTAGAATCTGTGAGGGGATATTTGGATAGATTTCAGGATTTCGTTTTAAACGAGAATATCTTCATATAAAATCTCGACAGAAGCATTCTCAGAAACTTCTTTGTGATATCTGCATTCAAGTCACAGAGTTGAATATTCCCTTTCACAGAGTAGGTTTGAAACACTCTTTTTGTAGCATCTGCAAGTGGACATTTGGAGCACCTTGACACCTATGGTGAAAAGGGAAATATCTTCCGATAAAAACTAGACAGAAGCAATCTCAGAATCTTCTTTGGGATATATGCACGCAGCTAACAGAGTTGAACCTTTCTATTGAGAGAGCAGTTTTGAAACAGTCTTTCTGTGGAATCTGCAAGTGGATATTTGGATAGCTTGGAGGATTTCCTTGGAAACGGGATTACGTATAAAAAGTAGACAGCAGCATCCTCAGAAACTTCTTTGTGATGTGTGCATTCAAGTCACAGAGTTGAACATTCCCTTTCGTACAGCAGTTTTGAAACACTCTTTCTGTAGTATCTGGAAGTGAACATTAGGACAGCTTCCAGGTCTATGGTGAGAAAGGAAATATCTTCAAATAAAAACTAGACAGAAGCATTCTCATAAACTTGTTTGTGATGTGTGTACTCAGCTAACAGAGGTGGATCTTTCTTTTGATAGAGCAGTTTTGAAAAACACTTTTTGTTGAATCTGCAAGTGGACATTTGGATAGATTTAAAGATTTCGTTGGAAACGGGAATATCTTCATATCAAATCTAGACAGAAGCATTCTCAGAAACGTCTTTGTGATGTTTCCATTCAACTCATAGAGTTGAACATTCACTTTCAGAGAGCAGCTTTGAAGCACTCTTTTTGTAGTATGTGCAAGTGGATATTTTGATCGCTCTCTGGCCTACGGTGAAAAAGCAAATATCTTCCCATAACCACTAGACAGAAACATTCTCAGAAACTCCTTTATGACGTATGCACTCACCTAACAGAAAAGAACCTTCCTTTTGACAGAGCAGTTTTGATACACTCTTTTTGTAGAATCTGCAAGTGGATATTTGGATAGCTATGAAGATTTGGTTGGAAACGGGAATATCTTCCTATAAAATACTAGACAGAAGAATTCTCAGAAACTGCTCTGTGATGTCTGCATTCAAGTCACAGAGTTGAACATTGCCTTTCATAGAGCAGGTTTGAAACGCTCTTTTTGTAGTATATGGAAGTGGATGTTTCGGACGGTTGGAGGCCCATGGTGATAAAGGGAATATCTTCCCCTACAAGCTAGAAAGAAGCATTCTGTGAAACTTGTTTGTGATGTGTGTACTCAACTAACAGAGTTGAACCTTTCTTTTTACAGAGCAGTTTTGAAACACTCTTTTTGTAGAATCTGCGAGGGGATATTTGGATAGATTTCAGGATTTCGTTGGAAACGGGAATATCTTCATATAAACTCTCGACAGAAGCATTCTCAGAAACTTCTTTGTGATATCTGCATTCAACTCACAGAGTTGAATATTCCCTTTCGCAGAGTAGGTTTGAAACACTCTTTTTGTAGTATCTGGAAGTGGACATTTGGAGCGCCTTGACGCCTACGGTGAAAAGGGAAATATCTTCCCATAAAAACTAGACAGAAGCAATCTCAGAATCTTCTTTGGGATATATGCACGCAGCTAACAGAGTTGAACATTTCTATTGACAGAGCAGTTTTGAAACAATCTTTCTGTGGAATCTGCAAGTGGATATTTGGATAGCTTGGAGGATTTCGTTGGAAACGGGATTACGTATAAAAAGTAGACAGCAGCATCCTCAGAAACTACTTTGTGATGTGTGCATTCAAGTCACAGAGTTGAACATTCCCTTTCGTACAGCAGTTTTGAAACACTCTTTCTGTAGTATCTGGAAGTGAACATTAGGACAGCTTTCAGGTCTATAGTGAGAAAGGATATATCTTCAAATAAAAACTAGAGAGAAGCACTTTTAAAAACTTGTTTGTGATGTGTGAACTCAACTAACAGAGGTGGATCTTTCTTTCGATACAGCAGTTTTGAAAAACACTTTTTGTTGAATCTGCAAGTGGACATTTGGATAGATTGGAAGATTTCTTTGGAAACGGGAATATCTTCATATCAAATCTAGACAGAAGCATTCTCAGAAACGTCTTTGCGATGTTTGCATTCAACTCATAGAGTTGAACATTCCGTTTCAGAGAGCAGCTTTGAGGCACTCTTTTTGTAGTATGTGCAAGTGGATATTTGGAGCGCTCTGAGGCCTACGGTGAAAAAACAAATATCTTCCCATAACCACTAGACAGAAACATTCTCAGAAACTCCTTTATGACGTTTGTACTCAACTAACAGAGAAGAACCTTCCTTTTGACAGAGCAGTTTTGATACACTCTTTTTGTAGAATCTGCAAGTGGATATTTGGATAGCTGTGAAGATTTCGTTGGAAACGGGAATATCTTCCTATAAAGTCTGGACAGAAGCATTCTCAGAAACTGCTCTGTGATGTCTGCATTCAAGTCACAGAGTTGAACATTGCCTTTCATGGAGCAGGTTTGAAACGCTCTTTTTGTAGTATATGGAAGTGGACTTATCGGACGGTTTGAGGCCCACGGTGATAAAGGGAATATCTTCCCCTACAAGCTAGAAAGAAGCATTCTGTGAAACTTGTTTGTGATGTGTGTACTCAACTAACAGAGTTGAACCTTTCTTTTTACAGAGCAGTTTTGAAACACTCTTTTTGTAGAATCTGCGAGGGGATATTTGGATAGATTTCAGGATTTCGTTGGAAACGCGAATATCTTCATATAAAATCTCGACAGAAGCATTCTCAGAAACTTCTTTGTGATATCTGCCTTCAAGTCACAGAGTTGAATATTCCCTTTCACAGAGTAGGTTTGAAACACTCTTTTTGTAGTATCTGGAAGTGGACATTTGGAGTGCCTTGACGCCTACGGTGAAAAGGGAAATATCTTCCCATAAAGCTAGACAGAAGCAATCTCAGAATCTTCTTTGGGATATATGCACGCAGCTAACAGAGTTGAACCTTTCTATTGACAGAGCAGTTTTGAAACAGTGTTTCTGTGGAATCTGCAAGTGGATATTTGGATAGCTTGGAGGATTTCGTTGGAAACGGGATTAAGTATAAAAAGTAGACAGCAGCATCCTCAGAAACTTCTTTGTGATGTGTGCATTCAAGTCACAGAGTTGAACATTCCCTTTCGTACAGCAGTTTTGAAACACTCTTTCTGTAGTAACTGGAAGTGAACATTAGGACAGCTTTCAGGTCTATGGTGAGAAAGGAAATATGCTTCAAATAAAAACTAGACAGAAGCATTCTCATAAACTTGTTTGTGATGTGTGAACTCAGGTAACAGACGTGGATCTTTCTTTTGATAGAGCAGTTTTGAAAAACACTTTTTGTTGAATCTGCAAGTGGACATTTGGATAGATTTGAAGATTTCGTTGGAAACGGGAATATCTTCATATCAAATCTAGACAGAAGCATTCTCGGAAACGTCTTTGTCATGTTTGCATTCACCTCATAGAGTTGAACATTCCGTTTCAGAGAGCAGCTTTGAAGCACTCTTTTTGTAGTATGTGCAAGGGGATATTTGGAGCGCTCTGAGGCCTAAGGTGAAAAAGCAAATATCTTCCCATAACCACTAGACAGAAACATTCTCAGAAACTCCTTTATGACGTATGTACTCAACTAACAGAGAAGAACCTTCCTTTTGACAGAGCAGTTTTGATACACTCTTTTTGTAGAATCTGCAAGTGGATATTTGGATACCTGTGAAGATTTCGTTGGAAACGGGAATATCTTCCTATAAAATCTAGACAGAAGCATTCTCAGAAACTGCTCTGTGATGTCTGCATTCAAGTCACAGAGTTGAACATTGCCTTTCATAGAGCAGGTTTGAAATGCTCTTTTTGTAGTATATGGAAGTGGACGTTTCAGACGGTTTGAGGTCCATGGTGATAAAGGGAATATCTTCCCCTACAAGCTAGAAAGAAGCATTCTGTGAAACTTGTTTGTGATGTGTGTAGTCAACTAACAGAGTTGAACCTTTCTTTTTACAGAGCAGTTTTGAAACACTCTTTTTGTAGAATCTGCGAGGGGATATTTGGATAGATTTCAGGATTTCATTGGAAAGGGGAATATCTTCATATAAAATCTCGACAGAAGCATTCTCAGAAACTTCCTTGTGATATGTGCATTCAAGTCACAGAGTTGAATATTCCCTTTCACAGAGTAGGTTTGAAACACTCTTTTTGTAGTATCTGGAAGTGGACATTTGGAGCGCCTGGATGCCTACGGTGAAAAGGGAAATATCTTCCCATAAAAACTAGACAGAAGCAATCTCAGAATCTTCTTTGGGATATATGCACGCAGCTAACTGAGTTGAACCTTTCTATTGACAGAGCAGTTTTGAAACATTCTTTCTGTGGAATCTGCAAGTGGATATTTGGATAGCTTGGAGGATTTCGTTGGAAACAGGATTACGTATAAAAAGTAGACAGCAGCATCCTCAGAAACTTCTTTGTGATGTGTGCATTCAAGTCACAGAGTTGAACATTTCCTTTCGTACAGCAGTTTTGAAACACTCTTTCTGTAGTATCTGGAAGTGAACATTAGGACAGCTTTCAGCTCTATGGTGAGAAAGGAAATATCTTCAAATAAAAACTAGACAGAAAGCATTCTCATAAACTTGTTTGTGATGTGTGAACTCAGCTAACAACGGTGGATCTTTCTTTTGATAGAGCAGTTCTGAAAAACACTTTTTGTTGAATCTGCAAGTGGACATTTGGATAGTTTTGAAGATTTCCTTGGAAAAGGGAATATCTTCATATCAAATCTAGACAGAAGCATTCTCAGAAACGTCTTTGTGATGTTAGCATTCAACTCATAGAGTTGAACATTCCATTTCAGAGAGCAGCTTTGAGGCACTCTTTTTGTAGTATGTGCAAGTGGATATTTGGAGCGCTCTGAGGCCTACGGTGAAAAAGCAAATATCTTCCCATAACCACTAGACAGAAACATTCTCAGAAACTCCTTTATGACGTATGTACTCAACTAACAGAGAAGAACCTTCCTTTTGACAGAGAAGTTTTGATACACTCTTTTTGTAGAATCTGCAAGTGGATATTTGGATAGCTGTGAAGATTTCGTTGGAAACGGGAATATCTTCCTATAAAATCTAGACAGAAGCATTCTCAGAAACTGCTCTGTGATGTCTGCATTCATGTCACAGAGTTGAACATTGCCTTTCATAGAGCAGGTTTCAAACACTCTTTTTTTAGTATATGGAAGTGGACGTTTCGGACGGTTTGAGGCCCAAGGTGATACAGGGAATATCTTCCCCTACAAGCTAGAAAGAATCATTCTGTGAAACTTGTTTGTGATGTGTGTACTCAACTAACAGAGTTGAACCTTTCTTTTTACAGAGCAGTATTGAAACACTCTTTTTGAAGAATCTGCGAGGGGATATTTGAATAGATTTCAGGATTTCGTTGGAAACGGGAATATCTTCATATAAAATCTCGACAGAAGCATTCTCAGAAACTTCATTGTGATATCTGCATTCAAGTCACAGAGTTGAATATTCCCTTTCACAGAGTAGGTTTGAAACACTCTTTTTGTAGTATCTGTAAGTGGACATTTGGAGCGCCTTTACACCTACGGTGAAAAGGGAAATATCTTCCCATAAAAACTAGACAGAAGCAATCTCAGAATCTTCTTTGTGATATATGCACGCAGCTAACAGAGTTGAACCTTTCTATTGACAGAGCAGTTTTGAAACACTCTTTCTGTGGAATCTGCAAGTGGATATTTGCATAGATTGGAGGATTTCGTTGGAAACGGGATTACGTATAAAAAGTAGACAGCAGCATCCTCAGAAACTTCTTTGTGATGTGTGCATTCAAGTCACAGAGTTGAACATTCCCTTTCGTACAGCAGTTTTGAAACACTCTTTGTGTAGTATCTGGAAGTGAACATTAGGACAGCTTTCAGGTCTATGGTGAGAAAGGAAATATCTTCAAATAAAAACTAGACAGAAGCATTCTCATAAACTTGTTTGTGATGTGTGAACTCAGCTAACAGAGGTGGATCTTTCTTTTGATAGAGCAGTTCTGAAAAACACTTTTTGTTGAATCTGCAAGAGGACATTTGGATAGATTTGAAGATTTCGTTGGAAACGGGAATATCTTCATATCAAATCTAGACAGAAGCATTCTCAGAAACGTCTTTGTGATGTTTGCATTCAACACATAGAGTTGAACATTCCCTTTCAGAGAGCAGCTTTGAAGCACTCTTTTTGTAGCATGTGCAAGTGGACATTTGGAGCGCCCTGAGGCCTACGGGGAAAAAGCAAATATCTTCCCATAACCACTAGACAGAAACATTCTCAGAAACTCCTTTATGACGTATGCACTCACCTAACAGAAAAGAACCTTCCTTTTGACAGAGCTGTTTTGATACACTCTTTTTGTAGAATCTGCAAGTGGATATTTGGATAGCTGTGAAGATTTCGTTGGAAACGGGAATATCTTCCTATAAAATCTAGACAGAAGCATTCTCAGAAACTGCTCTGTGATGTCTGCATTCAAGTCACAGAGTTGAACATTGCTTTTCCTAGAGCAGGTTTGAAACGCTCTTTTTGTAGTATATGGAAGTGGACGTTTCGGACGGTTTGAGGCCCATGGTGATAAAGGGAATATCTTTCCCTACAAGCTAGAAAGAACCATTCTGTGAAACTTGTTTGTGATGTGTGTACTCAACTAACAGAGTTGAACCTTTCTTTTTACAGAGCAGTTTTGAAACACTCTTTTTGTAGAATCTGCGAGGGGATATTTGGATACATTTCAGGATTTCGTTGGAAACGGGAATATCTTCAGTATCAAAATCTCGATCAGAAGCATTCTCAGAAACTTCCTTGTGATATGTGCATTCAAGTCACAGTAGTTGAATATTCCCTTTCACAGAGTAGGTTTGAAACACTCTTTTTGTAGTATCTGGAAGTGGACATTTGGAGCGCCTTGACGCCTACGGTGAAAAGGGAAATATCTTCCCATAAAAACTAGACAGAAGCAATCTCAGAATCCTCTTTAGGATATATGCACGCAGCTAACAGAGTTGAACCTTTCTATTGACAGAGCAGTTTTGAAACAGTCTTTCTGTGGAATCTGCAAGTGGATATTTGGATAGCTTGGAGGATTTCGTTGGAAACGGGATTACGTATAAAAAGTAGACAGCAGCATCCTCAGAAACTACTTTGTGATGTGTGCATTCAAGTCACAGAGTTGAACATTCCCTTTCGTACAGCAGTTTTGAAACACTCTTTCTGTAGTATCTGGAAGTGAACATTAGGACAGCTTTCAGCTCTATGGTGAGAAAGGAAATATCTTCAAATAAAAACTAGACAGAAGCATTCTCATAAACTTGTTTGTGATGTGTGAACTCAGCTAACAGAGGTGAATCTTTCTTTTGATAGAGCAGTTCTGAAAAACACTTTTTGTTGAATCTGCAAGTGGACATTTGGATAGATTTGAAGATTTCGTTGGAAACGGGAATATCTTCATATCAAATACTAGACAGAAGCATTCTCAGAAACGTCTTTGTGATGTTTGCATTCAACTCATAGAGTTGAACATTCCGTTTCAGAGAGCAGCTTTGAGGCACCCTTTTTGTAGTATGTGCAAGTGGATATTTGGAGCGCTCTGAGGCCTACGGTGAAAAAGCAAATATCTTCCCATAACCACTAGACAGAAACATTCTCAGAAACTCCTTTATGACGTATGCACTCACCTAACAGAGGAGAACCTTCCTTTTGACAGAGCAGTTTTGATACACTCTTTTTGTAGAATCTGCAAGTGGATATTTGGATAGCTGTGAAGATTTCGTTGGAAACGGGAATATCTTCCTATAAAATCTAGACAGGAAGCATTCTCAGAAACTGCTCTGTGATGTCTGCATTCAGGTCACAGAGTTGAACATTGCCTTTCATAGAGCAGGTTTCAAACACTCTTTTTTTAGTATATGGAAGTGGACGATTCGGACGGTTTGAGGACCATGGTGATAAAGGAAATATCTTCCCCTACAAGCTAGAAAGAAGCATTCTGTGAAACTTGTTTGTGATGTGTGTACTCAACTAACAGAGTTGAACCTTTCTTTTTACAGAGCAGTTTCGAAACACTCTTTTTGTAGAATCTGCGAGGGGATATTTGGATAGATTTCAGGATTTCGTTGGAAACGGGAGTATCTTCATATAAAATCTCGACAGAAGCATTCTCAGAAGCTTCTTTGTGATATGTGCATTCAAGTCACAGAGTTGAATCTTCCCTTTCACAGAGTAGGTTTGAAACACTCTTTTTGTAGTATCTGGAAGTGGACATTTGGAGCGCCTTGACGCCTACGGTGAAAAGGGAAATATCTTCTCATAAAAAGTAGACACAAGCAATCTCAGAATCTTCTTTGGGATATATGCACGCAGCTAACAGAGTTGAACCTTTCTATTGACAGAGCAGTTTTGAAACAGTCTTTCTGTGGAATCTGCAAGTGGATACTTGGATAGCTTGGAGGATTTCGTTGGAAACGGGATTACGTATAAAAAGAAGACAGCAGCATCCTCAGAAACTTCTTTGTGATGTGTGCATTCAAGTCACAGAGTTGAACATTCCCTTTCGTACAGCAGTTTTGAAACACTCCTTCTGTAGTATCTGGAAGTGAACATTAGGACAGCTTTCAGGTCTATGGTGAGAAAGGAAATATCTTCAAATAAAAACTAGACAGAAGCATTCTCATAAACTTGTTTCTGATGTGTGAACTAAGCTAACAGAGGTGGATCTTTCTTTTGATAGAGCAGTTCTGAAAAACACTTTTTGTTGAATCTGCAAGTGGACATTTGGATAGATTTGAAGATTTCGTTGGAAACGGGAATATCTTCATATCAAATCTAGACAGAAGCATTCTCAGAAACGTCTTTGTGATGTTTGCATTCAACTCATAGAGTTGCACATTCCGTTTCAGAGAGCAGCTTTGAGGCACTCTTTTTGTAGTATGTGCAAGTGGATATTTGGAGCGCTCTGAGGCCTACGGTGAAAAAGCAAATATCTTCCCATAACCACTAGACTGAAACATTCTCAGAAACTCCTTTATGACGTATGTACTCAACTAACAGAGGAGAACATTCCTTTTGACAGAGCAGTTTTGATACACTCTTTTTGTAGAATCTGCAAGTGGATATTTGGATAGCTTGGAAGATTTCGTTGGAAAAGGGAATATCTTCCTATAAAACCTAGACAGAAGCATTCTCAGAAACTGCTCTGTGATGTCTGCATTCAAGTCACAGAGTTGAACATTGCCTTTCATAGAGCAGGTTTGAAACGCTCTTTTTGTAGTATATGGAAGTGGACGTTTCAGACGGTTTGAGGCCCATGGTGTTAAAGGGAATATCTTGCCCTACAAGCTAGAAAGAAGCATTCTGTGAAACTTGTTTGTGATGTGTGTACTCAACTAACAGAGTTGAACCTTTCTTTTTACAGAGCAGTTTTGAAACAATCTTTTTGTAGAATCTGCGAGGGGATATTTGGATAGATTTCAGGATTTCGTTGGAAAGGGGAATATCTTCATATAAAATCTCGACAGAAGCATTCTCAGAAACTTCCTTGTGATATGTGCATTCAAGTCACAGAGTTGAATATTCCCTTTCACAGAGTAGGTTTGAAACACTCTTTTTGTAGTATCTGGAAGTGGACATTTGGAGCGCCTTGACGCCTACGGTGAAAAGGGAAATATCTTCCCTTAAAAACTACACAGAAGCAATCTCAGAATCTTCTTTGGGATATATGCACGCAGCTAAGAGAGTTGAACCTTTCTATTGACAGTGCAGTTTTGAAATAGTCTTTCTGTGGAATCTGCAAGTAGATATTTGGATAGCTTGGAGGATTTCGTTGGAAACGGGATTACGTATAAAAAGTAGACAGCAGCATCCTCAGAAAACTTCTTTGTGATGTGTGCATTCAAGTCACAGAGTTGAACATTCCCTTTCGTACAGCAGTTTTGAAACACTCTTTCTGTAGTATCTGGAAGTGAACATTAGGACAGCTTTCAGGTCTATGGTGAGAAGGGAAATATCTTCAAATAAAAACTAGACAGAAGCATTCTCATAAACTTGCTTGTGATGTGTGAACTCAGCTAACAGAGGTGGATCTTTCTTTTGATAGAGCAGTTCTGAAAAACACTTTTTGTTGAATCTGCAAGTGGACATTTGGATAGATTTGAAGATTTCGTTGGAAACGGGAATATCTTCATATCAAATCTAGACAGAAGCATTCTCAGAAACGTCTTTGCGATGTTTGCATTCAACTCATAGAGTTGAACATTCCGTTTCAGAGAGCAGCTGTGAGGCACTCTTTTTGTAGTATGTGCAAGTGGATATTTGGAGCGCTCTGAGGCCTACGGTGAAAAGGCAAATATCTTCCCATAACCACTAGACAGAAACATTCTCAGAAACTCCTTTATGACGTATGCACTCACCTAAAAGAGAAGAACCTTCCTTTTGACAGAGCAGTTTTGATACACTCTTTTTGTAGAATCTGCAAGTGGATATTTGGATAGCTGTGAAGATTTTGCTGGAAACGGGAATATCTTCTTATAAAATCTAGACAGCAGCATTCTCAGAAACTGCTCTGTGATGTCTGCATTCAAGTCACAGAGTTGAACATTGCCTTTCATAGAGCAGGTTTGAAATGCTCTTTTTTTAGTATATGGAAGTGGACTTTTCGGACGGTTTGAGGCCCATGGTGATAAAGGGAATATCTTCCCCTACAAGCTAGAAAGAAGCATTCTGTGAAACTTGTTTGTGATGTGTGTACTCAACTAACAGAGTTGAACCTTTCTTTTTACAGAGCAGTTTTGCAACACTCTTTTTGTAGAATCTGCGAGGGGATATTTGGATAGATTTCAGGATTTCGTTGGAAACGGGAATATCTTCATATAAAATCTCGACAGAAGCATTCTCAGAATCTTCTTTGTGATATGTGCATTCAAGTCACAGAGTTGAATATTCCCTTTCACAGAGTAGGTTTGAAACACTCTTTTTGTAGTATCTGGAAGTGGACATTTGGAGCGCCTTGACACCTACGGTGAAAAGCAAAATATCTTCCCATAAAAACTAGACAGAAGCAATCTCAGAATCTTCTTTGGGATATATGCACGCAGCTAACAGAGTTGAACCTTTCTATTGACAGAGCAGTTTTGAAACAGTCTTTCTGTGGAATCTGCAAGTGGATACTTGGATAGCTTGGAGGATTTCGTTGGAAACGGGATTAAGTATAAAAAGTAGACAGCAGCATCCTCAGAAACTTCTTTGTGATGTCTGCATTCAAGTCACAGAGTTGAACATTCCCTTTCGTACAGCAGTTTTGAAACACTCTTTCTGTAGTATCTGCAAGTGAACATTAGGACAGTTTTCAGGTCTATGGTGAGAAAGGAAATATCTTCAAATAAAAACTAGACAGAAGCATTCTGATAAACTTGTTTGTGAAGTGTGAACTCAGCTAACAGAGGTGGATCTTTCTTTTGATAGAGCAGTTCTGAAAAACACTTTTTGTTGAATCTGCAAGTGGACATTTGGATAGATTTGAAGATTTCGTTAGAAACGGGAATATCTTCATATCAAATCTAGACAGAAGCATTCTCAGAAACGTCTTTGTGATGTTTGCATTCAACTCATAGAGTTGAACATTCCCTTTCAGAGAGCAGCTTTGAAGCACTCTTTTTGTAGTATGTTCAAGTGGACATTTGGAGCGCTTTGAGGCCTACGGGGAAAAAGCAAATATCTTCCCATAACCACTAGACAGAAACATTCTCAGAAACTCCTTTATGACGTATGCACTCACCTAACAGAAAAGAACCTTCCTTTTGACAGAGCAGTTTTGATACACTCTTTTTGTAGAATCTGCAAGTGGATATTTGGGATAGCTGTGAAGATTTCGTTGGAAACGGGAATATCTTCCTATAAAATCTAGACAGAAGCATTCTCAGAAACTGCTCTGTGATGTCTGCATTCAAGTCACAGAGTTGAACATTCCCTTTCATACAGCAGTTTTGAAACACTCTTTCTGTAGTATCTGGAAGTGAACATTAGGACAGCTTTCAGGTCTATGGCGAGAAAGGAAATATCTTCAAATAAAAACTAGACAGAAGCATTCTGTGAAACTTGTTTGTGATGTGTGTACTCAACTAACAGAGTTGAACCTTTCTTTTCACAGAGCAGTTTTGAAACACTCTTTTTGTAGAATCTGCGAGGGGATATTTGGATAGATTTCAGGATTTCGTTGGAAACAGGAATATCTTCATATAAAATCTCGACAGAAGCATTCTCAGAAACTTCTTTGTGATATGTGCATTCAAGTCACAGAGTTGAATATTCCCTTTCACAGAGTAGGTTTGAAACACTCTTTTTGTAGTATCTGGAAGTGGACATTTGGAGCGCCTTGACGCCTACGGTGAAAAGGGAAATATCTTCCCATAAAAAGTAGACAGAAGCAATCTCAGAATCTTCTTTGTGATATATGCACGCAGCTAACAGAGTTGAACCTTTCTATTGACAGAGCAGTTTTGTAACAGTCTTTCTGTGGAATCTACAAGTGGATATTTGGATAGCTTGGAGGATTTCGTTGGAAACGGGATTAGGTATAAAAAGTAGACAGCAGCATCCTCAGAAACTGCTTTGTGATGTGTGCATTCAAGTCACAGAGTTGAACATTCCCTTTCATACAGCAGTTTTGAAACACTCTTTCTGTAGTATCTGGAAGTGAACTTTAGGAGAGCTTTCAGGTCTATAGTGAGAAAGGATATATCTTCAAATAAAACTAGACAGAAGCATTCTCATAAACTTGTTTCTGATGTGTGAACTCAGCTAACAGAGGTGGATCTTTCTTTTGATAGAGAAGTTCTGAAAAACACTTTTTGTTGAATCTGCAAGTGGACATTTGGATAGATTTGAAGATTTCGTTGGAAACGGGAATATCTTCATATCAAATCTAGACAGAAGCATTCTCAGAGACGTCTTTGTGATGTTTGCATTCAACTCATAGAGTTGAACATTCCGTTTCAGAGAGCAGCTTTGAGGCACTCTTTTTGTAGTATGTGCAAGTGGATATTTGGACCGCTCTGTGGCCTACGGTGAAAAAGCAAATATCTTCCCATAACCACTAGACAGAAACATTCTCAGAAACTCCTTTATGACGTGTGCACTCACCTAACAGAGAAGAACCTTCCTTTTGACAGAGCAGTTTTGATACACTCTTTTTGTAGAATCCGCAAGTGGATATTTGGATAGCTGTGAAGATTTCGTTGGAAACGGGAATATCTTCCTATAAAATCTAGACAGAAAGCATTCTCAGAAACTGCTCTGTGATGTCTGCATTCAAGTCACAGAGTTGAACATTGCCTTTCATAGAGCAGGTTTGAAACGCTCTTTTTGTAGTATATGGAAGTGGACTTTTCGGAAGGTTTGAGGCCCATGGTGATAAAGGGAATATCTTCCCCTACAAGCTAGAAAGAAGCATTCTGTGAAACTTGTTTGTGATGTGTGTACTCAACTAACAGAGTTGAACCTTTCTTTTCACAGAGCAGTTTTGAAACACTCTTTTTGTAGAATCTGCGAGCGGATATTTGGATAGATTTCAGGATTTCGATGGAAACGGGAATATCTTCATATAAAATCTCGACAGAAGCATTCTCAGAAACTTCTTTGTGATATGTGCATTCAAGTCACAGAGTTGAATATTCCCTTTCACAGAGTAGGTTTGAAACACTCTTTTTGTAGTATCTGGAAGTGGACATTTGGAGCGCCTTGATGCCTACGGTGAAAAGGGAAATATCTTCCCATAAAAACTAGACAGAAGCAATCTCAGAATCTTCCTTGGGATATATGCACGCAGCTAACAGAGTTGAACCTTTCTATTGACAGAGCAGTTTTGAAACAGTCTTTCTGTGGAATCTGCAAGTGGACATTTGGATAGCTTGGAGGATTTCGTTGGAAACGGGATTACGTATAAAAAGTAGACAGCAGCATCGTCAGAAACTTCTTTGTGATGTGTGCATTCAAGTCACAGAGTTGAACATTCCCTTTCGTACAGCAGTTTTGAAACACTTTTTCTGTAGCATCTGGAAGAGAACATTAGGACAGCTTTCAGGTCTAGGGTGAGAAAGGCAATATCTTCAAATAAAAACTAGACAGAAGCATTCTCATAAACTTTTTTGTGATGTGTGAACTCAGCTAACAGAGGTGGATCTTTCTTTTGATAGAGCAGTTCTGAAAAACACTTTTTGTTGAATCTGCAAGTGGACATTTGGATAGATTTGAAGATTTCGTTGGAAACGGGAATATCTTCATAACAAATCTAGACAGAAGCATTCTCAGAAACGTCTTTGTGATGTTTGCATTCAACTCATAGAGTTGAACATTCCCTTTCAGAGAGCAGCTTTGAAGCACTCTTTTTGTAGTATGTGCAAGTGGATATTTGGAGCGCTACTGAGGCCTACGGTGAAAAAGCAAATATCTTCCCATAACCACTAGGCAGAATCATTCTCAGAAACTCCTTTATGACGTATGTACTCAACTAACAGAGAAGAACCTTCCTTTTGACAGAGCAGTTTTGATACACTCTTTTTGTAGAATCTGCAAGTGGATATTTGGATAGCTGTGAAGATTTCGTTGGAAACGGGAATATCTTCCTATAAAATCTAGACAGAAGCATTCTCAGAAACTGCTCTGTGATGTCTGTATTCAAGTCACAGAGTTGAACATTGCATTTCATAGAGCAGGTTTGAAACGCTCTTTTTGTAGTATATGGAAGTGGATGTTTCGGACGGTTGGAGGCCCATGGTGATAAAGGGAATATCTTCCCCTACAAGCTAGAAAGAAGCATTCTGTGAAACTTGTTTGTGATGTGTGTACTCAACTAAGAGAGTTGAACCTTTCTTTTCACAGAGCAGTTTTGAAACACTGTTTTTGTAGAATCTGCGAGGGGATATTTGGATAGATTTCAGGATTTCGTTGGAAACGGGAATATCTTCATACAAAATCTCGACAGGAGCATTCTCAGAAACTTCTTTGTGATATGTGCATTCAAGTCACAGAGTTGAATATTCCCTTTCACAGAGTAGGTTTGAAACACTCTTTTTGTAGTATCTGGAAGTGGACATTTGGAGCGCCTTGACACCTACGGTGAAAAGGGAAATATCTTCCAATAAAAACTAGACAGAAGCAATCTCAGAATCTTCTTAGGGATATATGTACGCAGCTAATAGAGTTGAACCTTTCTATTGACAGAGCAGTTTTGAAACAGTCTTTCTGTGGAATCTGCAAGTGGATATTTGGATAGCTTGGAGGATTTCGTTGGAAACGGGATTACGTATAAAAAGTAGACAGCAGCATCCTCAGAAACTTCTTTGTGATGTGTGCATTCAAGTCACAGAGTTGAACATTCCCTTTCATACAGCAGTTTTGAAACACTGTTTCTGTAGTATCTGGAAGTGAACATTAGGACAGCTTTCAGGTCTATGGTGAGAAAGGCAATATCTTCAAATAAAAACTAGACAGAAAGAATTCTCATCAACTTGTTTGTGATGTGTGAACTCAGCTAACACACGTGGATCTTTCTTTTGATAGAGCAGTTCTGAAAAACACTTTGTTGAATCTGCAAGTGGACATTTGGATAGATTTCAAGATTTCGTTGGAAACGGGAATATCTTCATATCAAATCTAGACAGAAGCATTCTCAGAAACGTCTTTGTGATGTTTGCATTCAACTCATAGAGTTGAACATTCCGTTTCAGAGAGCAGCTTTGAAGGACTCTTTTTGTAGTATGTGCAAGTGGATATTTGGAGCGCTCTGAGGCCTACGGTGAAAAAGCAAATATCTTCCCATAACCACTAGACAGAAACATTCTCAGAAACTTCTTTATGACGTATGTACTCAACTAACACAGAAGAACCTTCCTTTTGACAGAGCAGTTTTGATAAACTCTTTTTGTAGAATCTGCAAGTGGATATTTGGATATCTGTGAAGAATTCGTTGGAAACGGGAATATCTTCCTATAAAATCTAAACAAAAGCATTCTCAGAAACTGCTCTGTGATGTCTGCATTCAAGTCACAGAGTTGAACATTGCCTTTCATAGAGCAGGTTTGAAACGCTCTTTTTGTAGTATATGGAAGTGGAAGTTTCGGACGGTTGGAGGCCCATGGTGATAAAGGGAATATCTTCCCCTACAAGCTAGAAAGAAGCATTCTGTGAAACTTGTTTGTGATGTGTGTACTCAACTAACAGAGTTGAACCTTTCTTTTTACAGAGTAGTTTTGAAACACTCTTTTTGTAGAATCTGCGAGGGGATATTTGGATAGGTTTCAGGATTTCGTTGGAAACGGGAATATCTTCATATAAAATCTCGACAGAAGCATTCTCAGAAACTTCTTTGTGATATCTGCATTCAAGTCACAGAAGTGAATATTCCCTTTCACAGAGTAGGTTTGAAACACTCTTTTTGTAGTATCTGGAAGTGGACATTTGGAGCGCCTTGACGCCTATGGTTAAAAGGGAAATATCTTCCCATAAAAACTAGACAGAAGCAATCTCAGAATCCGCTTTGGGATATATGCACGCAGCTAACAGAGTTGAACCTTTCTATTGACAGAGCAGTTTTGAAACAGTCTTTCTGTGGAATCTGCAAGTGGATATTTGGATAGCTTGGAGGATTTCGTTGGAAACGGGATTACGTATAAATAGTAGACAGCAGCATCCTCAGAAACTTTTTTGTGATATGTGCATTCAAGCCACAGATTTGAACATTCCCTTTCGTACAGCAGTTTTGAAACACTCTTTCTGTAGTATCTGGAAGTGAACATTAGGACAGCTTTCAGGTCTATGGTGAGAAAGGAAATATCTTCAAATAAAAACTAGACAGAAGCATTCTGATAAACTTGTTTGTGAAGTGTGATCTCAGCTAACAGAGGTGGATCTTTCTTTTGATAGAGTAGTTCTGAAAAACACTTTGTTGAATCTGCAAGTGGACATTTGGATAGATTTGAAGATTTCGTTGGAAACGGGAATATCGTCATAAATCTAGACAGAATCATTCTCAGAAACGTCTTTGTCATGTTTGCATTCAACTCATAGAGTTGAACATTCCGTTTCAGAGAGCAGCTTTGAAGCACTCTTTTTGTAGTATGTGCAAGTGGATATTTGGAGCGCTCTGAGGCCTAAGGTGAAAAAGCAAATATCTTCCCGTAACCACTAGACAGAAACATTCTCAGAAACTCCTTTATGACGTATGCACTCACCTAACAGAGAAGAACCTTCCTTTTGACAGAGCAGTTTTGATACACTCTTTTTGTAGAATCTGCAAGTGGATATTTGGATAGCTGTGAAGATTTCGTTGGAAAGGGGAATATCTTCCTATAAAATCTAGACGGAAGCATTCTCAGAAACTGCTCTGTGATGTCTGCATTCAAGTCACAGAGTTGAACATTGCATTTCATAGAGCAGGTTTGAAATGCTCTTTTTGTAGTATATGGAAGTGGACGTTTCAGACGGTTTGAGGCCCATGGTGATAAAGGGAATATCTTCCCCTACAAGCTAGAAAGAAGCATTCTGTGAAACTTGTTTGTGATGTGTGTACTCAACTAACAGAGTGGAACCTTTCTTTTTACAGAGCAGTTTTGAAACACTCTTTTTGTAGAATCTGCGAGGGGATATTTGGATAGATTTCAGGATTTCGTTGGAAACGGGAATATCTTAATATAAAATCTCGGCAAAAGCATTCTCAGAAACTTCTTTGTGATATGTGCATTCAAGTCACAGAGTTGAATATTCCCTTTCACAGAGTAGGTTTGAAACACTCTTTTTGTAGCATCTGGAAGTGGACATTTGGAGTGCCTTGACTCCTACGGTGAAAAGGGAAATATCTTCCCATAAAAACTAGACAGAAGCAATCTCAGAATCTTCTTTGGGATATATGCACGCAGCTAATAGAGTTGAACCTTTCTATTGACAGAGCAGTTTTGAAACAGTCTTTCTGTGGAATCTGCAAGTGGATATTTGGATAGCTTGGAGGATTTCGTTGGAAACGGGATTACGTAGAAAAAGTAGACAGCAGCATCCTCAGAATCTTCTTTGTGATGTGTGCATTCAAGTCACAGAGTTGAACATTCCCTTTCGTACAGCAGTTTTTAAACACTCTTTCTGTAGTATCTGGAAGTGAACATTAGGACAGCTTTCAGGTCTATGGTGAGAAAGGAAATATCTTCAAATAAAAACTAGACAGAAGCATTCTCATAAACTTGTTTGTGATGTGTGAACTCAGCTAACAGAGGTGGATCTTTCTTTTGATAGAGCAGTTCTGAAAAACACTTTTTGTTGAATCTGCAAGTGGACATTTGGATAGATTTGAAGATTTCGTTGGAAACGGGAATATCTTCATATCAAATCTAGACAGCAGCATTCTCAGAAACGTCTTTGCGATGTTTGCATTCAACTCACAGAGTTGAACATTCCGTTTCAGAGAGCAGCTTTGAGGCACTCTTTTTGTAGTATGTGCAACTGGATATTTGGAGCGCTCTGAGGCCTACGGTGAAAAAGAAAATATCTTCCCATAACCACTAGACAGAAACATTCTCAGAAACTTCTTTATGACGTATGTACTCAACTAGCAGAGAAGAACTTTCCTTTTGACAGAGCATTTTTGATACATTCTTTTTGTAGTATCTGCAAGTGGATATTTGGATAGCTGTGAAGATTTCGTTGGAAACGGGAATATCTTCCTATAAAGTCTGGACAGAAGCATTCTCAGAAACTGCTCTGTGATGTCTGCATTCAAGTCACAGAGTTGAACATTGCCTTTCATAGAGCAGGTTTGAAACGCTCTTTGTGTAGTATATGGAAGTGGATGTTTCGGACGGTTGGAGGCCCATGGTGATAAAGGGAATATCTTCCCCTACAAGCTAGAAAGAAGCATTCTGTGAAAGTTGTTTGTGATGTCTGTACTCAACTAACAGAGTTGAACCTTTCTTTTTACAGAGCAGTTTTGAAACACTCTTTTTGTAGAATCTGCGAGGGGATATTTGGATAGATTTCAGGATTTCGTTGGAAACGGGAATATCTTCATAAAAAATCTCGACAGAAGCATTCTCAGAAACTTCTTTGTGATATGTGCATTCAAGTCACAGAGTTGAATATTCCCTTTCACACAGTAGGTTTGAAACACTCTTTTTGTAGTATCTGGAAGTGGACATTTGGAGCGCCTTGACGCCTACGGTGAAAAGGGAAATATCTTCCCACAAAAACTAGACAGAAGCAATCTCAGAATCTTCTTTGGGATATATGCACGCAGCTAACAGAGTTGAACCTTTCTATTGACAGAGCAGTTTTGAAACATTCTTTCTGTGGAATCTGCAAGTGGATATTTGGATAGCTTGGAGGATTTCGTTGGAAACAGGATTACGTATAAAAAGTAGACAGCAGCATCCTCAGAAACATCCTTGTGATGTGTGCATTCAAGTCACAGAGTTGAACATTCCCTTTCGTACAGCAGTTTTGAAACACTCTTTCTGTAGTATCTGGAAGTGAACTTTAGGACACCTTTCAGGTCTATAGTGAGAAAGGATATATCTTCAAATAAAAACTAGACAGAAGCATTCTCATAAACTTGTTTGTGATGTGTGAACTCAGCTAACAGAGGTGGATCTTTCTTTTGATAGAGCAGTTCTGATAAACACTTTTTGTTGAATCTGCAAGTGGACATTTGGATAGATTTGAAGATTTCGTTGGAAACGGGAATATCTTCATATCAAATCTAGACAGAAGCATTCTCGGAAACGTCTTTGTGATGTTTGCATTCAACTCATAGAGTTGAACATTCCGTTTCAGAGAGCAGCTTTGAAGCACTCTTTTTGTAGTATGTGCAAGTGGATATTTGGAGCGCTGTGAGGCCTACGGTGAAAAAGCAAATATCTTCCCATAACCACTAGACAGAAACATTCTCAGAAACTCCTTTATGACGTATGCACTCACCTAACAGAGAAGAACCTTCCTTTTGACAGAGCAGTTTTGATACACTCTTTTTGTAGAATCTGAAAGTGGATATTTGGATAGCTGTGAAGAGTTCGTTGGAAACGGGAATATCTTCCTATAAAATCTAGACAGAAGCATTCTCAGAAACTGCTCTGTGATGTCTGCATTCAAGTCACAGAGTTGAACATTGCCTTTCATAGAGCAGGTTTGAAACGCTCTTTTTGTAGTATATGGAAGTGGACGTTTCGGACGGTTTGAGGCCCATGGTGATAAAGGGAATATCTTCCCCTACAAGCTAGAAAGCAGCATTCTGTGAAACTTGTTTGTGATGTGTGCACTCAACTAACAGAGTTGAACCTTTCTCTTTACAGAGCAGTTTTGAAACACTCTTTTTGTAGAATCTACGAGGGGATATTTGGATACATTTCAGGATTTCGCTGGAAACGGGAATATCTTCATATAAAATCTCGACAGAAGCACTCTCAGAAACTTCTTTGTGATATGTGCATTCAAGTCACAGAGTTGAATATTCCCTTTCACAGAGTAGGTTTGAAACACTCTTTTTGTAGTGTCTGGAAGTGGACATTTGGAGCGCCTTGACACCTACGGTGAAAAGGGAAATATCTTCCCATAAAAACTAGACAGAAGCAATCTCAGAATCTTCTTTGGGATATATGCACGCAGCTAACAGAGTTGAACCTTTCTATTGACAGAGCAGTTTTGAAACAGTCTTTCTGAGGAATCTGCAAGTGGATATTTGGATAGCTTGGAGGATTTCGTTGGAAACGGGATTACGTATAAAAAGTAGACAGCAGCATCCTCAGAAACTTCTTTGTGATGTGTGCATTCAAGTCACAGGGTTGAACATTCCCTTTCGTACAGCAGTTTTGAAACACTCTTTCTATAGTATCTGGAAGTGAACATTAGGACAGCTTTCACGTCTATGGTGAGAAAGGAAATATCTTCAAATAAAAACTAGACAGAAGCATTCTCATAAACTTGTTTGTGATGTGTGAACTCAGCTAACAGAGGTGGATCTTTCTTTTGATAGAGCAGTTCTGAAAAACACTTTTTGTTGAATCTGCAAGCGGACATTTGGATATATTTGAAGATTTCGTTGGAAACGGGAATATCTTCATATCAAATCTAGACAGAAGCATTCTCAGAAACGTCTTTGTGATGTTTGCATTCAACTCATAGAGTTGAACGTTCCGTTTCAGAGAGCAGCTTTGAAGCACTCTTTTTGTAGTATGTGCAAGTGGATATTTGGAGCGCTCTGAGGCCTACGGTGAAAAAGCAAATATCTTCCCATAACCACTAGACAGAAACATTCTCAGAAACTCCTTTATGACGTATGCACTCACCTAACAGAGAAGAACCTTCCTTTTGACAGAGCAGTTTTGATACACTCTTTTTGTAGAACCTGCAAGTGGATATTTGGATAGCTGTGAAGATTTCGTTGGAAACGGTAATATCTTCCTATAAAATCTAGACAGAAGCATTCTCAGAAACTGCTCTGTGATGTCTGCATTCAAGTCACAGAGTTGAACATTGCCTTTCATAGAGCAGGTTTGAAACGCTCTTTTTGTAGTATATGGAAGTGGACGTTTCGGACGGTTTGAGTCCCATGGTGATAAAGGGAATATCTTCCACCACAAGCTAGAAAGAAGCATTCTGTGAAACTTGTTTGTGATGTGTGTACTCAACTAACAGAGTTGAACCTTTCTTTTTAAAGAGCAGTTTTGAAACACTCTTTTTGTAGAATCTGCGAGGGGATATTTGGATAGATTTCAGGATTTCGTTGGAAACGGGAATATCTTCATATGAAATCTCGACAGAAGCATTCTCAGAAACTTCCTTGTGATATGTGCATTCAAGTCACAGAGTTGAATATTCCCTTTCACAGAGTAGGTTTGAAACACTCTTTTTGTAGTATCTGGAAGTGGACATTTGGAGCGCCTTGACGCCTACGGTGAAAAGGGAAGTATCTTCCCATCAAAACTAGACAGAAGCAATCTCAGAATCTTCTTTGGGATATACGCACGCAGCTAACAGAGTTGAACCTTTCTATTGACAGAGCAGTTTTGAAACAGTCTTTCTGTGGAATCTGCAAGTGGATATTTGGATAGCTTGGAGGATTTCGTTGGAAACGGGATTACGTATAAAAAGTAGACAGCAGCATCCTCAGAAACTTCTTTGTGATGTGTGCATTCAAGTCACAGAGTTGAACATTCCCTTTCGTACAGCAGCTTTGAAACACTCTTTCTGTAGTATCTGGAAGTGAACATTAGGACAGCTTTCAGGTCTGTGGTGAAAAAGGGAATATCTTCAAATAAAAACTAGACAGAAGCATTCTCATAAACTTGTTTGTGATGTGTGAACTCAGCTAACAGAGGTGGATCTTTCTTTTGATAGAGCAGTTCTGAAAAACACTTTTTGTTGAATCTGCAAGTGGACATTTGGATAGATTTGAAGATTTCGTTGGAAACGGGAATATCTTCATATCAAATCTAGACAGAAGCATTCTCAGAAACGTCTTTGCGATGTTTGCATTCAACTCATAGAGTTGAACATTCCGTTTCAGAGAGCAGCTTTGAGGCACTCTTTTTGTAGTATGTGCAAGTGGATATTTGGAGCGCTCTGAGGCTTACGGTGAAAAAGCAAATATCTTCCCATAACCACTAGTCAGAAACATTCTCAGAAACTCCTTTATGACGTATGCACTCACCTAACAGAGAAGAACCTTCCTTTTGACAGAGCAGTTTTGATACACTCTTTTTGTAGAATCTGCAAGTGGATATTTGGATAGCTGTGAAGATTTCGTTGGAATCGGGAATATCTTCCTACAAAATCTAGACAGAAGCATTCTCAGAAACTGCTCTGTGATGTCTGCATTCAAGTCATAGAGTTGAACATTGCCTTTCATAGAGCAGGTTTGAAACGCTCTTTTTGTAGTATATGGAAGTGGACGTTTCGGACGGTTTGAGGCCCATGGTGATAAAGGGAATATGTTCCCCTACAAGCTAGAAAGAAGCATTCTATGAAACTTGTTTGTGATGTGTGTACTCAACTAACAGAGTTGAACCTTTCTTTTTAAAGAGCAGTTTTGAAACACTCTTTTTGTAGAATCTGTGAGGGGATATTTGGATAGATTTGAGGATTTCGTTGGGAACGGGAATATCTTCATATAAAATCTCGACAGAAACATTCTCAGAAACCTCTTTGTGATATGTGCATTCAAGTCACAGAGTTGAATATTCCCTTTGACAGAGTAGGTTTGAAACACTCCTTTTGTAGTATCTGGAAGTGGACATTTGGAGCACCTTGACGCCTACGGTGAAAAGGGAAATATCTTCCCATAAAAACTAGACAGAAGCAATCTCAGAATCTTCTTTGGGATATATGCACGCAGCTAACAGAGTTGAACCTTTCTATTGACAGAGCAGTTTTGAAAGAGTCTTTCTGTGGAATCTGCAAGTGGATATTTGGATAGCTTGGAGGATTTCGTTGGAAACGGGATTACGTATAAAAAGTAGACAGCAGCATCCTCAGAAACTCCTTTGTGATGTGTGCATTCAAGTCACAGAGTTGAACATTCCCTTTCGTACAGCAGTTTTGAAACACTCTTTCTGTAGTATATGGAAGTGAACATTAGGACAGCTTTCAGCTCTATGGTGAGAAAGGAAATATCTTCAAATAAAAACTAGACAGAAGCATTCTCATAAACTTGTTTGTGATGTGTGAACTCAGCTAACAGAGGTGGATCTTTCTTTTGATAGAGCAGTTCTGAAAAACACTTTTTGTTGAATCTGCAAGTGGACATTTGGATAGATATGAAGATTTCGTTGGAAACGGGAATATCTTCATATCAAATCTAGACAGAAGCATTCTCAGAAACGTCTTTGTGATGTTTGCATTCAACTCATAGAGTTGAACATTCCGTTTCAGAGAGCAGCTTTGAGGCACTCTTTTTGTAGTATGTGCAAGTGGATATTTGGAGCGCTCTGAGGCCTACGGTGAAAAAGCAAATATCTTCCCATGACCACTAGACAGAAACATTCTCAGAAACTCCTTTATGACGTATGCACTCACCTAACAGAAAAGAACCTTCCTTTTGACAGAGCAGTTTTGATACACTCTTTTTGTAGAATCTGCAAGTGGATATTTGGATAGCTGTGAAGATTTCGTTGGAAACTTGAATATCTTCCTATAAAATCTAGACAGAAGCATTCTCAGTAAACTGCTCTGTGATGTCTGCATTCAAGTCACAGAGTTGAACATTGCCTTTCATGGAGCAGGTTTGAAACGCTCTTTTTGTAGTATATGGAAGTGGACTTATCGGACGGTTTGAGGCCCACGGTGATAAAGGGAATATCTTCCCCTACAAGCTAGAAAGAAGCATTCTGTGAAACTTGTTTGTGATGTGTGTACTCAACTAACAGAGTTGAACCTTTCTTTTTACAGCGCAGTTTTGAAACACTCTTTTTGTAGAATCTGCGAGGGGATATTTGGATAGATTTCAGGATTTCGTTGGAAACGGGAATATCTTCATATAAAATCTCGACAGAAGAATTCTCAGAAACTTCTTTGTGATATCTGCATTCAAGTGACAGAGTTGAATATTCCCTTTCACAGAGTAGGTTTGAAACACTCTTTTTGTAGTATCTGGAAGTGGACATTTTGAGCGCCTTGACACCTACGGTGAAAAGGGAAATATCTTCCCATAAAAACTAGACAGAAAGCAATCTCAGAATCTTCTTTGGGATATATGCACGCAGCTAACAGAGTTGAACCTTTCTATTGACAGAGCAGTTTTGTAACAGTTTTTCTGTGGAATCTGCAAGTGGATATTTGGATAGCTTGGAGGATTTCGTTGGAAACGGGTTTACGTATAAAAAGTAGACAGTAGCATCCTCAGAAACTTCTTTGTTATGTGTGCATTCAAGTCACAGAGTTGAACATTCCCTTTCGTACAGCAGTTTTGAAACACTCTTTCTGTAGTATCTGGAAGTGAACATTAGGACAGCTTTCAGCTCTATGGTGAGAAAGGAAATATCTTCAAATAAAAACTAGACAGAAGCATTCTCATAAACTTGTTTGTGATGTGTGAACTCAGCTAACAGAGGTGGATCTTTCTTTTGATAGAGCAGTTCTGAAAAACACTTTTTGTTGAATCTGCAAGTGGATATTTGGATAGATTGAAGATTTCGTTGGAAACGGGAATATCTTCATATCAAATCTAGACAGAAGCATTCTCAGAAACGTCTTTGTGATGTTTGCATTCAACTCATAGAGTTGAACATTCCCTTCCATAGAGCAGATATGAAGCACTCTTTTTGTAGCATGTGCAAGTGGACATTTGGAGCGCCCTGAGACCTACGGGGAAAAAGCAAATATCTTCCCATAACCACTAGACAGAAACATTCTCAGAAACTCCTTTATGAAGTATGCACTCACCTAACAGAGAAGAACCTTCCTTTTGACAGAGCAGTTTTGATAAACTCTTTTTGTAGAATCTGCAAGTGGATATTTGGATAGCTGTGAAGATTTCGTTGGAAACGGGAATATCTTCCTATAAAATACTAGACAGAAGCATTCTCAGAAACTGCTCTGTGATGTCTGCATTCAAGTCACAGAATTGAACATTGCCTTTCATAGAGCAGGTTTGAAACGCTCTTTTTGTACTATATGGAAGAGGACGTTTCGGACGGTTTGAGGACCATGGTGATAAAGGGAATATCTTCCCCTACAAGCTAGAAAGAAGCATTGTGTGAAACTAGTTTGGGATGTGTGTACTCAACTAACAGAGTTGAACCTTTCTTTTTACAGAGCAGTTTTGAAACACTCTTTTTGTAGAATCTGCGAGGGGATATTTGGATAGATTTCAGGATTTCGTTGGAAACGGGAATATCTTCATATAAAAGTCTCGACAGAAGCATTCTCAGAAACTTCTTTGTGATATCTGCATTCAAGTCACAGAGTTGAATATTCCCTTTCACCGAGTAGGTTTGAAACACTCTTTTTGTAGTATCTGGAAGTGGACATTTGGAGCGCCTTGACGCCTACGGTGAAAAGGGAAATATCTTCCCATAAAAACTAGACAGAAGCAATCTCAGAATCTTCTTTGTGATATATGCACGCAGCTAACAGAGTTGAACCTTTCTATTGACTGAGCAGATTTGAAACAGTCTTTCTGTGGAATCTGCAAGTGGATATTTGGATAGCTTGGAGGATTTCATTGGAAACGGGATTACGTATAAAAAGTAGACAGCAGCATCCTCAGAAACTTCTTTGTGATGTGTGCATTCAAGTCACAGAGTTGAACATTCCCTTTCGTACAGCAGTTTTGAAACACTCTTTCTGTAGTATCTGGAAGTGAACATTAGGACAGCTTTCAGGTCTATGGTGAGAAAGGAAATACCTTCCAATAAAAACTAGACAGAAGCATTCTCATAAACTTGTTTGTGATGTGTGAACTCAGCTAACAGAGGTGGATCTTTCTTTTGATAGAGCAGTTCTGAAAAACACTTTTTGTTGAATCTGCAAGTGGACATTTGGATAGAGTTGAAGATTTCGTTGGAAACGGGAATATCTTCATATCAAATCTAGACAGAAGCATTCTCAGAAACGTCTTTGTGATGTTTGCATTCAACTCATAGAGTTGAACATTCCCTTTCAGAGAGCAGCTTTGAAGTACTCTTTTTGTAGCATGTGCAAGTGGACATTTCGAGCGCCCTGAGGCCTACGGGGAAAAAGCAAATATCTTCCTATAACCACTAGACAGAAACATTCTCAGAAACTGCTTTAGGACGTATGCACTCACCTAACAGAGAAGAACCTTCCTTTTGACAGAGCAGTTTTGATACACTCTTTTTGTAGAATCTGCAAGTGGATATTTGGATAGCTGTGAAGATTTCGTTGGAAACGGGAATATCTTCCTATAAAATCTAGACAGAAGCATTCTCAGAAACTGCTCTGTGATGTCTGCATTCAAGTCACAGAGTTGAACATTGCCTTTCATAGAGCAGGTTTGAAACGCTCTTTTTGTAGTATAGGGAAGTGGATGTTTCGGACGGTTGGAGGCCCATGGTGATAAAGGGAATATCTTCCCCTACAAGCTAGAAAGAAGCATTCTGTGAAACTTGTTTGTGATGTGTGTACTCAACTAACAGAGTTGAACCTTTCTTTTTACAGAGCAGTTTTGAAACACTCTTTTTGTAGAATCTGTGAGGGGATATTTGGATAGATTTCAGGATTTCGTTGGAAACGAGAATATCTTCATATAAAATCTCGACAGAAGCATTCTCAGAAACTTCCTTGTGATATCTGCATTCAAGTCACAGAGTTGAATATTCCCTTTCACAGAGTAGGTTTCAAACACTCTTTTTATAGTATCTGGAAGTGGACATTTGGAGCGCCTTGACGCCTACGGTGAAAAGGGAAATATCTTCCCATAAAAACTAGACAGAAGCAATCTGAGAATCTTCTTTGGGATATATGCACGCAGCTAACAGAGTTGAACCTTTCTGTTGACAGAGCAGTTTTGAAACAGTCTTTCTGTGGAATCTGCAAGTGGATATTTGGATAGATTGGAGGATTTCGTTGGAAACGGGATTACGTATAAAAAGTAGACTGCAGCATCCTCAGAAACATCCTTGTGATGTGTGCATTCAAGTCACAGAGTTGAACATTCCCTTTCGTACAGCAGTTTTGAAACACTCTTTCTGTAGTATCTGGAAGTGAACTTTATGAGAGCTTTCAGGTCTATAGTGAGAAAGGATATATCTTCAAATAAAAACTAGACAGATAAGCATTCTCATAAACTTGTTTGTGATGTGTGAACTCAGCTAACAGAGGTGGATCTTTCTTTTGATAGAGCAGTTCTGAAAAACACTTTTTGTTGAATCTGCAAGTGGACATTAGGATAGATTTGAAGATTTCGTTGGAAACGGGAATATCTTCATATCAAATCTAGACAGAAGCATTCTCAGAAACGTCTTTGTGATGTTTGCATTCAACTCATAGAGTCGAACATTCCGTTTCAGAGAGCAGCTTTGAGGCACTCTTTTTGTAGTATGTGCAAGTGGATATTTGGAGCGCTCTGAGGCCTACGGTGAAAAAGCAAATATCTTCCCATAACCACTAGACAGAAACATTCTCAGAAACTCCTTTATGACGTATGCACTCACCTAACAGAGGAGAACCTTCCTTTCGACAGAACAGTTTTGATACACTCTTTTTGTAGAATCTGCAAGTGGATATTTGGATAGCTGTGAAGATTTCGTTGGAAACGGGAATATCTTCCTATAAAATCTAGACAGAAGCATTCTCAGAAACTGCTCTGTGATGTCTGCATTCAAGTCACAGAGTTGAACATTGCCTTTCATAGAGCAGGTTTGAAACGCTCTTTTTGTAGTATATGGAAGTGGACTTTTCGGACGGTTTGAGGCCCATGGTGATAAAGGGAATATCTTCCACTACAAGCTAGAAAGAAGCATTCTGTGAAACTTGTTTGTGATGTGTGTACTCAAGTAACAGAGTTGA
This sequence comes from Homo sapiens, assembly GCF_000001405.40. Taxonomy (NCBI): domain Eukaryota; kingdom Metazoa; phylum Chordata; class Mammalia; order Primates; family Hominidae; genus Homo; species Homo sapiens. The sequence continues at coordinate 16,520,329 of NC_000014.9, forward strand.
ACCTTTCTTTTTACAGAGCAGTTTTGAAACACTCTTTTTGTAGAATCTGCGAGGGGATATTTGGATAGATTTCAGGATTTCGTTGGAAAAGGTAATATCTTCATATAAAATCTCGACAGAAGCATTCTCAGAAACTTCTTTGTGATATGTGCATTCAAGTCACAGAGTTGAATATTCCCTTTCACAGAGTAGGTTTGAAACACTCTTTTTGTAGTATCTGGAAGTGGACATTTGGAGCACCTTGACACCTACGGTGAAAAGGGAAATATCTTCCCATAAAAACTAGACAGAAGCAATCTCAAAATCTTCTTTGGGATATATGCACGCAGCTAACAGAGTTGAACCTTTCTATTGACAGAGCAGTTTTGAAACAGTCTTTCTGTGGAATCTGCAAGTGGGTATTTGGATAGCTTGGAGGATTTCTTTGGAAACGGGATTACGTATAAAAAGTAGACAGCAGCATCCTCAGAAATTTCCTTGTGATGTGTGCATTCAAGTCACAGAGTTGAACATTCCCTTTCGTACAGCAGTTTTGAAACACTCTTTCTGTAGTATCTGGAAGTGAACTTTAGGAGAGCTTTCAGGTCTATAGTGAGAAAGGATATATCTTCAAATAAAAACTAGACAGAAGCATTCTCATAAACTTGTTTGTGATGTGTGAACTCAGCTAACAGAGGTGGATCTTTCTTTTGATAGAGCAGTTCTGAAAAACACTTTTTGTTGAATCTGCAAGTGGACATTTGGATAGATTTGAAGATTTCGTTGGAAAGGGGAATATCTTCATATCAAATCTAGACAGAAGCATTCTCAGAAACGTCTTTGTGATGTTTGCATTCAACTCATAGAGTTGAACATTCGGTTTCAGAGAGCAGCTTTGAGGCACTCTTTTTGTAGTATGTGCAAGTGGATATTTGGAGCGCTCTGAGGCCTACGGTGAAAAAGCAAATATCTTCCCATAACCACTAGACAGATAAACATTCTCAGAAACTCCTTTATGACGTATGCACTCACCTAACAGAAAAGAACCTTCCTTTTGACAGAGCAGTTTTGATACACTCTTTTTGTAGAATCTGCAAGTGGATATTTGGATAGCTGTGAAGGTTTCGTTGGAAACGGGAATATCTTCCTATAAAATCTAGACAGAAGCATTCTCAGAAACTGCTCTGTGATGTCTGCATTCAAGTCACAGAGTTGAACATTGCCTTTCATAGAGCCGGTTTGAAACGCTCTTTTTGTAGTATATGGAAGTGGATGTTTCGGACGGTTGGAGGCCCATGGTGATAAAGGGAATATCTTCCCCTACAAGATAGAAAGAAAGCATTGTGTGAAACTTGTTTGTGATGTGTGTACTCAACTAACAGAGTTGAACCTTTCTTTTCACAGAGCAGTTTTGAAACACTCTTTTTGTAGAATCTGCGAGGAGATATTTGGATAGATTTCAGCATTTGGTTGGAAACGGGAATATCTTCATGTAAAATCTCGACAGAAGCATTCTCAGAAACTTCTTTGTGATATCTGCATTCAAGTCACAGAGTTGAATATTGCCTTTCACATAGTAGGTTTGAAATACTCTTTTTGTAGTATCTGGAAGTGGACATTTGGAGCGCCTTGACACCTACGGTGAAAAGGGAAATATCTTCCCATAAAAACTAGACAGAAGCAATCTCAGAATTTTCTTTGGGATATATGCACGCAGCTAAAAGAGTTGAACCTTTCTATTGACAGAGCAGTTTTGAAACAGTCTTTCTGTGGAATCTGCAAGTGGATATTTGGATAGCTTGGAGGATTTCGTTGGAAACGGGATTACGTATAAAAAGTAGACAGCAGCATCCTCAGAAACTACTTTGTGATGTGTGCATTCAAGTCACAGAGTTGAACATTCCCTTTCGTACAGCAGTGTTGAAACACTCTTTCTGTAGTATCTGGAAGTGAACATTAGGACAGCTTTCAGGTCTATGGTGAGAAAGGAAATATCTTCAAATAAAAACTAGACAGAAGCATTCTCATAAACTTGTTTGTGATGTGTGAACTCAGCTAACAGACCTGGATCTTTCTTTTGATACAGCAGTTTTGAAAAACACTTTTTGTTGAATCTGCAAGTGGACATTTGGATAGATATGAAGATTTCGTTGGAAACGGGAATATCTTCATATCAAATCTAGACAGAAGCATTCTCAGAAACGTCTTTGTGATGTTTGCATTCAACTCATAGAGTTGAACATTCGGTTTCAGAGAGCAGCTTTGAAGCACTCTTTTTGTAGCATGTGCAAGTGGACATTTGGAGCGCCCTGAGGCCTACGGGGAAAAAGCAAATATCTTCCCATAACCACTAGACAGAAACATTCTCAGAAACTTCTTTATGACGTATGTACTCAACTAACCGAGAAGAACCTTCCTTTTGACAGAGCAGTTTTGATACACTCTTTTTGTAGACTCTGCAAGTGGATATTTGGATATCAGTGAAGAATTCGTTGGAAACGGGAATATCTTCCTATAAAATCTAAACAGAAGCATTCTCAGAAACTGCTCTGTGATGTCTGCATTCAAGTCACAGAGTTGAACATTGCCTTTCATAGAGCAGGTTTGAAACACTCTTTTTTTAGTATATGGAAGTGGACGTTTCGGACGGTTTGAGGCCCATGGTGATAAAGGAAATATCTTCACCTACAAGGTAGAAAGAAGCATTCTGTGAAACTTGTTTGTGATGTGTGTACTCAACTAACAGAGTTGAACCTTTCTTTTTACAGAGCAGTTTTGAAACACTCTTTTTGTAGAATCTGCGAGGGGATATTTGGATACATTTCAGGATTTCGTTGGAAAGGGGAATATCTTCATATAAAATCTCGACAGATGCATTCTCGGAAGCTTCTTTGTGATATGTGCATTCAAGTCACAAAGTTGAATATTCCCTTTCACAGAGTAGGTTTGAAACACTCTTTTTCTAGTATCTGGAAGTGGACATTTGGAGCGCCTTGATGCCTACGGTGAAAAGGGAAATATCTTCTCATAAAAAGTAGACAGAAGCAATCTGAGAATCTTCTTTGGGATATATGCACGCAGCTAACACAGTTGAACCTTTCTATTGAAAGAGCAGTTTAGAAACAGTCTTTCTGTGGAATCTGCAAGTGGATATTTGGATAGCTGTGAAGATTTCGTTGGAAACAGGAATATCTTCCTATAAAGGCTGGACAGAAGCATCCTCAGAAACTTCTTTGTGATGTGTGCATTCAAGTCACAGAGTTGAACATTCCCTTTCGTACAGCAGTTTTGAAACACTCTGTAGTATCTGGAAGTGAACATTAGGACAGCTTTCAGGTCTATGGTGAGAAAGGAAATATCTTCAAATAAAAACTAGACAGAAGCATTCTCATCAACTTGTTTGTGATGTGTGAACTCAGCTAACAGAGGTGGATCTTTCTTTTGATAGGGCAGTTCTGAAAAACACTTTTTGTTGAATCTGCAAGTGGACATTTGGATAGATTTGAAGATTTCGTTGGAAACGGGAATATCCTCATATCAAATCTAGACAGAAGCATTCTCAGAAACGTCTTTGTGATGTTAGCATTCAACTCATAGAGTTGAACATTCCCTTTCAGAGAGCAGCTTTGAAGCACTCTTTTTGTACTATGTGCAAGTGGATATTTGGAGCGCTCTGAGGCCTATGGTGAAAAAGCAAATATCTTCCCATAACCACTAGACAGAAACATTCTCAGAAACTCCTTTATGACGTATGCACTCACCTAACAGAGAAGAACCTTCCTTTTGACAGAGCAGTTTTGATACACTCTTTTTGTAGAATCTGCAAGTGGATATTTGGATAGCTGTGAAGATTTCGTTGGAAAGGGGAATATCTTCCTATAAAATTTAGACGGAAGCATTCTCAGAAACTGCTCTGTGATGTCTGCATTGAAGTCACAGGGTTGAACATTGCCTTTCATAGAGCAGGTTTGAAACGCTCTTTTTGTAGTATATGGAAGTGGACGTTTCGGACGGTTTGAGGCCCATGGTGATAAAGGGAATATCTTCCCCTACAAGCTAGAAAGAAGCATTCTGTGAAACTTGTTTTTGATGTGTGTACTCAACTAACAGAGTTGAACCTTTCTTTTTACAGAGCAGTTTTGAAACACTCTTTTTGTAGAATCTGCGAGGGGATATTTGGATACATTTCAGCATTTCGTTGGAAACGGGAATATCTTCATATAAAATCTCGACAGAAGCATTCTCAGAAACTTCTTTGTGATATGTACATTCAAGTCACAGAGTTGAATATTCCCTTTCACAGAGTAGGTTTGAAACACTCTTTTTGTAGTATCTGGAAGTGGACATTTGGAGCGCCTTGACACCTACGGTGAAAAGGGAAATATCTTCCCATAAAAACTAGACAGAAGCAATCTCAGAATCTTCTTTGGGATATATGCACGCAGCTAACAGAGTTGAACCTTTCTATTGACAGAGCAGTTTTGAAACAGTCTTTCTGTGGAATCTGCAAGTGGATATTTGGATAGAGTGGAGGATTTCGTTGGAAACGGGATTACGTATAAAAAGTAGACCGCAGCATCCTCAGAAACTTCTTTGTGATGTGTGCATTCAAGTCACAGAGTTGAACATTCCCTTTCGTACAGCAGTTTTGAAACACTCTTTCTGTAGTATCTGGAAGTGAACATTAGGACAGCTTTCAGGTCTATGGTGAGAAAGGAAGCATCTTCAAATAAAAACTAGACAGAAGCATTCTCATAAACTTGTTTGTGATGTGTGAACTCATCTAACAGAGGTGGATCTTTCTTTTGATAGAGCAGTTCTGAAAAACACTTTTTGTTGAATCTGCAAGTGGACATTTGGATAGATTTGAAGATTTCGTTGGAAACGGGAATATCTTCATATCAAATGCTAGACAGAAGCATTCTCAGAAACGTCTTTGTGATGTTTGCATTCAACTCATAGAGTTGAACATTCCGTTTCAGAGACCAGCTTTGAAGCACTCTTTTTGTAGTATGTGCACGTGGATATTTGGAGCGCTCTGAGGCCTACGGTGAAAAAGCAAATATCTTCCCATAACCACTAGACAGAAACATTCTCAGAAACTCCTTTATGACGTATGCACTCACCTAACAGAGAAGAACCTTCCTTTTGACAGAGCAGTTTTGATACACTCTTTTTGTAGAATCTGCAAGTGGATATTTTGATAGCTGTGAAGATTTCGTTGGAAACGGGAATATCTTCCTATAAAATCTAGACAGAAGCATTCTCAGAAACTGCTCTGTGATGTCTGCATTCAAGTCACAGAGTTGAACATTGCCTTTCATAGAGCAGGTTTGAAACGCTCTTTTTGTAGTATATGGAAGTGGATGTTTCGGACGGTTTGAGGCCCACGGTGATAAAGGGAATATCTTCCCCTACAAGCTAGAAAGAAGCATTCTGTGAATCTTGTTTGTGATGTGTGTACTCAACTAACAGGGTTGAACCTTTCTTTTTACAGAGCAGTTTTGAAACACTCTTTTTGTAGAATCTGCGAGGGGATATTTGGATAGATTTCAGGATTTCGTTGGAAACGGGAATATCTTCATATAAAATCTCGACAGAAGCATTCTCAGAAACTTCCTTGTGATATGTGCATTCAAGTCACAGAGTTGAATATTCCCTTTCACAGAGTAGGTTTGAAACACTCTTTTTGTAGTATCTGGAAGTGGACATTTGGAGCGCCTTGACGCCTACAGTGAAAAGGGAAATATCTTCCCATAAAAACTAGACAGAAGCTATCTCAGAATCTTCTTTGGGATATATGCACGCAGCTAACAGAGTTGAACCTTTCTATTGACAGAGCAGTTTTGAAACAGTCTTTCTGTGGAATCTGCAAGTGGATATTTGGATAGCTTGGAGGATTTCGTTGGAAACGGGATTACGTATAAAAAGTAGACAGCAGCATCCTCAGAAACTTCTTTGTGATGTGTGCATTCAAGTCACAGAGTTGAACATCACCTTTCGTACAGCAGTTTTGAAACACTCTTTCTGTAGTATCTGGAAGTGAACATTAGGATAGCTTTCAGGTCTATGGTGAGAAAGGAAATATCTTCAAATAAAAACTAGACAGAAGCATTCTCATAAACTTGTTTGTGAGGTGTGAACTCAGCTAACAGAGGTGGATCTTACTTTTGATAGAGCAGTTCTGAAAAACACTTTTTGTTGAATCTGCAAGTGGACATTTGGATAGATTTGAAGATTTCGTTGGAAACGGGAATATCTTCATATCAAATCTAGACAGAAGCATTCTCAGAAACGTCTTTGTGATGTTTGCATTCAACTCATAGAGTTGAACATTCCGTTTCAGAGAGCTGCTTTGAAGCACTCTTTTTGTAGCATGTGCAAGTGGATATTTGGAGCGCTCTGAGGCCTACGGTGAAAAAGCAAATATCTTCCCATAACCACTAGACAGAAACATTCTCAGAAACTTCTTTATGACGTATGTACTCAACTAGCAGAGAAGAACTTTCCTTTTGACAGAGCATTTTTGATACACTCTTTTTGCAGTATCTGCAAGTGTATATTTGGATAGCTGTGAAGATTTCTTTGGAAACGGGAATATCTTCCTATAAAGTCTGGACAGAAGCATTCTCAGAAACTGCTCTGTGATGTCTGCATTCAAGTCACAGAGTTGAACATTGCCTTTCATAGAGCAGGTTTGAAATGCTCTTTTTGTAGTATATGGAAGTGGACGTTTCAGACGGTTTGAGGCCCATGGTGATAAAGGGAATATCTTCCCCTTCAAGCTAGAAAGAAGCATTCTGTGAAACTTGTTTGTGATGTTTGTACTCAACTAACAGAGTTGAACCTTTCTTTTTACAGAGCAGTTTTGAAACACTCTTTTTGTAGAATCTGCGAGGGGATATTTGGATACATTTCAGGATTTCGTTGGAAACGGGAATATCTTCATAGAAAATCTCGACAAAAGCATTCTCAGAAACTTCCTTGTGATATGTGCATTCAAGTCACAGAGTTGAATATTCCCTTTCATAGAGTAGGTTTGAAACACTCTTTTTGTAGTATCTGGAAGTGGACATTTGGAGCGCCTTGACGCCTACGGTGAAAAGGGAAATATCTTCCCATAAAAACTAGACAGAAGCAATCTCAGAATCTGCTTTGGGATATATGCACGCAGCTAACAGAGTTGAACCTTTCTATTGACAGAGCAGTTTTGAAACAGTCTTTCTGTGGAATCTGCAAGTGGATATTTGGATAGCTTGGAGGATTTCGTTGGAAACGGGATTAAGTATAAAAAGTAGACAGCTGCATCCTCAGAAACTTCTTTGTGATGTGTGCATTCAAGTCACAGAGTTGAACATTCCCTTTCGTACAGCAGTTTTGAAACACTCTTTCTGTAGTATCTGGAAGTGAACATTAGGACAGCTTTCAGCTCTATGGTGAGAAAGGAAATATCTTCAAATAAAAACTAGACAGAAGCATTCTCATAAACTTGTTCGTGATGTGTGAACTCAGCTAACACACGTCGATCTTTCTTTTGATAGAGCAGTTCTGAAAAACACTTTTTGTTGAATCTGCAAGAGGACATTTGGATAGATTTGAAGATTTCGTTGGAAACGGGAATATCTTCATATCAAATCTAGACAGAAGCTTTCTCAGAAACGTCTTTGTGATGTTTGCATTCAACTCATAGAGTTGAACATTCCGTTTCAGAGAACAGCTTTGAGGCACTCTTTTTGTAGTATGTGCAAGTGGATATTTGGAGCGCTCTGAGGCCTACGGTGAAAAAGCAAATATCTTCCCATAACCACTAGACAGAAACTTTCTCAGAAACTCCTTTATGACGGTATGCACTCACCTAACAGAGAAGAACCTTCCTTTTGACAGAGCAGTTTTGATACACTCTTTTTGTAGAATCTGCAAGTGGATATTTGGATACCTGTGAAGATTTCGTTGGAAACGGGAATATCTTCCTATAAAATCTAGACAGAAGCATTCTCAGCAAACTGCTCTGTGATGTCTGCATTCAAGTCACAGAGTTGAACATTGCCTTTCATAGAGCAGGTTTGAAACGCTCTTTTTGTAGTATATGGAAGTGGACTTATCGGACGGTTTGAGGCCCATGGTGATAAAGGGAATATCTTCCCCTACAAGCTAGAAAGAAGCATTCTGTGAAACTTGTTTGTGATGTGTGTACTCAACTAACAGAGTTGAACCTTTCTTTTTACAGAGCAGTTTTGAAACACTCTTTTTGTAGAATCTGCGAGGGGATATTTGAATAGATTTCAGGATTTCGTTGGAAACGGGAATATCTTCATATAAAATCTCGACAGAAGCATTCTCAGAAACTTCTTTGTGATATGTGCATTGAATTCACAGAGTTGAATATTCCCTTTCACAGAGTAGGTTTGAAACACTCTTTTTGTAGTATCTGGAAGTGGACATTTGGAGCGCCTTGACACCTACGGTGAAAAGGGAAATATCTTCCCATAAAAACTAGACAGAAGCAATCTCAGAATCTTCTTTGGGATATATGCACGCAGCTAACAGAGTTGAACCTTTCTATTGACAGAGCAGTTTTGAAACAGTCTTTCTGTGGAATCTGCAAGTGGATATTTGGATAGCATGGAGGATTTCGTTGGAAACGGGATTACGTATAAAAGTAGACAGCAGCATCCTCAGAAACATCCTTGTGATGTGTGCATTCAAGTCACAGAGTTGAACATTCCCTTTCGTACAGCAGTTTTGAAACACTCTTTCTGTAGTATCTGGAAGTGAACATTAGGACAGCTTTCAGGTCTATGGTGAGAAAGGAAATATCTTCTAATAAAAACAAGACAGAAGCATTCTCATAAACTTGTTTGTTATGTGTGAACTCAGCTAACACACGTGGATCTTTCTTTTGATAGAGCAGTTCTGAAAAACAATTTTTGTTGAATCTGCAAGTGGACATTTGGGTAGATTTGAAGATTTCGTTGGAAACGAGAATATCTTCATATCAAATCTAGACAGAAGCATTCTCGGAAACGTCTTTGCGATGTTTGCATTCAACTCATAGTGTTGAACATTCCGTTTCAGAGAGCAGCTTTGAGGCACTCATTTTGTAGTATGTGCAAGTGGATATTTGGAGCGCTCTGAGGCCTTCGGTGAAAAAGCAAATATCTTCCCATAACCACTAGACAGAAACATTCTCAGAAACTCCTTTATGACGTATGCACTCACCTAACAGAGAAGAACCTTCCTTTTGACAGAGCAGTTTTCATACACTCTTTTGGTAGAATCTGCAAGTGGATATTTGGATAGCTGTGAAGATTTCGTTGGAAACGGGAATATCTTCCTATAAAATCTAGACAGAAGCATTCTCAGAAACTGCTCTGTGATGTCTGCATTCAAGTCACAGTAGTTGAACATTGCCTTTCATAGAGCAGGTTTGAAACGCTCTTTTTGTAGTATATGGAAGTGGACTTATCGGACGGTTTGAGGCCCATGGTGATAAAGGGAATATCTTCCCCTACAAGCTAGAAAGAAGCATTGTGTGAAACTTGTTTGTGATGTGTGTACTCAACTAACAGAGTTGAACCTTTCTTTTTACAGAGCAGTTTTGAAACACTCTTTTTGTAGAATCTGCAAGGGGATATTTGGATACATTTCAGGATTTCGTTGGAAACGGGAATATCTTCATATAAAATCTCGACAGAAGCATTCTCAGAAACTTCCTTGAGATATGTGCATTCAAGTCACAGAGTTGAATATTCCCTTTCACAGAGTAGGTTTGAAACACTCTTTTTGTAGTATCTGGAAGTGGACATTTGGAGCGCCTTGACGCCTACGGTGAAAAGGGAAATATCTTCCCATAAAAACTAGACAGAAGCAATCTCAGAATCTTCTTTGGGATATATGCACGCAGCTAACAGAGTTGAACCTTTCTATTGACAGAGCAGTTTTGAAACAGTCTTTCTGTGGAATCTGCAAGTGGATATTTGGATAGCCTGGAGGATTTCGTTGGAAACGGGATTACGTATAAAAAGTAGACAGCAGCATCCTCAGAAACTTCTTTGTGATGTGTGCATTCAAGTCACATAGTTGAACATTCCCTTTCGTACAGCAGTTTTGAAACACTCTTTCTGTAGTATCTGGAAGTGAACATTAGGACAGCTTTCAGGTCTATGGTGAGAAAGGAAATATCTTCAAATAAAAACTAGACAGACAAGCATTCTCATAAACTTGTTTGTTATGTGTGAACTCAGCTAACACACGTGGATCTTTCTTTTGATAGAGCAGTTCTGAAAAACAATTTTTGTTGAATCTGCAAGTGGACATTTGGATAGATTTGAAGATTTCGTTGGAAACGGGAATATCTTCATATCAAATCTAGACAGACGCATTCTCAGAAACGTCTTTGTGATGTTTGCATTCAACTCATAGAGTTGAACATTCCGTTTCAGAGAGCAGCTTTGAAGCACTCTTTTTGTAGTATGTGCAAGTGGATATTTGGTGCGCTCTGAGGCCTACGGTGAAAAAGCAAATATCTTCCCATAACCACTAGACAGAAACATTCTCAGAAACTCCTTTATGACGTATGCACTCACCTAACAGAAAATAACCTTCCTTTTGACAGAGCAGTTTAGATACACTCTTTTTGTAGAATCTGCAAGTGGATATTTGGATAGCTGTGAAGATTTCGTTGGAAACGGGAATATCTTCCTATAAAATCTAGACAGAAGCATTCTCAGAAACTGCTCTGTGATGTCTGCATTCAAGTCACAGAGTTGAACATTGCCTTTCATAGAGCAGGTTTGAAACGCTCCTTTTCTATTATATGGAAGTGGATGTTTCGGACGGTTGGAGGCCCATGGTGATAAAGGGAATATCTTCCCCTACAAGCTAGAAAGAAGCATTCTGTGAAACTTGTTTGTGATGTGTGTACTCAACTAACAGAGTTGAACCTTTCTTTTTACAGAGCAGTTTTGAAACACTCTTTTTGTAGAATCTGCGAGGGGATATTTGGATAGATTTCAGGATTTCGTTGGAAACTGGAATATCTTCATATAAAATTTCGACAGAAGCATTCTCAGAAACTTCTTTGTGATATCTGCATTCAAGTAACAGAGTTGAATATTCCCTTTCACAGAGTAGGTTTGAAACACTCTTTTTGTAGTATCTGGAAGTGGACATTTGGAGCGCCTTGACGCCTACGGTGAAAAGGGAAATATCTTCCCATAAAAACTAGACAGAATCAATCTCAGAATCTTCTTTGGGATATATGCACGCAGCTAACAGAGTTGAACCTTTCTATTGACAGAGCAGTTTTGAAACAGTCTTTCTGTGGAATCTGCAAGTGGATATTTGGATAGCCTGGAGGATTTCGTTGGAAACGGGATTACGTATAAAAAGTAGACAGCAGCATCCTCAGAAACTTCTTTGTGATGTGTGCATTCAAGTCACAGAGTTGAACATTCCCTTTCGTACAGCAGCTTTGAAACACTCTTTCTGTAGTATCTGGAAGTGAACATTAGGACAGCTTTCAGGTCTATGGTGAGAAAGGAAATATCTTCAAATAAAAACTAGACAGAAGCATTCTCATAAACTTGTTTGTGATGTGTGAACTCAGCTAACAGAGGTGGATCTTTCTTTTGATAGAGCAGTTCTGAAAAACACTTTTTGTTGAAACTGCAAGTGGACATTTGGATAGATTTGAAGATTTCGTTGGAAACGGGAATATCTTCATATCAAATCTAGACAGAAGCATTCTCAGAAACGTCTTTGTGATGTTTGCATTCAACTCATAGAGTTGAACATTCCCTTTCAGAGAGCAGCTTTGAAGCACTCTTTTTGTAGCATTTGCAAGTGGACATTTGGAGCGCCCTGAGGCCTACGGGGAAAAAGCAAATATCTTCCCATAACCACTAGACAGAAACATTCTCAGAAACTCCTTTGTGACGTATGCACTCACCTAACAGAGAAGAACCTTCCTTTTGACAGAGCAGTTTTGATACACTCTTTTTGTAGAATCTGCAAGTGGATATTTGGATAGCTGTGAAGATTTCGTTGGAAACGGGAATATCTTCCTATAAAATCTAGACAGAAGCATTCTCAGAAACTGCTCTGTGATGTCTGCATTCAAGTCACAGAGTTGAACATTGCCTTTCATAGAGCAGGTTTGAAACCCTCTTTTTGTAGTATATGGAAGTGGACGTTTCGGACGGTCTGAGGCCCATGGTGATAAAGGGAATATCTTCCCCTACAAGCTAGAAAGAAGCATTCTGTGAAACTTGTTTGTGATGTGTGTACTCAACTAACAAAGTTGAACCTTTCTTTTTACAGAGCAGTTTTGAAACACTCTTTTTGTAGAATCTGCGAGGGGATATTTGGATACATTTCAGGATTTCGTTGGAAACGGGAATATCTTCATATAAAATCTCGACAGAAGCATTCTCAGAAACTTCTTTGTGATATGTGCATTCAAGTCACAGAGTTGAATATTCCCTTTCACAGAGTAGGTTTGAAACACTCTTTTTGTAGTATCTGGAAGTGGACATTTAGAGCGCCTTGACACCTACGGTGAAAAGGGAAATATCTTCCCATAAAAACTAGACAGAAGCAATCTCAGAATCTTCTTTGGGATATATGCACGCAGCTAACAGAGTTGAACCTTTCTATTGAGAGAGCACTTTTGAAACAGTCTTTCTGTGGAATCTGCAAGTGGATATTTGGATAGCTTGGAGGATTTCGTTGGAAACGGGATTACGTATAAAAAGTAGACAGCAGCATCCTCAGAAACTTCTTTGTGATGTGTGCATTCAAGTCACAGAGTTGAACTTTCCCTTTCGTACAGCAGTTTTGAAACACTCTTTCTGTAGTATCTGGAAGTGAACACTAGGACAGCTTTCAGGTCTATGGTGAGAAAGGAAATATCTTCAAATAAAAACTAGACAGAAACATTCTCATAAACCTGTTTGTGATGTGTGAACTCAGCTAACAGACGTGGATCTTTCTTTTGATACAGCAGTTTTGAAAAACACTTTTTGTTGAATCTGCAAGTGGACATTTGGATAGATTTGAAGATTTCGTTGGAAACGGGAATATCTTCATATCAAATCTAGACAGATAAGCATTGTCAGAAACGTCTTTGTGATGTTTGCATTCAACTCATAGAGTTGAACATTCCGTTTCAGAGAGCAGCTTTGAAGCACTCTTTTTGTAGTATGTGCAAGTGGATATTTGGAGCGCTCTGAGGCCTAAGGTGAAAAAGCAAATATCTTCCCATAACCACTAGACAGAAACATTCTCAGAAACTCCTTTATGACGTATGCACTCACCTAACAGAAAAGAACCTTCCTTTTGACAGAGCAGTTTTGATACACTCTTTTTGTAGAATCTGCAAGTGGATATTTGGATAGCTGTGAAGATTTCTTTGGAAACCGGAATATCTTCCTATAAAATCTAGACAGAAGCATTCTCAGAAACTGCTCTGTGATGTCTGCATTCAAGTCACAGAGTTGAACATTGCCTTTCATAGAGCAGGTTTGAAACGCTCTTTTTGTAGTATATGGAAGTGGACTTATTGGACGGTTGGAGGCCCATGGTGATAAAGGGAATATCTTCCCCTACAAGCTAGAAAGAAGCATTCTGTGAAACTTGTTTGTGATGTGTGTACTCAACTAACAGAGTTGAACCTTTCTTTTTACAGAGCAGTTTTGAAACACTCTTTTTGTAGAATCTGCGAGGGGATATTTGGATAGATTTCAGGATTTCGTTGGAAACGGGAATATCTTCATATAAAATATCGACAGAAGCATTCTCAGAAACTTCTTTGTGATATCTGCATTCAAGTCACAGAGTTGAATATTCCCTTTCACAGAGAAGGTTTGAAGCACTCTTTTTGTAATATCTGGAAGTGGACATTTGGAGCGCCTTGACGCCTACGGTGAAAAGGGAAATATCTTCCCATAAAAACTAGACAGAAGCAATCTCAGAATCTTCTTTGGGATATATGTACGCAGCTAATAGAGTTGAACCTTTCTATTGACAGAGCAGTTTTGAAACAGTCTTTCTGTGGAATCTGCAAGTGGATATTTGGATAGCTTGGAGGATTTCGTTGGAAACGGGATTATGTATAAAAAGTAGACAGCAGCATCCTCAGAAACTTCTTTGTGATGTGTTCATTCAAGTCACAGAGTTGAACATTCCCTTTCGTACAGCAGTTTTGAAACACTCTTTCTGTAGTATCTGGAAGTGAACATTAGGACAGCTTTCAGGTCTATGGTGAGAAAGGCAATATCTTCAAATAAAAACTAGACAGAAGGTTTCTCATAAACCTGTTTGTGATGTGTGAACTCAGCTAACAGACGTGGATCTTTCTTTTGATACAGCAGTTTTGAAAAACACTTTTTGTTGAATCTGCAAGAGGACATTTGGATAGATTTGAAGATTTCGTTGGAAACGGGAATATCTTCCTATCAAATCTAGACAGAAGCATTCTCAGAAACGTCTTTGTCATGTTTGCATTCAACTCATAGAGTTGAACATTCCCTTTCAGAGAGCAGCTTTGGAACACTCTTTTTGTAGTATGTGCAAGTGGATATTTGGAGCGCTCTGAGGCCTACGGTGAAAAAGCAAATATCTTCCCATAACCACTAGACAGAAACATTCTCAGAAACTCCTTTATGACGTATGCACTCACCTAACAGAGAAGAACCTTCCTTTTGACAGAGCAGTTTTGATACACTCTTTTTGTAGAATCTGCAAGTGGATCTTTGGATAGCTGTGAAGATTTCGTTGGAATCGGGAATATCTTCCTACAAAATCTAGACAGAAGCATTCTCAGAAACTGCTCTGTGATGTCTGCATTCAAGTCACAGAGTTGAACATTGCCTTTCATAGAGCAGGTTTGAAACGCTCTTTTTGTAGTATATGGAAGTGGACGTTTCGGACGGTTTGAGGCCCATGGTGATAAAGGGAATATCTTACCCTACAAGCTAGAAAGAGAGCATTCTGTGAAACTTGTTTGTGATGTGTGTACTCAACTAACAGAGTTGAACCTTTCTTTTTACAGAGCAGTTTTGAAACACTCTTTTTGTAGAATCTGCGAGGGGATATTTGGATAGATTTCAGGATTTCGTTGGAAACGGGAATATCTTTATATAAAATCTCGACAGAGCATTCTCAGAAACTTCTTTGTGATATCTGCATTCCAGTCACAGAGTTGAATATTCCCTTTCACAGAGTAGGTTTGAAACACTCTTTTTATAGTATCTGGAATTGGACATTTGGAGCGCCTTGACGCCTACGGTGAAAAGGGAAATATCTTCCCATAAAAACTAGACAGAAGCAATCTCAGAATCTTCTTTGGGATATACGCACGCAGCTAACAGAGTTGAACCTTTCTATTGACAGAGCAGTTTTGAAACAGTCTTTCTGTGGAATCTGCAAGTGGATATTTGGATAGATTGGAGGATTTCGTTGGAAACGGGATTACGTATAAAAAGTAGACAGCAGCATCCTCAGAAACTACTTTGTGATGTGTGCATTCAAGTCACAGAGTTGAAAATTCCCTTTCGTACAGCAGTTTTGAAACACTCTTTCTGTAGTATCTGGAAGTGAACTTTAGGACAGCTTTCAGGTCTATAGTGAGAAAGGATATATCTTCAAATAAAAACTAGACAGAAGCATTCTCATAAACGTGTTTGTGATGTGTGTACTCAGCTAACAGACGTGGATCTTTCTTTTGATACAGCAGTTTTGAAAAACACTTTTTGTTGAATCTGCAAGTGGACATTTGGATAGATATGAAGATTTCGTTGGAAACGGGAATATCTTCATATCAAATCTAGACAGAAGCATTCTCAGAAACGTCTTTGCGATGTTTGCATTCAACTCATAGAGTTGAACATTCCGTTTCAGAGAGCAGCTTTGAAGCACTCTTTTTGTAGTATGTGCAAGTGGATATTTGGAGGGCTCTGAGGCCTACGGTGAAAAAGCAAATATCTTCCCATAACCACTAGACAGAAACATTCTCAGAAACTCCTTTATGACGTGTGCACTTACCTAACAGAGAAGAACCTTCCTTTTGACAGAGCAGTTTTGATACACTCTTTTTGTAGAATCTGCAAGTGGATATTTGGATAGCTGTGAAGATTTCGTTGGAAACGGGAATATCTTCCTATAAAATCTAGACAGAAGCATTCTCAGAAACTGCTCTGTGATGTCTGCATTCAAGTCACAGAGTTGAACATTGCCTTTCCTAGAGCAGGTTTGAAACGCTCTTTTTGTAGTATATGGAAGTGGACTTATCGGACGGATTGAGGCCCATGGTGATAAAGGGAATATCTTCCCCTACAAGCTAGAAAGAAGCATTGTGTGAAACTTGTTTGTGATGTGTGTACTCAACTAACAGAGTTGAACCTTTCTTTTTACAGAGCAGTTTTAAAACACTCTTTTTGTAGAATCTGCGAGGGGATATTTGGATAGATTTCAGGATTTCGTTGGAAACGGGAACATCTTCATAGAAAATCTCGACAGAAGCATTCTCAGAAGCTTCTTTGTGATATGTGCATTCAAGTCACAGAGTTGAATATTCCCTTTCACAGAGTAGGTTTGAAACACTCTTTTTGTAGTATCTGAAGTGGACATTTGGAGCGCCTTGACGCCTACGGTGAAAAGGGAAATATCTTCTCATAAAAAGTAGACAGAAGCAATCTCAGAATCTTCCTTGGGATATATGTACGCAGCTAACAGAGTTGAAACTTGCTATTGACAGAGCAGTTTTGAAACAGTCTTTCTGTGGAATCTGCAAGTGGATATTTGGATAGCTTGGAGGATTTCGTTGGAAACGGGATTACGTATAAAAAGTAGACAGCAGCATCCTCAGAAACTTCTTTGTGATGTGTTCATTCAAGTCACAGAGTTGAACATTCCCTTTCGTACAGCAGTTTTGAAACACTCTTTCTGTAGTATCTGGAAGTGAACATTAGGACAGCTTTCAGGTCTATGGTGAGAAAGGAAATATCTTCAAATAAAAACTAGACAGAAGCATTCTCATAAACTTGTTTGTGATGTGTGAACTCAGCTAACAGAGGTGGATCTTTCTTTTGATAGAGCAGTTCTGAAAAACACTTTTTGTTGAATCTGCAAGTGGACATTTGGATAGATTTGAAGATTTCGTTGGAAACGGGAATATCTTCATATCAAATCCAGACAGAAGCATTCTCAGAAACGTCTTTGAGATGTTTGCATTCAACTCATAGAGTTGAACATTCCCTTTCAGAGAGCAGCTTTGAAGCACTCTTTTTGTAGTATGTGGAAGTGGATATTTGGAGCAGCTCTGAGGCCTACGGTGAAAAATCAAATATCTTCCCATAACCACTAGACAGAAGCATTCTGTGAAACTTGTTTGTGATGTGTGTACTCAACTAACAGAGTTGAACCTTTCTTTTTACAGAGCAGTTTTGAAACACTCTTTTTGTAGAATCTGCGAGGGGTTATTTGGATAGATTTCAGGATTTCGTTGGAAACGGGAATATCTTCCTATAAAATCTAGACAGAAGCATTCTCAGAAACTGCTCTGTGATGTCTGCATTCAAGTCACAGAGTTGAACATTGCCTTTCATAGAGCAGGTTTGACACGCTCTTTTTGTAGTATATGGAAGTGGACGTTTCGGACGGTTTGAGGCCCATGGTGATAAAGGGAATATGCTTCCCCTACTAGCTAGAAAGAAGCATTGTGTGAAACTTGTTTGTGATGTGTGTACTCAACTAACAGAGTTGAACCTTTCTTTTTACAGAGCAGTTTTGATACACTCTTTTTGTAGAATCTGCGAGGGGATATTTGGATAGATTTCAGGATTTCGTTGGAAACGGGAATATCTTCATATAAAATCTCGACAGAAGCATTCTCAGAAACTTCTTTGTGATATGTGCATTCAAGTCACAGAGTTGAATATTCGCTTTCACAGAGTAGGTTTGAAACACTCTTTTTGTAGTATCTGGAAGTGGACATTTGGAGCGCCTTGACACCTACGGTGAAAAGGAAAATATCTTCCCATAAAAACTAGACAGAAAGCAATCTCAGAATCTTCTTTGGGATATATGCACGCAGCTAACAGAGTTGAACCTTTCTATTGACAGAGCAGTTTTGAAACAGTCTTTCTGTGGAATCTGCAAGTGGATATTTGGAAAGCTTGGAGGATTTCGTTGGAAACGGGATTAAGTATAAAAAGTAGACAGCAGCATCCTCAGAAACTTCTTTGTGATGTGTGCATTCAAGTCACAGAGTTGAACATTCCCTTTCGTACAGCAGTTTTGAAACACTCTTTCTGTAGTATCTGGAAGTGAACATTAGTACAGCTTTCAGGTCTATGGTGAGAAAGGCAATATCTTCAAATAAAAACTAGACAGAAGCATTCTCAAAAACTTGTTTGGGAAGTGTGAACTCAGGTAACAGAGGTGGATCTTTATTTTGATAGAGCAGTTCTGAAAAACACTTTTTGTTGAATCTGCAAGTGGACATTTGGATAGATTTGAAGATTTCGTTGGAAACGGGAATATCTTCATATCAAATCTAGACAGAAGCATTCTCAGAAACGTCTTTGTGATGTTTGCATGCAACTCATAGAGTTGAACATTCCGTTTCAGAGAGCAGCTTTGAAGCACTCTTTTTGTAGTATGCGCAAGTGGATATTTGGAGCGCTCTGAGGCCTACGGTGAAAAAGCAAATATCTTCCCATAACCACTAGACAGAAACATTCTCAGAAACTTCTTTATGACGTATGTACTGAACTAGCAGAGAAGAACTGTCCTCTTGACAGAGCATTTTTGATACACTCTTTTTGTAGTATCAGCAAGTGGATATTTGGATAGATGTGAAGATTTCGTTGGAATCGGGAATATCTTCCTATAAAGTCCGGACAGAAGCATTCTCAGAAACTGCTCTGTGATGTCTGTATTCAAGTCACAGAGTTGAACATTGCCTTTCATAGAGCAGGTTTGAAATGCTCTTTTTGCAGTATATGGAAGTGGACGTTTCAGACGGTTTGAGGCCCATGGTGATAAAGGGAATATCTTCCCCTACAAGCTAGAAAGAAGCATTCTGTGAAACTTGTTGGTGATGTGTGTACTCAACTAACAGAGTTGAACCTTTCTTTTTACAGAGCAGTTTTGAAACACTCTTTTTGTAGAATCTGCGAGGGGATATTTGGATAGATTTCAGGATTTCGTTGGAAACGGGAATATCTTCATATAAAATCTCGACAGAAGCATTCTCAGAAACTTCCTTGTGATATGTGCATTCAAGTCACAGAGTTGAATATTCCCTTTCACAGAGTAGGTTTGAAACACTCTTTTTGTAGTATCTGGAAGTGGACATTTGGAGCGCCTTGACGCCCACGGTGAAAAGGGAAATATCTTCCCATAAAAACTAGACAAAAGCAATCTCAGAATCTTCTTTGGGATATATGCACGCAGCTAACAGAGTTGAACCTTTCTATTGACAGAGCAGTTTTGAAACAGTCTTTCTGAGGAATCTGCAAGTGGATATTTGGATAGCTTGGAGGATTTCGTTGGAAACGGTATTATGTATAAAAAGTAGACAGCAGCATCCTCAGAAACTTCTTTGTGATGTGTGCATTCAAGTAACAGAGTTGAACATTCCCTTTCGTACAGCAGTTTTGAAACACTCTTTCTGTAGTATCTGGAAGTGAACATTAGGACAGCTTTCAGCTCTATGGTGAGAAAGGAAATATCTTCAAATAAAAACTAGACAGAAGCATTCTCATAAACTTGTTTGTGATGTCTGAACTCAGCTAACAGAGGTGGATCTTTCTTTTGATAGAGCAGTTCTGAAAAACACTTTTTGTTGAATCTGCAAGTGGACATTTGGATAGATTTGAAGATTTCGTTGGAAACGGGAATATCTTCATATCAAATCTACACAGAAGCATTCTCAGAAACGTCTTTGTGATGTTTGCATTCAACTCATAGAGTTGAACATTCCGTTTCAGAGACCAGCTTTGAAGCACTCTTTTTGTAGGATGTGCAAGTGGATATTTGGAGCGCTCTGAGGCCTACGGTGTAAAAGCAAATATCTTCCCATAACCACTAGACAGAAACATTCTCAGAAACTCCTTTATGACGTATGCACTCACCTAACAGAGAAGAACCTTCCTTTTGACAGAGCAGTTTTGATACACACTTTTTGTAGAATCTGCAAGTGGATATTTGGATAGCTGTGAAGATTTCGTTGGAAACGGAAATATCTTCCTATAAAATCTAGACAGAAGCATTCTCAGCAAACTGCTCTGTGATGTCTGCATTCAAGTCACAGAGTTGAACATTGCTTTTCCTAGAGCAGGTTTGAAACGCTCTTTTTGTAGTATATGGAAGTGGACGTTTCGGACGGTTTGAGGCCCATGGTGATAAAGGGAATATCTTCCCCTACAAGCTAGAAAGAAGCATTCTGTGAAACTTGTTTGTGATGTGTGTACTCAACTAACAGAGTTGAACCTTTCTTTTACAGAGCAGTTTTGAAACACTCTTTTTGTAGAATCTGCGAGGGGATATTTGGATAGATTTCAAGATTTCGTTGGGAACGGGAATATCTTCATATAAAATCTCGACAGAAGCATTCTCAGAAACTTCTTTGTGATATCTGCATTCAAGTCACAGAGTTGAATATTCCCTTTCACAGAGAAGGTTTGAAACACTCTTTTTGTAGTATCTGGAAGTGGACATTTGGAGCGCCTTGACGCCTACGGTGGAAAGGGAAATATCTTCCCATAAAAACTAGACAGAAAGCATCTCAGAATCTTCTTTGGGATATATGCACGCAGCTAACAGAGTTGAACCTTTCTATTGACAGAGCAGTTTTGAAACAGTCTTTCTGTGGAATCTGCAAGTGGATATTTGGATAGCTTGGAGGATTTCGTTGGAAACGGGATTACGTATAAAAAGTAGACAGAGCATCCTCAGAAACTTCTTTGTGATGTGTGCATTCAAGTCACAGAGTTGAGCATTCCCTTTCGTACAGCAGTTTTGAAACACTCTTTCTGTAGTATCTGGAAGTGAACATTAGGACAGCTTTCATCTCTATGGTGAGAAAGGAAATATCTTCAAATAAAAACTAGACAGAAAGCATTCTCATAAACTTGTTTGTGATGTGTGAACTCAGCTAACACACGTGGATCTTTCTTTTGATACAGCAGTTTTGAAAAACACTTTTTGTTGAATCTGCAAGTGGACATTTGGATAGATATGAAGATTTCGTTGGAAACGGGAATATCTTCATATCAAATCTAGACAGAAGCATTCTCAGAAACGTCTTTGTGATGTTTGCATTCAACTCATAGAGTTGAACATTCCGTTTCAGAGAGCAGCTTTGAAGCACTCTTTTTGTAGTATGTGCAAGTGGACATTTGGAGCGCTTTGAGGCCTACGGTGAAAAAGCAAATATCTTCCCATAACCACTAGACAGAAAACATTCTCAGAAACTCCTGTATGACGTATGCACTCACCTAACAGAGAAGAACCTTCCTTTTGACAGAGCAGTTTTGATACACTCTTTTTGTAGAATCTGCAAGTGGATATTTGGATAGCTGTGAAGCTTTCGTTGGAAACGGGAATATCTCCCTATAAAATCTAGACAGAAGCATTCTCAGAAACTTCTCTGTGATGTCTGCATTCAAGTCACAGAGTTGAACATTGCCTTTCATAGAGCAGGTTTCAAACACTCTTTTTTTAGTATATGGAAGTGGACGTTTCGGACGGTTTGAGGCCCATGGTGATAAAGGAAATATCTTCCCCTACAAGCTAGAAAGAAAGCATTCTGTGAAACTTGTTTGTGATGTGTGTACTCAACTAACAGAGTTGAACCTTTCTTTTTACAGAGCAGTTTTGAAACACTCTTTTTGTAGAATCTGCGAGGGGATATTTGGATACATTTCAGGATTTCGTTGGAAAGGGGAATATCTTCATATAAAATCTCGACAGAAGCATTCTCAGAAACTTCTTTGTGATATCTGCATTCAAGTCACAGAGTTGAATATTCCCTTTCACAGAGTAGGTTTGAAACACTCTTTTTGTAGTATCTGGAAGTGGACATTTGGAGCGCCCTGACGCCTACGGTGAAAAGAGAAATATCTTCCCATAAAAACTAGACAGAAGCAATCTCAGAATCTTCTTTGGGATATATGCACGCAGCTAACAGAGTTGAACCTTTCTATTGACAGAGCAGTTTTGAAACAGTCTTTCTGTGGAATCTGCAAGTGGATATTTGGATAGCTTGGAGGATTTCGTTGGAAACGGGAATACGTATAAAAAGTAGACAGCAGCATCCTCAGAAACTTCTTTGTGATGTCTGCATTCAAGTCACAGAGTTGAACATTCCCTTTCGTACAGCAGTTTTGAAACACTCTTTCTGTAGTATCTGGAAGTGAACATTAGGAGAGCTTTCAGGTCTATGGTGAGAAAGGAAATATCTTCAAATAAAAACTAGACAGAAGCATTCTCATAAACTTGTTTGTGATGTGTGAACTCAGCTAACAGAGGTGGATCTTTCTTTTGATAGAGCAGTTCTGAAAAACACTTTTTGCTGAATCTGCAAGTGGACATTTGGATAGATTTGAAGATTTCGTTGGAAACGGGAATATCTTCATATCAAATCTAGACAGAAGCATTCTCAGAAACGGCTTTGTGATGTTTGCATTCAACTCATAGAGTTGAAAATTCCCTTTCAGAGAGCAGCTTTGAAGCACTCTTTTTGTAGTATGTGCAAGTGGATATTTGGAGCGCTCTGAGGCCTACGGTGAAAAAGCAAATATCTTCCCATAACCACTAGACAGAAACATTCTCAGAAACTCCTTTATGACGTATGCACTCACCTAACAGAAAAGAACCTTCCTTTTGACAGGGCAGTTTTGATACACTCTTTTTGTAGAATCTGCAAGTGGATATTTGGATAGCTGTGAAGATTTCGTTGGAAACGGGAATATCTTCCTATAAAATCTAGACAGAAGCATTCTCAGAAACTGCTCTGCGATGTCTGCATTCAAGTCACAGAGTTGAACATTGCCTTTCATAGAGCAGGTTTGAAACGCTCTTTTTGTAGTATATGGAAGTGGACTTATCGGACGGTTTGAGGCCCATGGTGATAAAGGGAATATCTTCCCCTACAAGCTAGAAAGAAGCATTCTGTGAAACTTGTTTGTGATGTGTGTACTCAACTAACAGAGTTGAACCTTTCTTTTTACAGAGCAGTTTTGAAACACTCTTTTTGTAGAATCTGCGAGGGGATATTTGGATACATTTCAGGATTTCGTTGGAAACGGGAATATCTTCATATAAAATCCTCGACAGAAGCATTCTCAGAAGCTTCTTTGTGATATGTGCATTCAAGTCACAGAGTTGAATATTCCCTTTCACAGAGTAGGTTTGAAACACCCTTTTTCTAGTATCTGGAAGTGGACATTTGGAGCGCCTTGACGCCTACAGTGAAAAGGGAAATATCTTCTCATAAAAAGTAGAC
The DNA here is from genome assembly GCF_000001405.40 of Homo sapiens. Classification (NCBI taxonomy): domain Eukaryota; kingdom Metazoa; phylum Chordata; class Mammalia; order Primates; family Hominidae; genus Homo; species Homo sapiens. The sequence goes on from NC_000014.9 coordinate 16,543,820, forward strand.
AGAAGCAATCTCAGAATCTCCTTTGGGATATATGCACGCAGCTAACAGAGTTGAACCTTTCTATTGACAGACCAGTTTTGAAACAGTCTTTCTGTGGAATCTGCAAGTGGATATTTGGATAGCTTGGAGGATTTCGTTGGAAACGGGATTACGTATAAAAAGTAGACAGCAGCATCCTCAGAAACTTCTTTGTGATGTGTGCATTCAAGTCACAGAGTTGAACATTCCCTTTCATACATCAGTTTTGAAACACTCTTTCTGTAGTATCTGGAAGTGAATTTTAGGAGAGCTTTCATGTCTATAGTTGGAAAGGATATATCTTCAAATAAAAACTAGACAGAAGCATTCTCATAAACTTCTTTGTGATGTGTGAACTCAGCTAACCAAGGTGGATCTTTCTTTTGATAGAGCAGTTCTGAAAAACACTTTTTGTTGAATCTGCAAGTGGACATTTGGATAGATTTGAAGGTTTCGTTGGAAACGGGAATATCTTCATATCAAATCTAGACAGAAGCATTCTCAGAGACGTCTTTGTGATGTTTGCATTCAACTCATAGAGTTGAACATTCCCTTCCAGAGAGTAGCTTTGAAGCACTCTTTTTGTAGCATGTGCAAGTGGACATTTGGAGCGCCCTGAGGCCTACGGGGAAAAAGCAAATATCTTCCCATAACCACTAGACAGAAACATTCTCAGAAACTTCTTTCTGACGTATGTACTCAACTAACAGAGAAGAACCTACCTTTTGACAGAGCATTTTTGATACACTCTTTTTGTAGAATATGCAAGTGGATATTTGGATAGCTCTGAAGATTTCTTTGGAAACGGGAATATCTTCATATCAAATCTAGACAGAAGCATTCTCAGAAACTGCTCTGTGATGTCTGCATTCAAGTCACAGAGTTGAACATTGCCTTTCAGAGACCAGGTTTGAAACGCTCTTTTTGTAGTATATGGAAGTGGATGTTTCGGACGGTTGGAGGCCCATGGTGATAAAGGGAATATCTTCCCCTACAAGCTAGAAAGAAGCATTCTGTGAAACTTGTTTGTGATGTGTGTACTCAACTAAAAGAGTTGAACCTTTCTTTTCACAGAGCAGTTTTGAAACACTCTTTTTGTAGAATCTGCGAGCGGATATTTGGATAGATTTCAGGATTTCGTTGGAAACGGGAATATCTTCATATAAAATCTCGACAGAAGCATTCTCAGAAACTTCTTTGTGACATCTGCCTTTAAGTCACAGAGTTGAATATTCCCTTTCACAGAGTAGGTTTGAAGCACTCTTTTTGTAGTATCTGGAAGTGGACATTTGGAGCGCCTTGACACCTACGGTGAAAAGGGAAATATCTTCCCATAAAAACTAGACAGAAGCAATTTCAGAATCTTCTTTGGGATATATGCACGCAGCTAACAGAGTTGAACCTTTCTATTGACAGAGCAGTTTTGAAACAGTCTTTCTGTGGAATCTGCAAGTGGATATTTGGATAGTTGGAGGATTTCGTTGGAAACGGGATTACGTATAAAAAGTAGACAGCAGCATCCTCAGAAACATCCTTGTGATGTGTGCATTCAAGTCACAGAGTTGAACATTCCCTTTCGTACAGCAGTGTTGAAATACTCTTTCTGTAGTATCTGGAAGTGAACTTTAGGACAGCTTTCAGGTCTATAGTGAGAAAGGATATATCTTCAAATAAAAACTAGACAGAAGCATTCTCATAAACTTGTTTGTTATGTGTGAACTCAGCTAACACACGTGGATCTTTCTTTTGATAGAGCAGTTCTGAAAAACAATTTTTGTTGAATCTGCAAGTGGACATTTGGATAGATTTGAAGATTTCCTTGGAAACGGGAATATCTTCATATCAAATCTAGACAGAAGCATTCTCAGAAACGTCTTTGTCATGTTTGCATTCAACTCATAGAGTTGAACATTCCCTTTCAGAGAGCAGCTTTGAAAGACTCTTTTTGTAGTATGTGCAAGTGGATATTTGGAGCGCTCTGAGGCCAACGGTGAAAAAGCAAATATCTTCCCATAACCACTAGACAGAAACATTCTCAGAAACTCCTTTATGACGTATGCACTCACCTAACAGAGAAGAACCTTCCTTTTGACAGAGCAGTTTTGATACACTCTTTTTGTAGAATCTGCAAGTGGATATTTGAATAGCATTGAAGATTTCGTTGGAAACGGGAATATCTTCCTATAAAATCTAGACAGCAGCATTCTCAGAAACTGCTCTGTGATGTCTGCATTCAAGTCACAGAGTTGAACGTTGCCTTTCATAGAGTAGGTTTCAAACACTCTTTTTTTAGTATATGGAAGAGCACGTTTCGGACGGATTGAGGACCATGGTGATAAAGGAAATATCTTCCCCTACAAGCTAGAAAGAAGCATTCTGTGATACTTGTTTGTGATGTGTGTACTCAACTAACAGAGTTGAACCTTTCTTTTTACAGAGCAGTTTTGAAACACTCTTTTTGTAGAATCTGCGAGGGGATATTTGGATAGATTTCAGAATTTCGTTGGAAACGGGAATATCTTCATATAAAATCTCGACAGAAGCATTCTCAGAAACTTCTTTGTGATATGTGCATTCAAGTCACAGAGTTGAATATTCCCTTTCACAGAGTAGGTTTGAAACACTCTTTTTGTAGTATCTGGAAGTGGACATTTGGAGAGCCTTGACGCCTACGGTGAAAAGGGAAATATCTTCCCATAAAAACTAGACAGAAGCAATCTCAGAATCTTCTTTGGGATATATGCACGCAGCTAACAGAGTTGAACATTTCTATTGACAGAGCAGTTTTGAAACAGTCTTTCTGTGGAATCTGCAAGTGGATATTTGGATAGCTTGGAGGATTTTGTTGGAAACGGGATTACGTATAAAAAGTAGACAGCAGCATCCTCAGCAAACTTCTTTGTGATGTGTGCATTCAAGTCACAGAGTTGAACATTCCCTTTCGTACAGCAGTTTTGAAACACTCTTTCTGTAGTAACTGGAAGTGAACATTAGGACAGCTTTCAGGTCTATGGTGAGAAAGGAAATATCTTCAAATAAAAACTAGACAAAAGCATTCTCATAAACTTGTTTGTGATGTGTGAACTCAGCTAACAGAGATGGATCTTTCTTTTGATAGAGCAGTTCTGAAAAACACTTTTTGTTGAATCTGCAGGTGGACATTTGGATAGATTTGAAGATTTCGTTGGAAACGGGAATATCTTCATATCAAATCTAGGCAGAAGCATTCTCGGAAACGTCTTTGTGATGTTTGCATTCAACTCATAGAGTTGAACATTCCGTTTCAGAGAGCAGCTTTGAGGCACTCATTTTGTAGTATGTGCAAGTGGATATCTGGAGTGCTCTGAAGCCTTTGGTGAAAAAGCAAATATCTTCCCATAACCACCAGACAGAAACATTCTCAGAAACTCCTTTATGACGTATGCACTCACCTAACAGAGAAGGACCTTCCTTTTGACAGAGCACTTTTGATACACTCTTTTTGTAGAATCTGCAAGTGGATATTGGGATAGCTGTGAAGATTTCATTGGAAACGGGAATATCTTCCTATAAAATCTAGACAGAAGCATTCTCAGAAACTGCTCTGTGATGTCTGCATTCATGTCACGGAGTTGACCATTGCCTTTCATAGAGCAGGTTTGAAACGCTCTTTTTGTAGTATATGGAAGTGGACGTTTCGGACGGTTTGAGGCCCATGGTGATAAAGGGAATATCTTCCCCTACAAGCTAGAAAGAATCATTCTGTGAAACTTGTTTGTGATGTGTGTACTCAAGTAACAGAGTTGAACCTTTCTTTTTACAGAGCAGTTTTGAAACACTCTTTTTGTAGAATCTGCGAGGGGATATTTGGAGAGATTTCAGGATTTCGTGGGAAACGGGAATATCTTCATATAAAATCTCGACAGAAGCATTCTCAGAATCTTCTTTGTGATATCTGCATTCAAGTCACAGAGTTGAATATTCCCTTTCACAGAGTAGGTTTGAAACACTCTTTTTGTAGTATCTGGAAGTGGACATTTGGAGCGCCTTGACGCCTACGGTGAAAAGGGAAATATCTTCCCATAAAAACTAGACAGAAGCAATCTCAGAATCTTCTTTGGGATATATGCACGCAGTTTACAGAGTTGAACCTTTCTATTGACAGAGCAGTTTTGAAACAGTCTTTCTGTGGAATCTGCAAGTGGATATTTGGATAGCTTGGAGGATTTCGTTGGAAACGGGATTACGTATAAAAAGTAGACAGCAGCATTCTCAGAAACTTCGTTGTGATGTGTGCATTCATGTCACAGAGTTCAACATTCCCTTTCATACAGCAGGTTTCAAACACTCTTTCTGTAGTATCTGGAAGTGAACATTATGAGAGTTTTCAGGTCTGCGGTGAGAAAGGAAATATCTAAAAATAAAAACTAGACAGGAAGCATTCTCATAAACTTGTTTGTGATGTCTGAACTCAGCTAACAGAGGTGGATCTTTCTTTTGATAGAGCAGTTCTGAAAAACACTTTTTGTTGAGTCTGCAAGTGGACATTTGGATAGATTTGAAGATTTCGTTGGAAACGGGAATATCTTCATATCAAATCTAGACAGAAGCATTCTCAGAAACGTCTTTGTGATGTTTACATTCAACTCATAGAGTTGAACATTCCCTTTCAGAGAGCAGCTTTGAAGCACTCTTTTTGTAGCATGTGCAAGTGGACATTTGGAGCGCTCTGAGGCCTACGGGGAAAAAGCAAATATCTTCCCATAACCACTAGACAGAAAACATTCTCAGAAACTCCTTTATGACGTATGCACTCACCTAGCAGAGAAGAACCTTCCTTTTGACAGAGCAGTTTTGATACACTCTTTTTGTAGAATCTGCAAGTGGATATTTGGATAGCTGTGAAGATTTCGTCGGAAACGGGAATATCTTCCTATAAAATCTTGACAGAAGCATTCTCAGAAACTGCTCTGTGATGTCTGCATTCAAGTCACAGAGTTGAACATTGTCTTTCATAGAGCAGGTTTGAAACGCTCTTTTTGTAGTATATGGAAGTAGACGTTTCGGACGGTTTGAGGCCCATGGTGATAAAGGGAATATCTTCCCCTACAAGCTAGAAAGAAGCATTCTGTGAAACTTGTTTGTGAGGTGTGTACTCAACTAACAGAGTTGAACCTTTCTTTTTACAGAGCAGTTTTGAAACACTCTTTTTGTAGAATATGTGAGGGGATATTTGGATAGATTTCAGGATTTCGTTGGAAACGGGAATATCTTCATATAAAATCTCGACAGAAGCATTCGCAGAAACTTCTTCGTGATATGTGCATTCAAGTCACAGAGTTGAATATTCCCTTTCACAGAGTAGGTTTGAAACACTCTTTTTGTAGTATCTGGAAGTGGACATTTGGAGCGCCTTGATGCCTATGGTGAAAAGGGAAATATCTTCCCATAAAAACTAGACAGAAGCAACCTCAGAATCTTCTTTGGGATGTATGCACCCAGCTAACAGAGGTGAACCTTTCTATTGACAGAGCAGTTTTGAAACACTCTTTTTGTGGAATCTGCAAGTGGATATTTGGATAGCTTGGAGGATTTCGTTGGAAACGGGATTACGTATACAAAGTAGACAGCAGCATCCTCAGAAACATCCTTGTGATGTGTGCATTGAAGTCACAGAGTTGAACATTCCCTTTCGTACAGCAGTTTTGAAACACTCTTTCTGTAGTATCTGGAAGTGAACTTTAGGACAGCTTTCAGGTCTATAGTGAGAAAGGATATATCTTCAAATAAAAACTAGACAGATAAGCATTCTCATAAACTTGTTTGTGATGTGTGAACTCAGCTAACAGAGGTGGATCTTTCTTTTGATAGAGCAGTTCTGAAAAACACTTTTTGTTGAATCTGCAAGTGGACATTTGGATAGATTTGAATATTTCGTTGGAAACGGGAATATCGTCATATCAAATCTAGACAGAAGCATTCTCAGAAACGTCTTTGCGATGTTTGCATTCAACTCATAGAGTTGAACATTCCGTTTCAGAGAGCAGCTTTGAAGCACTCTTTTTGTAGTATGTGCAAGTGGATATTTGGAGCGCTCTGAGGCCTACGGTGAAAAAGCAAATATCTTCTCATAACCACTAGACAGAAACATTCTCAGAAACTCCTTTATGACGTATGTACTCAACTAACAGGAGAAGAACCTTCCTTTTGACAGAGCAGTTTTGATACACTCTTTTTGTGGAATCTGCAAGTGGATATTTGGATAGCTGTGAAGATTTCGTTGGAAACGGGAATATCTTCCTATAAAATCTAGACAGAAAGCATTCTCAGAAACTGCTCTGTGATGTCTGCATTCAAGTCACAGAGTTGAACATTGCCGTTCATAGAGCAGGTTTGAAACACTCTTTTTGTAGTATATGGAAGTGGACGTTTCGGACGGTTTGAGGCCCATGGTGATAAAGGGAATATCTTCCCCTACAAGCTAGAAAGAGCATTCTGTGAAACTTGTTTGTGATGTGTGTACTCAACTAACAGAGTTGAACCTTTCTTTTTACAGAGCAGTTTTGAAACACTCTTTTTGTAGAATCTGCGAGGGGATATTTGGATAGATTTCAGGATTTCGTTGGAAAGGGGAATATCTTCATATAAAATCTTGACAGAAGCATTCTCTGAAACTTCTTTGTGATATGTGCATTCAAGTCACAGAGTTCAATATTCCCTATCACAGAGTAGGTTTGAAACACTCTTTTTGTAGTATCTGAAGTGGACATTTGGAGCGCCTTGACGCCTACGGTGAAAAGGGAAATATCTTCTCATAAAAAGTAGACAGAAGCAATCTCAGAATCTTCTTTGGGATATATGTACGCAGCTAATAGAGTTGAACCTTTCTATTGACAGAGCAGTTTTGAAACAGTCTTTCTGTGGAATCTGTAAGTGGATATTTGGATAGCTTGGAGGATTTCGTTGGAAACGGGATTACGTATAAAAAGTAGACAGCAGCATCCTCAGAAACAACCTTGTGATGTGTGCATTCAAGTCACAGAGTTGAACATTCCCTTTCGTACAGCAGTTTTGAAACACTCTTTCTGTAGTATCTGGAAGTGAACTTTAGGAGAGCTTTCAGGTCTATAGTGAGAAAGGATATATCTTCAAATAAAAACTAGACAGAAGCATTCTGATAAACTTGTTTGTGAAGTGTGATCTCAGCTAACAGAGGTGGATCTTTCTTTTGATAGAGCAGTTCTGAAAAACATTTTGTTGAATCTGCAAGTGGACATTTGGATAGATTTGAAGATTTCGTTGGAAACGGGAATATCTTCATATCAAATCTAGACAGAAGCATTCTCAGAAACGTCTTTGTGATGTTTGCATTCAACCCATAGAGTTGAACATTCTGTTACAGAGAGCAGCTTTGAAGCGCTCTTTTTGTAGTATGTGCAAGTGGATATTTTGAGCGCTCTGAGGCCTAAGGTGAAAAAGCAAATATCTTCCCATAACCACTAGACAGAAACATTCTCAGAAACTCCTTTATGACGTATGCACTCACATAACAGAGAAGAACCTTCCTTTTGACAGAGCAGTTTTGATACACTCTTTTTGTAGAATCTGCAAGTGGATATTTGGATAGCTGTGAAGATTTCGTTGGAAACGGGAATATCTTCCTATAAAATCTAGACAGAAGCATTCTCAGAAACTGCTCTGTGATGTCTGCATTCAACTCACAGAGTTGAACATTGCCGTTCATAGAGCAGGTTTGAAACACTCTTTTTGTAGTATATGGAAGTGGACGTTTCGGACGGTTTGAGGCCCATGGTGATAAAGGGAATATCTTCCCATACAAGCTAGAAAGAAACATTCTCAGAAACTCCTTTATGACGTATGTACTCAACTAACAGAGAAGAACCTTCCTTTTGACAGAGCAGTTTTGAAACACTCTTTTTGTAGAATCTGCGAGGGGATATTTGGATAGCTTTCAGGATTTCATTGGAAACGGGAATATCTTCATATAAAATCTCGACAGAAGCATTCTCAGAAACTTCTTTGTGATATCTGCATTCAAGTCACAGAGTTGAATATTCCCTTTCAGAGAGTAGGTTTGAAACACTCTTTTTGTAGTATCTGGAAGTGGACATTTGGAGCGCCTTGACACCTACGGTGAAAAGGGAAATATCTTCCCATAAAAACTAGACAGAAGCAATCTCAGAATCTTCTTTGGGATATATGCACGCAGCTAAAAGAGTTGAACCTTTCTATTGACAGAGCAGTTTTGAAACAGTCTTTCTGTGGAATCTGCAAGTGGATATTTGGATAGCTTGGAGGATTTCGTTGGAAACGGGATTACGTATAAAAAGTAGACAGCAGCATCCTCAGAAACTTCTTTGTGATGTGTGCATTCAAGTCACAGAGTTGAACATTCCCTTTCGTACAGCAGTTTTGAAACACTCTTTCTGTAGTATCTGGAAGTGTACATTAGGACAGCTTTCAGGTCTATGGTGAGAAAGGAAATATCTTCAAATAAAAACTAGACAGAAGCATTCTCATAAACTTGTTTGTGATGTGTGAACTCAGCTAACAGACGTGGATCTTTCTTTTGATACAGCAGTTTTGAAAAACACTTTTTGTAGAATCTGCAAGTGGACATTTGGATAGATTTGAAGATTTCGTTGGAAACGGGAATATCTTCATATCAAATCTAGACAGAGGCATTCTCAGAAACGTCTTTGTGATGTTTGCATTCAACTCATAGAGTTGAACATTCCGTTTCAGAGAGCAGCTTTGAGGCACTCTTTTTGTAGTATGTGCAAGTGGATATTTGGAGCGCACTGAGGCCTACGGTGAAAAAGCAAATATCTTCCCATAACCACTAGACAGAAAACATTCTCAGAAACTCCTTTATGACGTATGCACTCACCTAACAGAGAAAAACCTTCCTTTTGACAGAGCAGTTTTGATACACTCTTTTTGTAGAATCTGCAAGTGGATATTTGGATAGCTGTGAAGATTTCGTTGGAAACGGGAATATCTTCCTATAAAATCTAGACAGAAGCATTCTCAGAAACTGCTCTGTGATGTCTGCATTCAAGTCACAGAGTTGAACATTGCCTTTCCTAGAGCAGGTTTGAAACGCTCTTTTTGTAGTATATGGAAGTGGACGTTTCAGACGGTTTGAGGCCGATGGTGATAAAGGGAATATCTTCCCCTACAAGCTAGAAAGAAGCATTCTGTGAAACTTGTTTGTGATGTGTGTACTCAACTAACAGAGTTGAACCTTTCTTTTTACAGAGCAGTTTTGATACACTCTTTTTGTAGAATCTGCGAGGGGATATTTGGATAGATTTCAGGATTTCGTTGGAAACGGGAATATCTTCATATAAAATCTCGACAGAAGCATTCTCAGAAACTTCTTTGTGATATGTGCATTCAAGTCACAGAGCTGAATATTCTGCCTTTCACAGAGTAGGTTTGAAACACTCTTTTTGTAGTATCTGGAAGTGGACATTTGGAGCGCCTTGACGCCTACGGTGAAAAGGGAAATATCTTCCCATAAAAACTAGACAGAAGCAATCCTCAGAATCTTCTTTGGGATATATGCACGCAGCTAACAGAGTTGAACCTTTCTATTGACAGAGCAGTTTTGAAACAGTCTTTCTGTGGAATCTGCAAGTGGATATTTGGATAGCTTGGAGGATTTCGTTGGAAACGGGATTACGTATAAAAAGTAAGACAGCAGCATCCTCAGAAACTTCTTTGTGATGTGTGCATTCAAGTCACAGAGTTGAACATTCCCTTTCGTACAGCAGTATTGAAACACTCTTTCTGTAGTATCTGGAAGTGAACATTAGGACAGCTTTCAGGTCTATGGTGAGAAAGTAAATATCTTCAAATAAAAACTAGACAGAAGCATTCTCATAAAGTTGTTTGTGATGTGTGAACTCAGCTAACAGAGGTGGATCTTTCTTTTGATAGAGCAGTTCTGAAAAACACTTTTTGTTGAATCTGCAAGTGGACATTTGGATAGATTTGAAGATTTCGTTGGAAACGGGAATATCTTCATATCAAATCTAGACAGAAGCATTCTCAGAAACGTCTTTGTGATGTTTGCATTCAACTCATAGAGTTGAACATTCCCTTTCAGAGAGCAGCTTTGATGCACTCTTTTTGTAGCATGTGCAAGTGGACATTTGGAGCGCCCTGAGGCCTACGGGGAAAAAGCAAATATCTTCCCATAACCACTAGACAGAAACATTCTCAGAAACTTCTTTATGACGTATGTACTCAACTAGCAGAGAAGAACTTTCCTTTTGACAGAGCACTTTTGATACACTCTTTTTGTAGAATCTGCAAGTGGATATTTGGATAGCTGTGAAGATTTCGTTGGAAACGGGAATATCTTCCTATGAAATCTAGACAGAAGCATTCTCAGAAACTGCTCTGTGATGTCTGCATTCACGTCACAGAGTTGAACATTGCCTTTCATAGAGCAGGTTTGAAACGCTCTTTTTGTAGTATATGGAAGTGGACGTTTCGGACGGTTTGAGGCCCATGGTGATAAAGGGAATATCTTCCCCTACAAGCTAGAAAGAAGAATTGTGTGAAACTTGTTTGTGATGTGTGTACTCAACTAACAGAGTTGAACCTTTCTTTTCACAGAGCAGTTTTGAAACACTCTTTTTGTAGAATCTGCGAGGGGATATTTGGATAGATTTCAGGATTTCGTTGGAAACGGGAATATCTTCATATAAAATCTCGACAGAAGCATTCTCAGAAACTTCTTTGTGATATGTGCATTCAAGTCACAGAGTTGAATATTCCCTTTCACAGAGTAGGTTTGAAACACTCTTTTTGTAGTATCTGGAAGTGGACATTTGGAGCGCCTTGACACCTACGGTGAAAAGGGAAATATTTCCCATGAAAACTAGACAGAAGCAATCTCAGAATCTTCTTTGGGGATATATGCACGCAGCTAACAGAGTTGAACCTTTCTATTGACAGAGCAGTTTTGAAACAGTCTTTCTGTGGAATCTGCAAGTGGATATTTGGATAGCTTGGAGGATTTCGTTGGAAACGGGATTACGCATAAAAAGTAGACAGCAGCATCCTCAGAAACTTCTTTGTGATGTGTGCATTCAAGTCACAGAGTTGAACATTCCCTTTCGTACAGCAGTTTTGAAACACTCTTCCTGTAGTATCTGGAAGTGAACATTAGAACAGCTTTCAGCTCTATGGTGAGAAAGGAAATATCTTCAAATAAAAACTAGACAGAAGCATTCTGATAAACTTGTTTGTGAAGTGTGAACTCAGCTAACAGAGGTGGATCTTTCTTTTGATAGAGCAGTTCTGAAAAACACTTTTTGTTGAATCTGCAAGTGGACATTTTGATAGAATTGAAGATTTCGTTGGAAACGGGAATATCTTCATATCAAATCTAGACAGAAGCATTCTCAGAAACGTCTTTGTGATGTTTGCATTCAACTCATAGAGTTGAACATTCCGTTTCAGAAAGCAGCTTTGAAGCACTCTTTTTGTAGTATGTGCAAGGGGATATTTGGAGCGCTCTGAGGCCTAAGGTGAAAAAGCAAATATCTTCCCATAACCACTAGACAGAAACATTCTCAGAAACTCCTTTATGACGTATGTACTCAACTAACAGAGAAGATCCTTCCTTTTGACAGAGCAGTTTTGATACACTCTTTTTGTAGAATCTGCAAGTGGATATTTGGATAGCTGTGAAGATTTCGTTGGAAACGGGAATATCTTCCTATAAAATCTAGACAGAAGCATTCTCAGAAACTGCTCTGTGATGTCTGCATTCAAGTCACAGAGTTGAACATTGCCTTTCATAGAGCAGGTTTGAAACGCTCTTTTTGTAGTATATGGAAGTGGATGTTTCGGACGGTTGGAGGCCCATGGTGATAAAGGGAATATCTTCCCGTACAAGCTAGAAAGAAGCATTCTGTGAAACTTGTTTGTGATGTGTGTACTCAACTAACAGAGTTGAACCTTTCTTTTTACAGAGCAGTTTTGAAACACTCTTTTTGTAGAATCTGCGAGGGGATATTTGGATAGATTTCAGGATTTCGTTGGTAACGGGAATATCTTCATATAAAATCTCGACAGAAGCATTCTCAGAAACTTCTTTGTTATATGTGCATTCGAGTCACAGAGTTGAATATTCCCTTTCACAGAGTAGGTTTGAAACACTCTTTTTGTAGTATCTGGAAGTGGACATTTGGAGCGCCTTGACACCTACGGTGAAAAGGGAAATATCTTCCCATAAAAACTAGACAGAAGCAATCTCAGAATCTTCTTTGCGATATATGCACGCAGCTAACAGAGTTGAACTTTTCTATTGACAGAGCAGTTTTGAAACAGTCTTTCTGTGGAATCTGCAAGTGGATATTTGGATAGATTGGAGGATTTCGTTGGAAACGGGATTACGTATAAAAAGTAGACAGCAGCGTCCTCAGAAACTTCTTTGTGATGTGTGCATTCAAGTCACAGAGTTGAACATTCCCTTTCGTACAGCAGTTTTGAAACACTCTTTCTGTAGTATCTGGAAGTGAACATTAGGACAGCTTTCAGGTCTATGGTGAGAAAGGAAATATCTTCAAATAAAAACTAGACAGAAGCATTCTCATAAACTTGTTTGTGATGTGTGAACTCAGCTAACACACGTGGATCTTTCTTTTGATACAGCAGTTTTGAAAAACACTTTTTGTTGAATCTGCAAGTGGACATTTGGATAGATATGAAGATTTCGTTGGAAACGGGAATATCTTCACATCAAATCTAGACAGAAGCATTCTCAGAAACGTCTTTGTGATGTTTGCATTCAACTCATAGAGTTGAACATTCCGTTTCAGAGACCAGCTTTGAAGCACTCTTTTTGTAGTATGTGCAAGTGGATATTTGGAGCGCTCTGAGGCCTACGGTGAAAAAGCAAATATCTTCCCATAACCACTAGACAGGAACATTCTCAGAAACTCCTTTATGACGTATGCACTCACCTAACAGAGAAGAACCTTCCTTTTGACAGAGCAGTTTTGATACAGTCTTTTTGTAGAATCTGCAAGTGGATATTGGGATAGCTGTGAAGATTTCGTTGGAAACGGGAATATCTTCCTATAAAATCTAGACAGAAGCATTCTCAGAAACTGCTCTGTGATGTCTGCATTCAAGTCACAGAGTTGAACATTGCCTTTCATAGAGCAGGTTTGAAACGCTCTTTTTGCAGTATATGGAAGTGGATGTTTCGGACGGTTTGAGGCCCATGGTGATAAAGGGAATATCTTCCCCTACAAGCTAGAAAGAAGCATTCTGTGAAACTTGTTTGTGATGTGTGTACTCAACTAACAGAGTTGAACCTTTCTTTTCACAGAGCAGTTTTGAAACACTCTTTTTGTACAATCTGCGAGCGGATATTTGGATAGATTTCAGGATTTCGTTGGAAACGGGAATATCTTCATATAAAATCTCGACAGAAGCATTCTCAGAAACTTCTTTGTGATATCGGCATTCAAGCCACAGAGTTGAATATTCCCTTTCACAGAGTAGGTTTGAAACACTCTTTTTGTAGTATCTGGAAGTGGACATTTGGAGCGCCTTGACACCTACGGTGAAAAGGGAAATATCTTCCCATAAAAACTAGACAGAAAGCAATCTCAGAATCTTCTTTGGGATATATGCACGCAGCTAACAGAGTTGAACCTTTCTATTGACAGAGCAGTTTTGAAACAGTCTTTCTGTGGAATCTGCAAGTGGATATTTGGATAGCTTGGAGGATTTCGTTGGAAACGGGATTACGCATAAAAAGTAGACAGAGCATCCTCAGAAACTTCTTTGTGATGTGTGCATTCAAGTCACAGAGTTGAACTTTCCCTTTCGTACAGCAGTTTTGAAACACTCTTTCTGTAGTACCTGGAAGTGAACATTAGGACAGCTTTCAGGTCTATGGTGAGAAAGGAAATATCTTCAAATAAAAACTAGACAGAAGCATTCTGATAAACTTGTTTGTGAAGTGTGAACTCAGCTAACAGAGGTGGATCTTTCTTTTGATACAGCAGTTCTGAAAAACACTTTTTGTTGAATCTGCAAGTGGACATTTGGATAGATTTGAAGATTTCGTTGGAAACGGGAATATCTTCATATCAAATCTAGACAGAAGCATTTCTCGGAAACGTCTTTGTGATGTTTGCATTCAACTCATAGAGTTGAACATTCCGTTTCAGAGAGCAGCTTTGAAGCACTCTTTTTGTAGTATGTGCAAGTGGATATTTGGAGCGCTGTGAGGCCTGCAGTGAAAAAGCAAATATCTTCCCATAACCACTAGACTGAAACATTCTCAGAAACTCCTTTATGACGTATGCACTCACCTAACAGAGAAGAACCTTCCTTTTGACAGAGCAGTTTTGATACACTCTTTTTGTAGAATCTGCAAGTGGATATTTGGATACCTGTGAATATTTCGTTGGAAACGGGAATATCTTCCTATAAAATCTAGACAGAAGCATTCTCAGAAACTGCTCTGTGATGTCTGCATTCAAGTCACAGAGTTGAACATTGCCTTTCATAGAGCAGGTTTGAAACGCTCTTTTTGTAGTATATGGAAGTGGACGTTTCGGACGGTTTGAGTCCCATGGTGATAAAGGGAATATCTTCCCCCACAAGCTAGAAAGAAGCATTCTGTGAAACTTGTTTGTGATGTGTGTACACAACCAACAGAGTTGAACCTTTCTTTTTACAGAGCAGTTTTGAAACACTCTTTTTGTAGAATCTGCGAGGGGATATTTGGATAGATTTCAGGATTTCATTGGAAACGGGAATATCTTCATATAAAATCTCGACAGAAGCATTCTCAGAAACTTCTTTGTGATATGTGCATTCAAGTCAGAGAGTTGAATATTCCCTTTCACAGAGTAGGTTTGAAACACTCTTTTTGTAGTATCTGGAAGTGGACATTTGGAGCGCCTTGACGCCTACGGTGAAAAGGGAAATATCTTCCCATAAAAACTAGACAGAAGTAATCTCAGAATCTTCTTTGGGATATATGCACGGAGCTAACAGAGTTGAACCTTTCTATTGACATAGCAGTTTTGAAACAGTCTTTCTGTGGAATCTGCAAGTGGATATTTGGATAGCTTGGAGGATTTCGTTGGAAACGGGATTACGTATAAAAAGTAGACAGCAGCATCCTCAGAAACTTCTTTGTGATGTGTGCATTCAAGTCACAGAGTTGAACATTCCCTTTCGTACAGCAGTTTTGAAACACTCTTTCTGTAGTATCTGGAAGTGAACATTAGGACAGCTTTCAGGTCTATGGTGAGAAGGGAAATATCTTCCAATAAAAACTAGACAGAAGCATTCTCATAAACTTGTTTGTGATGTGTGAACTCAGCTAACAGAGATGGGTCTTTCTTTTGATAGAGCAGTTCTGAAAAACACTTTTTGTTGAATCTGCAAGTGGACATTTGGATAGATTTGAAGATTTCGTTGGAAACGGGAATATCTTCATATCAAATCTAGACAGAAGCATTCTCAGAAACGTCTTTGGGATGTTTGCATTCAACTCATAGAGTTGAACATTCCGTTTCAGAGAGCAGTTTGAGGCACTCTTTTTGTAGTATGTGCAAGTGGATATTTGGAGCGCTCTGAGGCCTACGGTGAAAAAGCAAATATCTTCCCATAACCACTAGACAGAAACATTCTCAGAAACTTCTTTATGACGTATGTACTCAACTAGCAGATAAGAACTTTCCTTTTGACAGAGCATTTTTGATACACTCTTTTTGTAGTATCTGCAAGTGGATATTTGGATAGCTGTGAAGATTTCGTTGGAAACGGGAATATCTTCCTATAAAGTCTGGACAGAAGCATTCTCAGAAACTGCTCTGTGATGTCTGCATTCAAGTCACAGAGTTGAACATTGCCCTTCATAGAGCAGGTTTGAAACGCTCTTTTTGTAGTATATGGAAGTGGACTTATCGGACGGTTTGAGGCCCATGGTGATAAAGGGAATATCTTCCCCTACAAGCTAGAAAGAAGCATTCTGTGAAACTTGTTTGTGAGGTGTGTACTCAACTAACAGAGTTGAACCTTTCTTTTTACAGAGCAGTTTTGAAACACTCTTTTTGTAGAATCTGCGAGGGGATATTTGGATAGATTTCAGGATTTGGTTGGAAACGGGAATATCTTCATATAAAATCTCGACAGAAGCATTCTCAGAAACTTCCTTGTGATATGTGCATTCAAGTCACAGAGTTGAATATTCCCTTTCACAGAGTAGGTTTGAAACACTCTTTTTGTAGTATCTGGAAGTGGACATTTGGAGCGCCTTGACGCCTATGGTGAAAAGGGAAATATCTTCCCATAAAAACTAGACAGAAGCAATCTCAGAATCTTCTTTGGGATATATGCACGCAGCTAACAGAGTTGAACCTTTCTATTGACAGAGCAGTTTTGAAACAGTCTTTCTGTGGAATCTGCAAGTGGATATTTGGATAGCTTGGAGGATTTCGTTGGAAACGGGATTACGTATAAAAAGTAGACCGCAGCATCCTCAGAAACATCTTTGTGATGTGGGCATTCAAGTCACAGAGTTGAACATTCCCTTTCGTACAGCAGTTTTGAAACACTCTTTCTGTAGTATCTGGAAGTGAACATTAGGACAGCTTTCAGGTCTATGGTGAGAAAGGAAATATCTTCAAATAAAAACTAGACAGAAGCATTCTCATAAACTTGTTTGTGATGTGTGAACTCAGCTAACAGAGGTGGATCTTTCTTTTGATAGAGCAGTTCTGAAAAACACTTTTTGTTGAATCTGCAAGTGGACATTTGGAAAGATTTGAAGATTTCGTTGGAAACGGGAATATCTTCATATCAAATCTAGACAGACGCATTCTCAGAAACGTCTTTGTGATGTTTGCATTCAACTCATAGAGTTGAACATTCCGTTTCAGAGAGCAGCTTTGAAGCACTCCTTTTGTAGTATGTGCAAGTGGATATTTGGTGCGCTCTGAGGCCTACGGTGAAAAAGCAAATATCTTCCCATAACCACTAGACAGAAACATTCTCAGAAACTCCTTTATGACGTATGTACTCAACTAACAGAGAAGAACCTTCCTTTTGACAGAGCAGTTTTGATACACTCTTTTTGTAGAATCTGCAAGTGGATATTTGGATAGCTGTGAAGATTTCGTTGGAAGCGGGAATATCTTCCTATAAAATCTAGACAGAAGCATTCTCAGAAACTGCTCTGTGATGTCTGCATTCAAGTCACAGAGTTGAACATTGCCTTTCATAGAGCAGGTTTGAAACGCTCTTTTTGTAGTATATGGAAGTGGATGTTTCGGACGGTTGGAGGCCTATGGTGATAAAGGGAATATCTTCCCCTACAAGCTAGAAAGAAGCATTCTGTGAAACTTGTTTGTGATGTCTGTACTCAACTAACAGAGTTGAACCTTTCTTTTCACAGAGCAGTTTTGAAACACTCTTTTTGTAGAATCTGCGAGGGGATATTTGGATAGATTTCAGGATTTCGTTGGAAACGGGAATATCTTCATATAAAATCTCGACAGAAGCATTCTCAGAAACTTCATTGTGATATCTGCATTCAAGTCACAGAGTTGAATATTCCCTTTCAGAGAGTAGGTTTGAAACACTCTTTTTGTAGTATCTGGAAGTGGACATTTGAAGCGCCTTGACACCTACGGTGAAAAGGGAAATATCTTCCCATAAAAACTAGACAGAAGCAATCTCAGAATCTTCTTTGGGATATATGCACGCAGCTAACAGAGTTGAACCTTTCTATTGACAGAGCAGTTTTGAAACAGTCTTTCTGTGGAATCTGCAAGTGGATATTTGGATAGCTTGAAGGATTTCGTTGGAAACGGGATTAAGTATAAAAAGTAGACAGCAGCATCCTCAGAAACTTCTTTGTGATGTGTGCATTCAAGTCACAGAGTTGAACATTCCCTTTCGTACAGCAGTTTTGAAACACTCTTTCTGTAGTATCTGGAAGTGAACATTAGGACAGCTTTCAGGTCTACGGTGAGAAAGGAAATATCTTCAAATAAAAACTAGACAGAAGCATTCTCATAAACTTGTTTGTGATGTGTGAACTCAGCTAACACACGTGGATCTTTCTTTTGATAGAGCAGTTCTGAAAAACAATTTTTGTTGAATCTGCAAGGGGACATTTGGATAGATTTGAAGATTTCGTTGGAAACGGGAATATCTTCATATCAAATCTAGACAGAAGCATTCTCAGAAAGGTCTTTGTGATGTTTGCATTCAACTCATAGAGTTGAACATTCCCTTCCAGAGAGTAGCTTTGAAGCACTCTTTTTGTAGCATGTGCAAGTGGACATTTGGAGCGCCCTGAGGCCTACGGGGAAAAAGCAAATATCTTCCCATAACCACTAGACAGAAACATTCTCAGAAACTCCTTTATGACGTATGCACTCACCTAACAGAGGAGAACCTTCCTTTCGACAGAGCAGTTTTGATACACTCTTTTTGTAGAATCTGCAAGTGGATATTTGGATAGCTGTGAAGATTTCGTTGGAAACGGGAATATCTTCCTATAAAATCTAGACAGAAGCATTCTCAGAAACTGCTCTGTGATGTCTGCATTCAAGTCACAGAGTTGAACATTGCCTTTCCTAGAGCAGGTTTGAAACGCTCTTTTTGTAGTATATGGAAGTGGACGTTTCGGACGGTTTGAGGCGCATGGTGATAAAGGGAGTATCTTCCCCTACAAGCTAGAAAGAAGCATTCTGTGAAACTTGTTTGTGATGTGTGTACTCAACTAACAGAGTTGAACCTTTCTTTTTACAGAGCAGTTTTGAAACACTCTTTTTGTAGAATCTGTGAGGGGATATTTGGATAGATTTCAGGATTTCGTTGGAAACGGGAATATCCTCATATAAAATCTCGACAGAAGCATTCTCAGAAACTTCTTTGGGATATCTGCATTCAAGTCACATAGTTGAATATTCCCTTTCACAGAGTAGGTTTCAAACACTCTTTTTGTAGTATCTGGAAGTGGACATTTGGAGCGCCTTGATGCCTACGGTGAAAAGGGAAATATCTTCCCATAAAAACTAGACAGAAGGAATCTCAGAATCTTCTTTGGGATATATGCACGCAGCTAACAGAGTTGAACCTTTCTATTGACAGAGCGGTTTTGAAACAGTCTTTCTGTGGAATCTGCAAGTGGATATTTGGATAGCTTGGAGGATTTCGTTGGAAACGGGATTAAGTATAAAAAGTAGACAGCAGCATCCTCAGAAACTTCTTTGTGATGTGTGCATTCAAGTCACAGAGTTGAACGTTCCCTTTCGTACAGCAGTTTTGAAACACTCTTTCTGTAGTATCTGGAAGTGAACATTAGGACAGCTTTCAGGTCTATGGTGAGAAAGGAAATATCTTCAAATAGAAACTAGACAGAAAGCATTCTCATAAACTTGTTTGTGATGTGTGAACTCAGCTAACAGACGTGGATCTTTCTTTTGATACAGCAGTTTTGAAAAACACTTTTTGTTGAATCTGCAAGTGGACATTTGGATAGATATGAAGATTTCGTTGGAAACGGGAATATCTTCATATCAAATCTAGACAGAGCATTGTCAGAAACGTCCTTGTGATGTTTGCATTCAACTCATAGAGTTGAACATTCCCTTTCAGAGAGCAGCTTTGAAGCACTCTTTTTGTAGTATGTGCAAGTGGATATTTGGAGCGCTCTGAGGCCTAAGGTGAAAAAGCAAATATCTTCCCATAACCACTAGACAGAAACATTCTCAGAAACTTCTTTATGACGTATGTACTCAACTAACAGAGAAGAACCTTCCTTTTTACAGAGCAGTATTGATACACTCTTTTTGTAGACTCTGCAAGTGGATATTTGGATATCAGTGAAGAATTCGTTGGAAACGGGAATATCTTCCTATAAAATCTAAACAGAAGCATTCTCAGAAACTGCTCTGTGATGTCTGCATTCAAGTCAGAGAGTTGAACATTGCCTTTCACAGAGGAGGTATGAAACGCTCTTTTCGTAATATATGGAAGTGGACGTTTCGGACGGCTTGATGCCCATGGAGATAAAGGAAATATCTTCCCCTACAAGCTAGAAAGAAGCATTCTGTGAAACTTGTTTGTGATGTGTGTACTCAACTAACAGAGTTGAACTTTTCTTTTTACAGAGCAGTTTTGAAACACTCTTTTTGTAGAATCTGCGAGGGGATATTTGGATAGATTTCAGGATTTCGTTGGAAAGGGGAATATCTTCATATAAAATCTCGACAGAAGCATTCTCAGAAACTTCTTTGTGATATGTGCATTCAAGTCACAGAGTTGAATATTCCCTTTCACAGAGTAGGTTTGAAACAATCTTTTTGTAGTATCTGGAAGTGGACATTTGGAGCGCCTTGACGCCTACGGTGAAAAGGGAAATATCTTCCCATAAAAACTAGACAGAAGCAATCTCAGAATTATCTTTGGGATATATGCACACAGCTAACAGAGTTGAACTTTTCTATTGACATAGCAGTTTTGAAACAGTCTTTCTGTGGAATCTGCAAGTGGATATTTGGATAGCTTGGAGGATTTCGTTGGAAATGGGATTACGTATAAAAAGTAGACAGCAGCATCCTCAGCAAACTTCTTTGTGATGTGTGCATTCAAGTCACAGTGTTGAACATTCCCTTTCGTACAGCAGTTTTGAAACACTCTTTCTGTAGTATCTGGAAGTGAACATTAGGACAGCTTTCAGGTCTATGGTGAGAAAGGAAATATCTTCAAATAAAAACAAGACAGAAGCATTCTCATAAACTTGTTTGTGATGTGTGAACTCAGCTAACAGAGGTGGATCTTTCTTTTGATAGAGCAGTTCTGAAAAAAACTTTTTGTTGAATCTGCAAGTGGACATTTGGATAGATTTGAAGATTTCGTTGGAAACGGGAATATCTTCATATCAAATCTAGACAGAAGCATTCTCAGAAACGTCTTTGTGATGTTTGCATTCAACTCATAGAGTTGAACATTCCGTTTCAGAGAGCAGCTTTGAAGCACTCTTTTTGTAGTATGTGCAAGTGGATATTTGGAGCGCTCTGAGGCCTACGTTGAAAAAGCAAATATCTTCCCATAACCACTAGACAGAAACATTCTCAGAAACTCCTTTATGACGTATGCACTCACCTAACAGAGAAGAACCTTCCTTTTGACAGAGCACTTTTCATACACTCTTTTTGTAGAATCTGAAAGTGGATATTTGGATAGCTGTGAAGATTTCGTTGGAAACGGGAATATCTTCCTATAAAATCTAGACAGAAGCATTCTCAGAAACAGCTCTGTGATGTCTGCATTCAAGTCACAGAGTTGAACATTGCCTTTCATAGAGCAGGTTTGAAACGCTCTTTTTGAAGTATATGGAAGTGGACGTTTCGGACGGTTTGAGGCCCATGGTGATAAAGGGAATATCTTCCCCTACAAGCTAGAAAGAAGCATTGTGTGAAACTTGTTTGTGATGTGTGTACTCCACTAACAGAGTTGAACCTTTCTTTTTACAGAGCAGTTTTGAAACACTCTTTTTGTAGAATCTGCGAGGGGATATTTGGATAGATTTCAGGATTTCGTTGGAAACGGGAATATCTTCATATAAAATCTCGACAGAAGCATTCTCAGAAACTTCTTTGTGATATCTGCATTCAAGTCACAGAGTTGAATATTCCCTTTCACAGAGTAGGTTTGAAACACTCTTTTTGTAGTATCTGGAAGTGGACATTTGGAGCGCCTTGACACCTACGGTGAAAAGGGAAATATTTTCCCATAAAAAGTAGACAGAAGCAATCTCAGAATCTTCCTTTGGGATATATGCACGCAGCTAACAGAGTTGAACCTTTCTATTGACAGAGCAGTTTTGAAACAGTCTTTCTGTGGAATCTGCAAGTGGATATTTGGATAGCTTGGAGGATTTCGTTGGAAACGGGATTACGTATAAAAAGTAGACAGCAGCATTCTGTGAAACTTGTTTGTGATGTGTGTACTCAACTAACAGAGTTGAACCTTTCTTTTTACAGAGCAGTTTTGAAACACTCTTTCTGTAGTATCTGGAAGTGAACATTAGGACAGCTTTCAGGTCTATGGTGAGAAAGGAAATATCTTCAAATAAAAACTAGACAGAAGCATTCTCATAAACTTGTTTGTGATGTGTGAACTCAGCTAACAACGGTGGATCTTTCTTTTGATAGAGCAGTTCTGAAAAACACTTTTTGTTGAATCTGCAAGTGGACATTTGGATAGTTTTGAAGATTTCCTTGGAAAAAGGAATATCTTCATATCAAATCTAGACAGAAGCATTCTCAGAAACGTCTTTGTGATGTTTGCATTCAACTCATAGAGTTGAACATTCCCTTTCAGAGAGCAGCTTTGAAGCACTCTTTTTGTAGTATGTGCAAGGGGATATTTGGAGCGCTGTGAGGCCTACGGTGAAAAAGCAAATATCTTCCCATAACCACTAGACAGAAACATTCTCAGAAACTCCTTTATGACGTATGCACTCACCTAACAGAGAAGAACCTTCCTTTTGACAGAGCAGTTTTGATACACTCTTTTTGTAGAATCTGCAAGTGGATATTTGGATATCTGTGAAGATTTCGTTGGAAACGGGAATATCTTCCTATAAAATCTAGACAGAATCATTCTCAGAAACTGCTCTGTGATGTCTGCATTCAAGTCACAGAGTTGAACATTGCCTTTCCTAGAGCAGGTTTGAAACGCTCTTTTTGTAGTATATGGAAGTGGACGTTTCGGACGGTTTGAGGCCCTTGGTGATAAAGGGAATATCTTCCCCTACAAGCTAGAAAGAAGCATTCTGTGAAACTTGTTTGTGATGTGTGTACTCAACTAACAGAGTTGAACCTTTCTTTTTACAGAGCAGTTTTGAAACACTCTTTTTGTAGAATGTGCGAGGGGATATTTGGATAGATTTCAGGATTTCGTTGGAAACGGGAATATCTTCATATAAAATCTCGACAGAATCATTCTCAGAAACTTCTTTGTGATATGTGCATTCAAGTCACAGAGTTGAATATTCCCTTTCACAGAGTAGGTTTGAAACACTCTTTTTGTAGTATCTGGAAGTGGACATTTGGAGCGCCTTGACGCCTACGGTGAAAAGGGAAATATCTTCCCATAAAAACTAGACAGAAGCAATCTCAGAATCCTCTTTGGGATACATGCACGCAGCTAACAGAGTTGAACCTTTCTATTGACAGAGCAGTTTTGAAACAGTCTTTCTGTGGAATCTGCAAGTGGATATTTGGATAGCTTGGAGGATTTCGTTGGAAACAGGATTACGTATAAAAAGTAGACAGCAGCATCCTCAGAAACTTCTTTGTGATGTATGCATTCAAGTCCCAGAGTTGAACATTCCCTTTCGTACAGCAGTTTTGAAACACTCTTTCTGTAGTATCTGGAAGTGAACATTAGGACAGCTTTCAGGTCTAGGGTGAGAAAGGAAATACCTTCAAATAAAAACTAGACAGAAGCATTCTCATAAACTTGTTTATGATGTCTGAACTCAGCTAACAGAGGTGGATCTTTCTTTTGATAGAGCAGTTCTGAAAAACACTTTTTGTTGAATCTGCAAGTGGACATTTGGATAGATTTGAAGATTTCGTTGGAAACGTGAATATCTTCAAATCAAATCTAGACAGAAGCATTCTCAGAAAGGTCTTTGTGATGTTTGCATTCAACTCATAGTAGTTGAACATTCCCTTCCAGAGAGTAGCTTTGAAGCACTCTTTTTGTAGCATGTGCAAGTGGACATTTGGAGCGCCCTGAGGCCTACGGGGAAAAAGCAAATATCTTCCCATAACCACTAGACAGAAACATTCTCAGAAACTCCTTTATGACGTATGCACTCACCTAACAGAGAAGAACCTTCCTTTTGACAGAGCAGTTTTGATACACTCTTTTTGTAGAATCTGCAAGTTTATATTGGGATAGCTGTGAAGATTTCGTTGGAAACGGGAATATCTTCCTATAAAATCTAGACAGAAGCATTCTCAGAAACTGCTCTGTGATGTCTGCATTCAAGTCACAGAGTTCAACATTGCCTTTCCTAGAGCAGGTTTGAAACGCTCTTTTTGTAGTATATGGAAGTGGACGTTTCGGACGGTTTGAGGCCCATGGTGATAAAGGGAATATCTTCCCCTACAAGCTAGAAAGAAGCATTCTGTGAAACTTGTTTGTGATGTGTGTACTCAACTAACAGTGTTGAACCTTTCTTTATACAGAGCAGTTTTGAAACACTCTTTTTGTAGAATCTGCGAGGGGATATTTGGATAGATTTCAGGATTTCGTTGGAAACGGGAATATCTTCATATAAAATCTCGACAGAAGCATTCTCAGAAACTTCTTTGTGATATCTGCCTTCAAGTCACAGAGTTGAATATTCCCTTTCACAGAGTAGGTTTGAAACACTCTTTTTGTAGTATCTGGAAGTGGACATTTGGAGGGCCTTGACGCCTACGGTGAAAAGGGAAATATCTTCCCATAAAAACTAGACAGAGAAGCAATCTCAGAATCTTCTTTGGGATATATGCACGCAGCTAACATAGTTGAACCTTTCTATTGACAGAACAGTTTTGAAACAGTGTTTCTGTGGAATCTGCAAGTGGATATTTGGATAGCTTGGAGGATTTCGTTGGAAACGGGATTACGTATAAAAAGTAGACAGCAGCATCCTCAGAAACTTCTTTGTGATGTGTGCATTCAAGTCACAGAGTTGAACATTCCCTTTAGTACAGCAGTTTTGAAACACTCTTTCTGTAGTATCTGGAAGTGAACATTAGGACAGCTTTCAGGTCTATGGTGAGAAAGGAAATATCTTCAAATAAAAACTAGACAGAAGCATTCTGATAAACTTGTTTGTGAAGAGTGATCTCAGCTAACAGAGGTGGATCTTTCTTTTGATAGAGCAGTTCTGAAAAACACTTTGTTGAATCTGCAAGTGGACATTTGGATAGATTTGAAGATTTCGTTGGAAACGGGAATATCTTCATATCAAATCTAGACAGAAGCATTCTCAGAAACGTCTTTGTGATGTTGGCATTCAACTCATAGAGTTGAAGATTCCCTTTCAGAGAGCAGCTTTGAAGCACTCTTTTTGTAGTATGTGCAAGGGGATATTTGGAGCGCTCTGAGGCCTACGGTGAAAAAGCAAATATCTTCCCATAACCACTAGACAGAAACATTCTCAGAAACTCCTTTATGACGTATGCACTCACCTAACAGAAAAGAACCTTCCTTTTGACAGAGCAGTTTTGATACACTCTTTTTGTAGAATCTGCAAGTGGATATTTGGATAGCTGTGAAGATTTCGTTGGAAACGGGAATATCTTCCTATAAACTCTAGACAGAAGCATTCTCAGAAACTGCTCTGTGATGTCTGCATTCAAGTCACAGAGCTGAACATTGCCTTTCATAGAGCAGGTTTGAAACACTCTTTTTGTAGTATATGGAAGTGGACGTTTCGGACGGTTTGAGGCCCATGGTGATAAAGGGAATATCTTCCCCTACAAGCTAGAAAGAAGCATTCTGTGAAACTTGTTTGTGATGTGTGTACTCAACTAACAGAGTTGAACCTTTCGTTTTACAGAGCAGTGTTGAACCACTCTTTCTGTAGAATCTGCGAGGGGATATTTGGATAGATTTCAGGATTTCCTTGGAAACGGGAATATCTTCATATAAAATCTCGACAGAAGCATTCTCAGAAACTTCTTTGTGATATCTGCATTCAAGTCACAGAGTTGAATATTCCCTTTCACAGAGTAGGTTTGAAACACTCTTTTTGTAGTATCTTTAAGTGGACATTTGGAGCGCCTTGACACCTACGGTGAAAAGGGAAATATCTTCCCATAAAAACTAGACAGAAGCAATCTCAGAATCTTCTTTGGGATATATGCACGCAGCTAACAGAGTTGAACCTTTCTATTGACAGAGCAGTTTTGAAACAGTCTTTCTGTGGAATCTGCAAGTGGATATTTGGATAGCTTGGAGGATTTCGTTGGAAACGGGATTACATATAAAAAGTAGACAGCAGCATCCTCAGAAACTCCTTTGTGATGTGTGCATTCAAGTCACAGAGTTGAACATTCCCTTTCGTACAGCAGTTTTGAAACACTCTTTCTGTAGTATCTGGAAGTGAACATTAGGACAGCTTTCAGGTCTATGGTGAGAAAGGAAACATCTTCAAATAAAAACTAGACAGAAGCATTCTCATAAACTTGTTTGTGATGTGTGAACTCAGCTAACAGAGGTGGATCTTTCTTTTGATACAGCAGTTTTGAAAAACACTTTTTGTTGAATCTGCAAGTGGACATTTGGATAGATTTGAAGATTTCATTGGAAACGGGAATATCTTCATATCAAATCTAGACAGAAGCATTCTCAGAAACGTCTTTGCGTTGTTTGCATTCAACTCATAGAGTTGAACATTCCGTTTCAGAAAGCAGCTTTGAGGCACTCTTTTTGTAGTATGTGCAAGTGGATATTTGGAGCGCTCTGAGGCCTACGGTGAAAAAGCAAATATCTTCCCATAACCACTAGACAGAAACATTCTCAGAAACTCCTTTATGACGTATGCACTCACCTAACAGAAAAGAACCTTCCTTTTGACAGAGCAGTTTTGATACACTCTTTTTGTAGAATCTGCAAGTGGATATTTGGATAGCTGTGAAGATTTCGTTGGAAACGGGAATATATTCCTATAAAATCTAGACAGAAGCATTCTCAGAAACTGCTACTGTGATGTCTGCATTCAAGTCACAGAGTTGAACATTGCCTTTCATAGAGCAGGTTTCAAGCACTCTTTTTTTAGTATATGGAAGTGGACGTTTCGGACGGTTTGAGGCCCATGGTGATAAAGGAAATATCTTCCCCTACAAGCTAGAAAGAAGCATTCTGTGAAACTTGTTTGTGATGTGTGTACTCAACTAACAGAGTTGAACCTTTCTTTTTACAGAGCAGTTTTGAAACACTCTTTTTGTAGAATCTGCGAGGGCATATTTGGATAGATTTCAGGATTTCGTTGGAAATGGGAATATCTTCATATAAAATCTCGACAGAAGCATTCTCAGAAGCTTCTTTGTGATATGTGCATTCAAGTCACAGAGTTGAATATTCCCTTTCACAGAGTAGGTTTGAAACACTCTTTTTGTAGTATCTGGAAGTGGACATTGGGAGTGCCTTGACGCCTACGGTGAAAAGGGAAATATCTTCTCATAAAAAGTAGACAGAAGCAATCTCAGAATCTGTTTTGGGATATATGCACGCAGCTAACAGAGTTGAACCTTTCTATTGACAGAGCAGTTTTGAAACAGTCTTTCTGTGGAATCTGCAAGTGGATATTTGGATAGCTTGGAGGATTTCGTTGGAAACGGGATTACGTATAAAAAGTAGACAGCAGCATCCTCAGAAACTTCTTTGTGATGTGTGCATTCAAGTCACAGAGTTGAACATTCCCTTTCGTACAGCAGTTTTGAAACACTCTTTCTGTAGTATCTGGAAGTGAACTTTAGGAGAGCTTTCAGGTCTATAGTGAGAAAGGATATATCTTCAAATAAAAGCTAGACAGAAGCATTCTCATAAACTTGTTTGTGATGTGTGAACTCAGCTAACAGAGGTGGATCTTTCTTTTGATAGAGCAGTTCTGAAAAACACTTTTTGTTGGATCTGCAAGTGGACATTTGGATAGATTTGAAGATTTCATTGGAAACGGGAATATCTTTATATCAAATCTAGACAGAAGCATTCTCAGAAACTTCTTTGTGATGTTTGCATTCAACTCATAGAGTTGAACATTCACTTTCAGAGAGCAGCTTTGAAGCACTCTTTTTGTAGTATGTGCAAGTGGATGTTTTGATCGCTCTGTGGCCTACGGTGAAAAAGCAAATATCTTCCCATAACCACTAGACAGAAACATTCTCAGAAACTCCTTTATGACGTATGCCCTCACCTAACAGAGAATAACCTTCCTTTTGACAGAGCATTTTTGATACACTCTTTTTGTAGCATCTGCAAGTGGATATTTGGATAGCTGTGAAGATTTCTTTGGAAACGGGAATATCTTCCTATAAAATCTAGACAGAAGCATTCTCAGAAACTGCTCTGTGATGTCTGCATTCAAGTCACAGAGTTGAACATTGCCTTTCATAGAGCAGGTTTGAAACGCTCTTTTTGTAGGATATGGAAGTGGACTTATCGGACGGTTGGAGGCCCATGGTGATAAAGGGAATATCTTCCCCTACAAGCTAGAAAGAAGCATTCTGTGAAACTTCTTTGTGATGTGTGTACTCAACTAACAGAGTTGAACCTTTCTTTTCACAGAGCTGTTTTGAAACACTCTTTTTATAAAATCTGCGAGGGGATATTTGGATAGATTTCAGGATTTCGTTGGAAACGGGAATATCTTCATATAAAATCTCGACAGAAGCATTCTCAGAAACTTCTTTGTGATATCTGCCTTTAAGTCACAGAGTTGAATATTCCCTTTCACAGAGTAGGTTTGAAACACTCTTTTTGTAGTATCTGGAAGTGGACATTTGGAGCGCCTTGTCACCTACGGTGAAAAGGGAAATATCTTCCCATAAAAACTAGACAGAAGCAATCTCAGAATCTTCTTTGGGATATATGCACGCAGCTAACAGAGTTGAACCTTTCTATTGACAGAGCAGTTTTGAAACAGTCTTTCTGTGGAATCTGCAAGTGGATATTTGGATAGATTGGAGGATTTCGTTGGAAACGGGATTACGTATAAAAAGTGGACAGCAGCATCCTGAGAAACTTCCTTGTGATGTGTGCATTCAAGTCACAGAGTTGAATATTCCCTTTCGTACAGCAGTTTTGAAACACTCTTTCTGTAGTATCTGGAAGTGAACTTTAGGAGAGCTTTCAGGTCTATAGTGAGAAAGGATATATCTTCAAATAAAAACTAGACAGAAGCATTCTCATAAACTTGTTTGTGATGTGTGAACTCAGCTAACAGAGGTGGATCTTTCTTTTGATAGAGCAGTTCTGAAAAACACTTTTTGTTGAATCTGCAAGTGGACATTTCGATAGATTTGAAGATTTCGCTGGAAACGGGAATATCTTCATATCAAATCTAGACAGAAGCATTCTCAGAAACGTCTTTGCGATGTTTGCATTCAACTCATAGAGTTGAACATTCCGTTTCAGAGAGCAGTATGAGGCACTCTTTTTGTAGTATGTGCAAGTGGATATTTGGAGCGCTCTGAGGCCTACGGTGAAAAAGCAAATATCTTCCCATAACCACTAGACAGAAACATTCTCAGAAACTGCTTTATGACGTATGCACTCACCTAACAGAGAAGAACCTTCCTTTTGACAGAGCAGTTTTGACACACTCTTTTTGTAGAATCTGCAAGTGGATATTTGGATAGCTGTGAAGATTTCGTTGGAAACGGGAATATCTTCCTATAAAATCTAGACAGAAGCATTCTCAGAAACTGCTCTGTGATGTCTGCATTCAAGTCACAGAGTTGAACATTGCCTTTCATAGAGCAGGTTGGAAATGCTCTTTTTGTAGTATATGGAAGTGGACGTTTCAGACGGTTTGAGGCCCATGGTGATAAAGGGAATATCTTCCACTACAAGCTAGAAAGAAGCATTCTGTGAAACTTGTTTGTGATGTGTGTACTCAACTAACAGAGTTGAACCTTTCTTTTTACAGAGCAGTTTTGAAACACTCTTTTTGTAGAATCTGCGAGGGGATATTTGGATACATTTCAGGATTTTGTTGGAAACGGGAATATCTTCATATAAAATCTCGACAGAAGCATTCTCAGAAACTTCTTTGTGATATGTGCATTCAAGTCACAGAGTTGAATATTCCCTTTCACAGAGTAGGTTTGAAACACTCTTTTTGTAGTATCTGGAAGTGGACATTTGGAGCGCGTTGACACCTACGGTGAAAAGGGAAATATCTTCCCATAAAAACTAGACAGAAGCAATCTCAGAATCTTCTTTGGGATATATGCACGCAGCTAACAGAGTTGAACCTTTCTATTGACAGAGCAGTTTTGAAACAGTCTTTCTGTGGAATCTGCAAGTGGATATTTGGATAGCTTGGAGGATTTCGCTGGAAACGGGATTACGTATAAAAAGTAGACAGCAACATCCTCAGAACCTTCTTTGTGATGTGTGCATTCAAGTCACAGAGTTGAACATTCCCTTTCGTACAGCAGTTTTTAAACACTCTTTCTGTGGTATCTGGAAGTGAACATTAGGACAGCTTTCAGGTCTATGGTGAGAAAGGAAATATCTTCAAATAAAAACTAGACAGAAGCATTCTCATAAACTTGTTTGTGATGTGTGAACTCAGCTAACAGAGGTGGATCTTTCTTTTGATAGAGCAGTTCTGAAAAACACTTTTTGTTGAATCTGCAAGTGGACATTTGGATAGATTTGAAGATTTCGTTGGAAACGGGAATATCTCCATATCAAATCTAGACAGAAGCATTCTCAGAAACGTCTTTGTGATGTTTGCATTCAACTCATAGAGTTGAACATTCCGTTTCAGAGAGCAGCTTTGAAGCACTCTTTTTGTAGTATGTGAAAGTGGATATTTGGAGCGCTGTGAGGCCTAAGGTGAAAAAGCAAATATCTTCCCGTAACCACTAGACAGAAACATTCTCAGAAACTCCTTTATGACGTGTGCACTCACCTAACAGAGAAGAACTTTCCTTTTGACAGAGCAGTTTTGATACACTCTTTTTGTAGAATCTGCAAGTGGATATTTGGATAGCTGTGAAGATTTCGTTGGAAACGGGAATATCTTCCTATAAAATCTAGACAGAAGCATTCTCAGAAACTGCTCTGTGATGTCTGCATTCAAGTCACAGAGTTGAACATTGCCTTTCATAGAGCAGGTTTGAAACACTCTTTTTGTAGTATATGCAAGTGGACGTTTCGGACGGTTTGAGGCCCATGGTGATAAAGGGAATATCTTCCCCTACAAGCTAGAAAGAAGCATTCTGTGAAACTTGTTTGTGATGTGTGTACTCAACTAACAGAGTTGAACCTTTCTTTTTACAGAGCAGTTTTGAAACACTCTTTTTGTAGAATCTGCGAGTGGATATTTGGATACATTTCAGGATTTCGTTGGAAACGGGAATATCTTCATATAAAATCTCGACAGAAGCATTCTCAGAAACTTCTTTGTGATATGTGCATTCAAGTCACAGAGTTGAATATTCCCTTTCGCAGAGTAGGTTTGAAACACTCTTTTTGTAGTATCTGGAAGTGGACATTTGGAGTGCCTTGACGCCTACGGTGAAAAGGGAAATATCTTCCCATAAAAACTAGACAGAAGCAATCTCAGAATCTTCTTTGGGATATATGCACGCAGCTAACAGAGTTGAACCTTTCTATGGACAGAGTAGTTTTGAAATAGTCTTTCTGTGGAATCTGCAAGTGGATATTTGGATAGCTTGGAGGATTTCGTTGGAAACGGGATTACGTATAAAAAGTAGACAGCAGCATTCTCAGAAACTGCTCTGTGATGTCTGCATTCAAGTCACAGTAGTTGAACATTCCCTTTCATACAGCAGTTTTGAAACACTCTTTCTGTAGTATCTGGAAGTGAACATTAGGACAGCTTTCAGGTCTATGGTGAGAAAGGAAATATCTTCAAATAAAAACTAGACAGAAGCATTCTCATAAACTTGTTTGTGATGTGTGAACTCAGCTAACAGAGGTGGATCTTTCTTTTGATAGAGCAGTTGTGAAAAACACTTTTTGTTGAATCTGCAAGTGGACATTTGGATAGATTTGAAGATTTCGTTGGAAACGGGAATATCTTCATATCAAATCTAGACAGAAGCATTCTCAGAAACGTCTTTGTGATGTTTGCATTCAACTCATAGAGTTGAACATTCAGCTTCAGAGAGCACCTTTTAAGCACTCTTTTTGTAGTATGTGCAAGTGGATATTTAGAGCGCTGTGAGGCCTACGGTGAAAAAGCAAATATCTTCCCATAACCACTAGACAGAAACATTCTCAGAAACTCCTTTATGACGTATGCACTCACCTAACAGAGAAGAACCTTCCTTTTGACAGAGCAGTTTTGATACACTCTTTTTGTAGAATCTGCAAGTGGATATTTGGATAGCTGTGAAGATTTCGATGGAATCGGGAATATCTTCCTACAAAATCTAGACAGAAGCATTCTCAGAAACTGCTCTGTGATGTCTGCATTCAAGTCACAGAGTTGAACATTGCCTTTCATAGAGCAGGTTTGAAATGCTCTTTTTGTAGTATATGGAAGTGGACTTATCGGACGGTTTGAGGCCCATGGTGATAAAGGGAATATCTTCCCCTACAAGCTAGAAAGAAGCATTGTGTGAAAGTTGTTTGTGATGTGTGTACTCAACTAACAGAGTTGAACCTTTCTTTTTACAGAGCAGTTTTGAAACACTCTTTTTGTAGAATCTGCGAGGGGATATTTGGATACATTTCAGGATTTCGTTGGAAACGGGAATATCTTCATATAAAATCTCGACAGAAGCATTCTCAGAAGCTTCTTTGTGATATGTGCATTCAAGTCACAGAGTTGAATATTCCCTTTCACAGAGTAGGTTTGAAACACTCTTTTTGTAGTATCTGGAAGTGGACATTTAGAGCGCCTTGACGCCTACGGTGAAAAGGGAAATATCTTCTCATAAAAAGTAGACAGAAGCAATCTCAGAATCTTCTTTGGGATATGTGCACGCAGCTAACAGAGTTGAACCTTTCTATTGACAGAGCAGTTTTGAAACAGTCTTTCTGTGGAATCTGCAAGTGGATATTTGGATAGCTTGGAGGATTTCGTTGGAAACGGGATTACGTATAAAAAGTAGACAGCAGCATCCTCAGAAACTTCTTTGTGATGTGTGCATTCAAGTCACAGAGTTCAACATTCCCTTTCGTACAGCAGTTTTGAAACACTCTTTCTGTAGTAACTGGAAGTGAACATTAGGACAGCTTTCAGGTCTATGGTGAGAAAGGAAATATCTTCAAATAAAAACTAGACAGAAGCATTTTCATAAACTTGTTTGTGATGTGTGAACTCAGCTAACAGAGGTGGATCTTTCTTTTGATAGAGCAGTTCTGAAAAACACTTTTTGTTGAATCTGCAAGTGGACATTTAGATAGATTTGAAGATTTCGTTGGAAACGGGAATATCTTCATATCAAATCTATACAGAAGCATTCTCAGAAACGTCTTTGTGATGTTTGCATTCAACTCATAGAGTTGAACATTCCGTTTCAGAGAGCAGCTTTGAGGCACACTTTTTGTAGTATGTGCAAGTGGATATTTGGAGAGCTCTGAGGCCTACGGTGAAAAAGCAAATATCTTCCCATAACCACTAGACAGAAACATTCTCAGAAACTCCTTTATGACGTATGCACTCACCTAACAGAGAACAACCTTCCTTTTGACAGAGCAGTTTTGATACACTCTTTTTGTAGAATCTGCAAGTGGATATTTGGATAGCTGTGAAGATTTCGTTGGAAACGGGAATATCTTCCTATAAAATCTAGACAGAAGCATTCTCAGAAACTTCTTTGTGATATCTGCATTCAAGTCACAGAGTTGAATATTCCGTTTCACAGAGTAGGTTTGAAACACTCTTTTTGTAGTATCTGGAAGTGGACATTTGGAGCGCCTTGACGCCTACGGTGAAAAGGGAAATATCTTCTCATAAAAAGTAGACACAAGCAATCTCAGAATCTTCTTTGGGATATATGCACGCAGCTAACAGAGTTGAACCTTTCTATTGACAGAGCAGTTTTGAAACAGTCTTTCTGTGGAATCTGCAAGTGGATATTTGCATAGCTTGGAGGATTTCGTTGGAAACGGGATTACGTATAAAAAGTAGACAGCAGCATCCTCAGAAACTTCTTTGTGATGTGTGCATTCAAGTAACAGAGTTGAACATTCCCTTTCGTACAGCAGTTTTGAAACACTCTTTCTGTAGTATCTGGAAGTGAACATTAGGACAGCTTTCAGGTCTATGGTGAGAAAGGAAATATCTTCAAATAAAAACTAGACAGAAGCATTCTCATAAACTTGTTTGTGATGTGTGAACTCAGCTAACAGAGGTGGATCTTTCTTTTGATAGAGCAGTTCTGAAAAACACTTTTTGTTGAATCTGCAAGTGGACATTTGGATAGATTTGAAGATTTCGTTGGAAACGAGAATATCTTCATATCAAATCTAGACAGAAGCATTCTCAGAAACGTCTTTGTGATGTTTGCATTCAACTCATAGAGTTGAACATTCCGTTTCAGAGAGCAGCTTTGAGGCACTCTTTTTGTAGTTTGTGCAAGTGGATATTTGGAGCGCTCTGAGGCCTACGGTGAAAAAGCAAATATCTTCCCATAACCACTAGACAGAAACATTCTCAGAAACTCCTTTATGACGTATGTACTCAACTAACAGAGAAGAACCTTCCTTTTGACAGAGCAGTTTTGATACACTCTTTTTGTAGAATCTGCAAGTGGATATTTGGATAGCTGTGAAGATTTCGTTTGAAACGGGAATATCTTCCTATAAAATCTAGACGGAAGCATTCTCAGAAACTGCTCTGTGATGTCTGCATTCAAGTCACAGAGTTGAACATTGCCTTTCATAGAGCAGGTTTGAAACGCTCTTTTTGTAGTATATGGAAGTGGACGTTTCGGACGGTCTGAGGCCCATGGTGATAAAGGGAATATCTTCCCCTACAAGCTAGAAAGAAGCATTCTGTGAAACTTGTTTGTGATGTGTGTACTCAACTAACAGAATTGAACCTTTCTTTTCACAGAGCAGTTTTGAAACACTCTTTTTGTAGAATCTGCGAGGGGATATTTGGATAGATTTCAGCATTTCGTTGGAAACGGGAATATCTTCATATAAAATCTCGACAGAAGCATTCTCAGAAACTTCTTTGTGATATGTGCATTCAAGTCACAGAGTTGAATATTCCCTTTCACAGAGTAGGTTTGAAACACTCTTTTTGAGGTATCTGGAAGTGGATATTTGGAGCGCCTTGACGCCTACGGTGAAAAGGGAAATATCTTCCCATAAAAACTAGACAGCAGAAATCTCAGAATCTTCTTTGGGATATATGCACGCAGCTAACAGAGTTGAACCTTTCTATTGACAGAGCAGTTTTGAAACAGTCTTTCTGTGGAATCTGCAATTGGATATTTGGATAGCTTGGAGGATTTCGTTGGAAACGGGATTACGTATAAAAAGTAGACAGCAGCATCCTCAGAAACTTCTTTGTGATGTGTGCATTCAAGTCACAGAGTTGAACTTCCCTTTCGTACAGCAGTTTTGAAACACTCTTTCTGTAGTAACTGGAAGTGAACATTAGGACAGCTTTCAGGTCTATGGTGAGAAAGGAAATATCTTCAAATAAAAACTAGACAGAAGCATTCTCATAAACTTGTTTGTGATGTGTGAACTCAGCTAACAGAGGTGGATCTTTCTTTTGATGGAGCAGTTCTGAAAAACACTTTTTGTTGAATCTGCAAGTGCACATTTGGATAGATTTGAAGATTTCGTTGGAAACGGGAATATCTTCATATCAAATCTAGACAGAAGCATTCTCAGAAACGTCTTTGTGATGTTTGCATTCAACTCATAGAGTTGAACATTCCGTTTCAGAGACCAGCTTTGAAGCACTCTTTTTGTAGTATGTGCAAGTGGATATTTGGAGCGCTCTGTGGCCTACGGTGAAAAAGCAAATATCTTCCCATAACCACTAGACAGAAACATTCTCAGAAACTCCTTTATGACGTATGCACTCACCTAACAGAGAAGAACCTTCCTTTTGACAGAGCAGTTTTGATACACTCTTTTTGTTGAATCTGCAAGTGGATATTTGGATAGCTGTGAAGATTTCGTTGGAAACGGGAATATCTTCCTATAAAATCTAGACAGAAGCATTCTCAGCAAACTGCTCTGTGATGTCTGCATTCAAGTCACAGAGTTGAACATTGTCTTTCATAGAGCAGGTTTGAAGCGTTCTTTTTGTAGTATATGGAAGTGGACGTTTCGGACGGTTTGAGGCCCATGGTGATAAAGGGAATATCTTCCCCTACAAGCTAGAAAGAAGCATTCTGTGAAACTTGTTTCTGATGTGTGTACTCAACTAACAGAGTTGAACCTTTCTTTTTACAGAGCAGTTTTGAAACACTCTTTTTGTAGAATCTGCGAGGGGATATTTGGATAGATTTCAGGATTTTGTTGGAAACGGGAATATCTTCATATAAAATCTCGACAGAAGCATTCTCAGAAACTTCTTTGTGATATCTGCATTCAAGTCACAGAGTTGAATATTCCCTTTCACAGAGTAGGTTTGAAACACTCTTTTTGTAGTATCTGGAAGTGGACATTTGGAGCGCCTTGACGCCTATGGTGAAAAGGGAAATATCTTCCCATAAAAACTAGACAGAAGCAATCTCAGAATCTTCTTTGGGATATATGCACGCAGCTAACAGAGTTGAACCTTTCTATTGACAGAGCAGTATTGAAACAGTCTTTTTGTGAAATCTGCAAGTGGATATTTGGATAGCTTGGAGGATTTCGTTGGAAACGGGATTACGTATAAAAAGTAGACAGCAGCATCCTCAGAAACTTCTTTGTGATGTGTGCATTCAAGTCACAGAGTTGAACATTCCCTTTCGTACAGCAGTTTTAAAACACTCTTTCTGTAGTATCTGGAAGTGAACATTAGGACAGCTTTCAGGTCTATGGTGAGAAAGGAAATATCTTCAAATAAAAACTACACAGAAGCATTCTCATAAACTTGTTTGTGATGTGTGAACTCAGCTAACAGAGGTGGATCTTTCTTTTGATAGAGCAGTTCTGAAAAACACTTTTTGTAGAATCTGCAAGTGGACATTTGGATAGATTTGCAGATTTCGTTGGTAACGGGAATATCTTCATATCAAATCTAGACAGAAGCATTCTCAGAAACGTCTTTGTGATGTTTGCATTCAACTCATAGAGTTGAACATTCCGTTTCAGAGAGCAGGTTTGAAGCAATCTTTTTGTAGTATGTGCAAGTGGACATTTGGAGCGCTCTGAGGCCTACGGTGAAAAAGCAAATATCTTCCCATAACCACTAGACAGAAACATTCTCAGAAACTCCTTTATGACGTATGCACTCACCTAACAGAGAAGAACCTTCCTTTTGACTGAGCAGTTTGATACACTCTTTTTGTAGAATCTGAAAGTGGATATTTGGATAGCTGTGAAGATTTCGTTGGAAACGGGAATATCTTCCTATAAAATCTAGACAGAAGCATTCTCAGAAACTGCTCTGTGATGTCTGCATTCAACTCACAGAGTTGAACATTGCCTTTCATAGAGCAGGTTTGAAACACTCTTTTTGTAGTAAATGGAAGTGGACGTTTCGGACGGTTTGAGGCCCATGGTGATAAAGGGAATATCTTCCCCTACAAGCTAGAAAGAAGCAATCTCAGAATTTTCTTTGGGATATACGCACACAGCTAACAGAGTTGAACTTTTCTATTGACATAGCAGTTTTGAAACAGTCTTTCTGTGGAATCTGCAAGTAGATATTTTGATAGCTTGGAGGATTTCGTTGGAAACGGGATTACGTATAAAAATTAGACAGCAGCATCCTCAGAAACTTCTTTGTGAAGTTTCTGCATTCTAGTCACAGAGTTGAACATTCCCTTTCGTACAGCAGTTTTGTATCTGGAAGTGGACATTTGGAGCGCCTTGACACCTACGGTGAAAAGGGAAATATCTTCCCATAAAAACTAGACAGAAGCAATCTCAGAATCTTCTTTGGGATATATGCACGCAGCTAACAGAGTTGAACCTTTCTATTGACAGAGCAGTTTTGAAACAGTCTTTCTGTGGAATCTGCAAGTGGATATTTGGATAGCTTGGAGGATTTCTTTGGAAACGGGATTACGTGTAAAAAGTAGACAGCAGCATCCTCAGAAACATCCTTGTGATGTGTGCATTCAAGTCACAGAGTTGAACATTCCCTATCGTACAGCAGTTTTGAAACACTCTTTCTGTAGTATCTGGAAGTGAACTTTAGGACAGCTTTCAGGTCTATAGTGAGAAAGGATATATCTTCAAATAAAAACTAGACAGAAGCATTCTCATAAACTTGTTTGTGATGTGTGAACTCAGCTAACAGAGGTGGATCTTTCTTTTGATAGAGCAGTTCTGAAAAACACTTCTTGTTGAATCTGCAAGTGGACATTTGGATAGATTTGAAGATTTCATTGGAAACGGGAATATCTTCATATCAAATCTAGACAGAAGCATTCTCAGAAACGTCTTTGTCATGTTTGCATTCAACTCATAGAGTTGAACATTCCCTTTCAGAGAGCAGCTTTGAAACACTCTTTTTGAAGTATGTGCAAGTGGATATTTGGAGCGCTCTGAGGCCTACGCTGAAAAAGCAAATATCTTCCCATAACCACTAGACAGAAACATTCTCAGAAACTCCTTTATGACGTATGGCACTCACCTAACAGAAAAGAACCTTCCTTTTGACAGAGCAGTTTTGATACACTCTTTTTGTAGAATCTGCAAGTGGATATTTGGATAGCTGTGAAGATTTCGTTGGAAACGGGAATATCTTCCTATAAAATCTAGACAGAAGCATTCTCAGAAACTGCTCTGTGATGTCTGCATTCAAGTCACAGAGTTGAACATTGCCTTTCATAGAGCAGGTTTGAAACACTCTTTTTGTAGTATATGGAAGTGGACATTTCGGAAGGTTTGAGGCCCATGGTGATAAAGGGAATATCTTCCCCTACAAGCTAGAAAGAAGCATTCTGTGAAACTTGTTTGTGATGTGTGTACTGAACTAACAGAGTTGAACCTTTCTTTTTACAGAGCAGTTTTGAAACACTCTTTTTGTAGAATCTGCGAGGGGATATTTGGAGAGATTTCAGGATTTCGTTGGAAACGGGAATATCTTCATATAAAATCTCGACAGAAGCATTCTCAGAAACATCTTTGTGATATCTGCATTCAAGTCACAGAGTTGCATATTCCCTTTCACAGAGTAGGTTTTAAACACTCTTTTTGTAGTATCTGGAAGTGGACATTTG
The DNA here is from genome assembly GCF_000001405.40 of Homo sapiens. Classification (NCBI taxonomy): domain Eukaryota; kingdom Metazoa; phylum Chordata; class Mammalia; order Primates; family Hominidae; genus Homo; species Homo sapiens. The sequence continues at coordinate 16,582,972 of NC_000014.9, forward strand.
GAGTGCCTTGACGTCTACGGTGAAAAGGGAAATATCTTCCCATAAAAACTAGACAGAAGCAATCTCAGAATTTTCTTTGGGATATATGCACACAGCTAACAGAGTTGAACTTTTCTATTGACATAGCAGTTTTGAAACAGTCTTTCTGTGGAATCTGCAAGTGGATATTTGGATAGCTTGGAGGATTTCGTTGGAAACGGGATTACGGTATAAAAAGTAGACAGCAGCATCCTCAGGAACTTCTTTGTGATGTGTGCATTCAAGTCACAGAGTTGAACATTCCCTTCCGTACAGCAGTTTTGAAACACTCTTTCTGTAGTATCTGGAAGTGAACATTAGGACAGCTTTCAGGTCTATGGTGAGAAAGGAAATATCTTCAAATAAAAACTAGACAGAAGCATTCTCATAAACTTGTTTGTGATGTGTGAACTCAGCTAACAGAGGTGGATCTTTCTTTTGATACAGCAGTTCTGAAAAACACTTTTTGTTGAATCTGCAAGTGGACATTAGGATAGATTTGAAGATTTCGTTGGAAACGGGAATATCTTCATATCAAATCTAGACAGAAGCATTCTCAGAAACGTCTTTGTGATGTTTGCATTCAACTCATAGAGTTGAACATTCCGTTTCAGAGAGCAGCTTTGAAGCACTCTTTTTGTAGTATGTGCAAGTGGATATTTGGAGCGCTGTGAGGCCTAAGGTGAAAAAGCAAATATCTTCCCGTAACCACTAGACAGAAACATTCTCAGAAACTCCTTTATGACGTATGCACTCACCTAACAGAGAAGAACCTTCCTTGTGACAGAGCAGTTTTGATACACTTTTTTTGTAGAATCTGCAAGTGGATATTTGGATAGCTGTGAAGATTTCGTTGGAAACGGGAATATCTTCCTATAAAATCTAGACAGAAGCATTCTCAGAAACTGCTCTGTGATGTCTGCATTCAAGTCACAGAGTTGAACATTGCCTTTCCTAGAACAGGTTTGAAACGCTCTTTTTGTAGTATATGGAAGTGGACGTTTCGGACGGTTTGAGGCCCATGCTGATAAAGGGAATATCTTCCCCTACAAGATAGAAAGAAGCATTCTGTGAAACTAGTTTGTGATGTGTGTACTCAACTAACAGAGTTGAACCTTTCTTTTTACAGAGCAGTTTTGAAACACTCTTTTTGTAGAATCTGCGAGGGGATATTTGGATACATTTCAGCATTTCGTTGGAAACGGGAATATCTTCATATAAAATCTCGACAGAAGCATTCTCAGAAACTTCTTTGTGATATCTGCATTCAAGTCACAGAGTTGAATATTCCCTTTCACAGAGTAGGTTTGAAACACTCTTTTTGTAGTATCTGGAAGTGGACATTTGGAGCGCCTTGACGCCTACGGTGAAAAGGGAAATATCTTCCCATTAAAACTAGAGAGAAGCAATCTCAGAATCTTCTTTGGGATATATGCACTCAGCTAACAGAGTTGAACCTTTCTATTGACAGAGCAGTTTTGAAACAGTCTTTCTGTGGAATCTGCAAGTGGATATTTGGATAGCTTGGAGGATTTCGTTGGAAACGGGATTACGTATAAAAAGTAGACAGCAGCATCCTCCGAAACTTCTTTGTGATGTGTGCATTCAAGTCACAGAGTTGAACATTCCTTTTCGTACAGCAGTTTTGAAACACTCTTTCTGTAGTATCTGGAAGTGAACATTAGGACAGCTTTCAGGTCTATGGTGAGAAAGGAAATATCTTCAAATAAAAACTAGACAGAAGCATTCTCATAAACTTGTTTGTGATGTGTGAACTCAGCTAACAGAGGTGGATCTTTCTTTTGATAGAGCAGTTCTGAAAAACACTTTTTGTTGAATCTGCAAGTGGACATTTGGATAGATTTGAAGATTTCGTTGGAAACGGGAATATCTTCATATCAAATCTAGAAAGAAGCATTCTCAGAAACGTCTTTGTGATGTTTGCATTCAACTCATAGAGTTGAACATTCCCTTTCAGAGAGCAGCTTTGAAGCACTCTTTTTGTAGCATGTGTAAGTGGACATTTGGAGCGCCCTGAGGCCTACGGGGAAAAAGGAAATATCTTCCCATAACCACTAGAGAGAAACATTCTCAGAAACTCCTTTATGACGTATGTACTCAACTGACAGAGAAGAACCTTCCTTTTGACAGAGCAGTTTTGATACACTCTTTTTGTAGAATCTGCAAGTGGATATTTGGATAGCTGTGAAGATTTCGTTGGAAACGGGAATATCTTCCTATAAAATCTAGACAGAAGCATTCTCAGAAACTGCTCTGTGATGTCTGCATTCAAGTCACAGAGTTGAACATTGCCTTTCCTAGAGCAGGGTTGAAACGCTCTTTTTGTAGTATATGGAAGTGGACGTTTCGGACGGTTTGAGGCCCATGGTGATAAAGGGAATATCTTCCCCTACAAGCTAGAAAGAAGCATTCTGTGAAACTTGTTTGTGATGTGTGTACTCAACTAACAGAGTTGAACCTTTCTTTTTACAGAGCAGTTTTGAAACACTCTTTTTGTAGAATCTGCGAGGGGATATTTCGATAGATTTCAGGATTTCGTTGGAAACGGTAATATCTTCATATAAAATCTCGACAGAAACATTCTCAGAAACTTCATTGTGATATCTGCATTCAAGTCACAGAGTTGAATATTCCCTTTCAGAGAGTAGGTTTGAAACACTCTTTTTGTAGTATCTGGAAGTGGACATTTGGAGCGCCTTGACACCTACGGTGAAAAGGGAAATATCTTCCCATAAAAACGAGACAGAAGCAATCTCAGAATCTTCTTTGGGATATATGCACGCAGCTAACAGAGTTGAACCTTTCTATTGACAGAGCAGTTTTGTAACAGTCTTTCTGTGGAATCTGCAAGTGGATATTTGGATAGCTTGGAGGATTTCGTTGGAAACGGGATTACCTATAAAAAGTAGACAGCAGCATCCTCAGAAACTTCTTTGTGATGTGTGCATTCAAGTCACAGAGTTAAATATTCCCTTTCGTACAGCAGTTTTGAAAAACTCTTTCTGTAGTATCTGGAAGTGAACATTAGGACAGCATTCAGGTCTATGGTGAGAAAGGAAATATCTTCAAATAAAAACTAGACAGAAGCATTCTCATAAACTTGTTTGTGATGTGTGAACTCAGCTAACAGAGGTGGATCTTTCTTTTGATAGAGCAGTTCTGAAAAACACTTTTTGTTGAATCTGCAAGTGGACATTTGGATAGATTTGAAGATTTCGTTGGAAACGGGAATATCTTCATATCAAATCTAGACAAAAAGCATTCTCAGAAACGTCTTTGTGATGTTTGCATTCAACTCATAGAGTTGAACATTCCCTTCCAGAGAGTAGCTTTGAAGCACTCTTTTTGTAGCATGTGCAAGTGGACATTTGGAGCGCCCTGAGGCCTACGGGGAAAAAGCAAATATCTTCCCATAACCACTAGACAGAAACATTCTCAGAAACTCCTTTATGACGTATGCACTCACCTAACAGAGAAGAACCTTCCTTTTGACAGAGCAGTTTTGATACACTCTTTTTGTAGAATCTGCCAGTGGATATTTGGATAGCTGTGAAGATTTCGTTGGAAACGGGAATATCTTCATATCAAATCTAGACAGAAAGCATTCTCAGAAACTGCTCTGTGATGTCTGCATTCAAGTCACAGAGTTGAACATTGCCTTTCATAGAGCAGGTTTGAAACGCTCTTTTTGTAGTATATGGAAGTGGACTTATCGGACGGTTTGAGGCCCATGGTGATAAAGGGAATATCTTCCCCTACAAGCTAGAAAGAAGCATTCTGTGAAACTTGTTTGTGAAGTGTGTACTCAACTAACAGAGTTGAACCTTTCTTTTTACAGAGCAGTTTTGAAACACTCTTTTTGTAGAATCTGCGAGGGGATATTTGGATAGATTTCAGGATTTCATTGGAAACGGGAATATCTTCATATAAAATCTCGACAGAAGCATTCTCAGAAACTTCTTTGTGATATGTGCATTCAAGTCACAGAGTTGAATATTCCCTTTCACAGAGTAGGTTTGAAACACTCTTTTTGTAGAATCTGGAAGTGGACATTTGGAGCGCCTTGACACCTACGGTGAAAAGGGAAATATCTTCCCATAAAAACTAAACAGAAGCAATCTCAGAATTTTCTTTGGGATATATGCACACAGCTAACAGAGTTGAACTTTTCTATTGACAGAGCAGTTTTGAAACAGTCTTTCTGTGGAATCTGCAAGTGGATATTTGGATAGCTTGGAGGATTTCGTTGGAAACAGGATTACGTATAAAAAGTAGACAGCAGCATCCTCAGAAACTTCTTTGAGATGTGTGCATTCAAGTCACAGAGTTGAACATTCCCTTTCGTACAGCAGTTTTGAAACACTCTTTCTGTAGTATCTGGAAGTGAACATTAGGACAGCTTTCAGCTCTATGGTGAGAAAGGAAATATCTTCAAATAAAAACTAGACAGAAGCATTCTCATAAACTTGTTTGTGATGGGTGAACTCAGCTAACAGAGGTGGATCTTTCTTTTGATAGAGCAGTTCTGAAAAACACTTTTTGTTGAATCTGCAAGTGGACATTTGGATAGATTTGAAGATTTCGTTGGAAACGGGAATACCTTCATATCAAATCTAGACAGAAGCATTCTCAGAAACGTATTTGTGATGTTTGCATTCAACTCACAGAGTTGAACATTCCCTTTCAGAGCGCAGCTTTGAAGCACTCTTTTTGTAGTATGTGCAAGGGGATATTTGGAGCGCTCTGAGGCCTACGGTGAAAAAGCAAATATCTTCCCATAACCACTAGACAGAAACATTCTCAGAAACTCCTTTATGACGTATGTACTCAACTAACAGAGAAGAACCTTCCTTTTGACAGAGCAGTTTTGATACACTCTTTTTGTAGAATCTGCAAGTGGATATTTGGATAGCTGTGAAGGTTTCGTTGGAAACGGGAATATCTTCCTATAAAATCTAGACAGAAGCATTCTCAGAAACTGCTCTGTGATGTCTGCATTCAAGTCACAGAGTTGAACATTGCCTTTCATAGAGCAGGTTTGAAACGCTCTTTTTGTAGTATATGGAAGTGGACTTTTCGGACAGTTTGAGGCCCATGGTGATAAAGGGAATATCTTCCCCTACAAGCTAGAAAGAAGCATTCTGTGAAACTTGTTTGTGATGTGTGTACTCAACTAAGAGAGTTGAACCTTTCTTTTCACAGAGCAGTTTTGAAACACTCCTTTTGTAGAATCTGCGAGGGGATATTAGGATAGATTTCAGGATTTCGTTGGAAACGGGAATATCTTCATACAAAATCTCGACAGAAGCATTCTCAGAAACTTCTTTGTGATATGTGCATTCAAGTCACAGAGTTGAATATTCCCTTTCACAGAGTAGGTTTGAAGCACTCTTTTTGTAGTATCTGGAAGTGGACATTTGGAGCGCCTTGACACCTACGGTGAAAAGGGAAATATCTTCCCATAAAAACTAGACAGAAAGCAATCTCAGAATCTTCTTTGGGATATATGCACGCAGCTAACAGAGTTGAACCTTTCTATTGACAGAGCAGTTTTGAAACAGTCTTTCTGTGGAATCTGTAAGTGGATATTTGGATAGCTTGGAGGATTTCGTTGGTAACGGGATTACGTATAAAAATTAGACAGCAGCATCCTCAGAAACTTCTTTGTGATGTGTGCATTCAAGTCACAGAGTTGAACATTCCCTTTCGTACAGCAGTTTTGAAACACTCTTTCTGTAGTATCTGGAAGTGAACATTAGGACAGCTTTCAGGTCTATCGTGAGAAAGGAAATATCTTCAAATAAAAACTAGACAGAAGCATTCTCATAAACCTGTTTCTGATGTGTGAACTCAGCTAACAGAGGTGGATCTTTCTTTTGATAGAGCAGTTCTGAAAAACACTTTTTGTTGAATCTGCAAGTGGACATTTGGATAGATTTGAAGATTTCGTTGGAAACGGGAATATCTTCATATCAAATCTAGACGGAAGCATTCTCAGAAACGTTTTTGTGATGTTTGCATTCAACTCATAGAGTTGAACATTCCGTTTCAGAGAGCAGCTTTGAAGCACTCTTTTTGTAGTATGTGCAAGTGGATATTTGGAGCGCTCTGAGGCCTACGGTGAAAAAGCAAATATCTTCCCATAACCACTAGACAGAAACATTCTCAGAAACTCCTTTATGACGTGTGCACTCACCTAACAGAGAAGAACCTTCCTTTTGAAAGAGCAGTTTTGATACACTCTTTTTGTAGAATCTGCAAGTGGATATTTGGATAGCTGTGAAGATTTCGTTGGAAACGGGAATATCTTCCTATAAAATCTAGACAGAAGCATTCTCAGAAACTGCTCTGTGATGTCTGCATTCAAGTCACAGAGTTGAACATTGCCTTTCATAGAGCAGGTTTGAAACGCTCTTTTTGTAGTATATGGAAGTGGACTTTTTGGACGGTTTGAGGCCCATGGTGATAAAGGGAATATCTTCCCCTACAAGCTAGAAAGAAGCATTCTGTGAAACTTGTTTGTGATGTGTGTACTCAACTAACAGAGTTGAACCTTTCTTTTTACAGAGCAGTTTTGAAACACTCTTTTTGTAGAATCTGTGAGGGGATATTTGGATAGATTTCAGGATTTCGTTGGAAACGGGAATATCTTCATAGAAAATCTCGACAGAAGCATTCTCAGAAACTTCTTTGTGATATGTGCATTCAAGTCACAGAGTTCAATATTCCCTTTCACAGAGTAGGTTTGAAACACTCTTTTTGTAGTATCTGGAAGTGGACATTTGGAGCGCCTTGACGCCTACGGTGAAAAGGGAAATATCTTCCCATAAAAACTAGACAGAAGCAATCTCAGAATCTTCTTTGGGATATATGCACGCAGCTAACAGAGTTGAACCTTTCTATTGACAGAGCAGTTTTGAAACAGTCTTTCTGTGGAATCTCCAAGTGGATATTTGGATAGCTTGGAGGATTTCGTTGGAAACGGGATTACGTATAAAAAGTAGACAGCAGCATCCTCAGAAACTTCTTTGTGATGTGTGCATTCAAGTCACAGAGTTGAACATTCCCTTTCGTACAGCAGTTTTGAAACACTCTTTCTGTAGTATCTGGAAGTGAACATTAGGACAGCTTTCAGGTCTATGGTGAGGAAGGAAATATCTTCAAATAAAAACTAGGCAGAAGCATTCTCATAAACTTGTTTTGATGTCTGAACTCAGCTAACAGAGGTGGATCTTTCTTTTGATAGAGCAGTTCTGAAAAACACTTTTTGTTGAATCTGCAAGTGGACATTTGGATAGATTTGAAGATTTCGTTGGAAACGGGAATATCTTCATATCAAATCTAGACAGAAGCATTCTCAGAAACGTCTTTGTGATGTTTGCATTCAACTCATAGAGTTGAACATTCCCTTTGAGAGAGCAGCTTTGAAGCACTCTTTTTGTAGCATGTGCAAGTGGACATTTGGAGCGCCCTGAGGCCTACGGGGAAAAAGCAAATATCTTCCCATAACCACTAGACAGAAACATTCTCAGAAACTCCTTTATGACGTATGTACTCAACTAACAGAGAAGAACCTTCCTTTTGACAGAGCAGTTTTGATACACTCTTTTTGTAGAATCTGCAAGTGGATATTTGGATAGCTTTGAAGATTTCGTTGGAAACGGGAATATCTTCCTATAAAATCTAGACAGAAGCATTCTCAGAAACTGCTCTGTGATGTCTGCATTCAAGTCACAGAGTTGAACATTGCTTTTCCTAGAGCAGGTTTGAAACGCTCTTTTTGTAGTATATGGAAGTGGACGTTTCGGACGGTTTGAGGCCCATGGTGATAAAGGGAATATCTTCCCCTACAAGCTAGAAAGAAGCATTCTGTGAAACTTCTTTGTGATGTGTGTAGTCAAGTAACAGAGTTGAACCTTTCTTTTTACAGAGCAGTTTTGAAACACTCTTTTTGTAGAATCTGCGAGGGGATATTTGGATAGATTTCAGGATTTCGTTGGAAACGGGAATATTTTCATATAAAATCTCGACAGAAGCATTCTCAGAAACTTCTTTATGATATCTGCATTCAAGTCACAGAGTTGAATATTCCCTTTCACAGAGTAGGTTTGAAACACTCTTTTTGTAGTATCTGGAAGTGGACATTTGGAGCGCCTTGACCCCTACGGTGAAAAGGGAAATATCTTCCCATAAAAACTAGACAGAAGGAATCTCAGAATCTTCTTTGGGATATATGCACGCAGCTAACAGAGTTGAACCTTTCTATTGACAGAGCAGTTTAGAAACAGTCTTTCTTTGGAATCTGCAAGTGGATATTTGGATAGCTTGGAGGATTTCGTTGGAAACGGGATTACGTATAAAAAGTAGACAGCAGCATCCTCAGAAACTTCTTTGTGATGTGTGCATTCAAGTCACAGAGTTGAACATTCCCTTTCGTACAGCAGTTTTGAAACTCTCTTTCTGTAGTATCTGGAAGTGAACATTAGGACAGCTTTCAGCTCTATGGTGAGAAAGGAAATATCTTCAAATAAAAACTAGACAGAAGCATTCTCATCAACTTCTTTGTGATGTGTGAACTCAGCTAACAGAGGTGGATCTTTCTTTTGATAGAGCAGTTCTGAAAAACACTTTTTGTTGAATCTGCAAGTGGACATTTGTATAGATTTGAAGATTTCGTTGGAAACGGGAATATCTTCATATCAAATCTAGACAGAAGCATTCTCAGAAACGTCTTTGTCATGTTTGCATTCAACTCATAGAGTTGAACATTCCCTTTCAGAGAGCAGCTTTGAAACACTCTTTTTGTAGTATGTGCAAGTGGATATTTGGAGCGCTCTGAGGCCTAAGGTGAAAAAGCAAATATCTTCCCATAACCACTAGACAGAAACATTCTCAGAAACTCCTTTATGACGTATGCACTCACCTAACAGAAAAGAAACTTCCTTTTGACAGAGCAGTTTTGATACACTCTTTTTGTAGAATCTGCAAGTGGATATTTGGATAGCTGTGAAGATTTCGTTGGAAACGGGAATATCTTCCTATAAAATCTAGACAGAAGCATTCTCAGAAACTGCTCTGTGATGTCTGCATTCAAGTCAGAGAGTTGAACATTGCCTTTCACAGAGGAGGTATGAAACGCTCTTTTCGTAATATATGGAAGTGGACGTTTCGGACGGCTTGAGGCCCATGGAGATAAAGGAAATATCTTCCCCTACAAGCTAGAAAGAAGCATTCTGTGAAACTTGTTTGTGTTGTGTGTACTCAACTAACAGAGTTGAACCTTTCTTTTTACGGAGCAGTTTTGAAACACTCTTTTTGTAGAATCTACGAGGGGATATTTGGATAGATTTCAGGATTTCGTTGGAAACGGGAATATCTTCATATAAAATCTCGACAGAAGCATTCTCAGAAACTTCATTGTGATATCTGCATTCAAGTCACAGAGTTGAATATTCCCTTTCAGAGAGTAGGTTTGAAACACTCTTTTTGTAGTATCTGGAAGTGGACATTTGGAGCGCCTTGACACCTACGGTGAAAAGGGAAATATCTTCCCATAAAAACTAGACAGAAGCAATCTCAGAATCTTCTTTGGGATATATGCACGCAGCTAACAGAGTTGAAACTTTCTATTGACAGAGCAGTTTTGAAACAGTCTTTCTGTGGAATCTGCAAGTGGATATTTGGATAGCTTGGAGGATTTCGTTGGAAACGGGATTACGTATAAAAAGTAGACAGCAGCATCCTCAGAAACTTCCTTGTGATGTGTGCATTCAAGTCACAGAGTTGAACATTCCCTTTCGTACAGCAGTTTTGAAACACTCTTTCTGTAGTATCTGGAAGTGAACTTTAGGAGAGCTTTCAGGTCTATAGTGAGAAAGGATATATCTTCAAATAAAAACTAGACAGAAGCATTCTCATAAACTTGTTTGTGATGTGTGAACTCAGCTAACAGAGGTGGATCTTTCTTTTGATAGAGCAGTTCTGAAAAACACTTTTTGTTGAATCTGCAGGTGGACATTTGGATAGATTTGAAGATTTCGTTGGAAACGGGAATATCTTCATATCAAATCTAGACAGAAGCATTCTCAGAAACATCTTTGTGATGTTTGCATTCAACTCATAGAGTTGAACATTCCCTTTCAGAGAGCAGCTTTGAAGCACTCTTTTTGTAGTATGTGCAAGTGGATATTTGGAGCGCTCTGAGGCCTACGGTGAAAAAGCAAATATCTTCCCATAACCACTAGACAGAAACATTCTCAGAAACTCCTTTATGACGTATGTACTCAACTAACAGAGAAGAACCTTCCTTTTGACAGAGCAGTTTTGATACACTCTTTTTGTAGAATCTGCAAGTGGATATTTGGATAGCTGTGTAGATTTCGTTGGAAATGGGAATATCTTCCTATAAAATCTAGACAGAAGCATTCTCAGAAACTGCTGTGTGATGTCTGCATTCAAGACACAGAGTTGAACATTGCCTTTCATAGAGCAGGTTTGAAACGCTCTTTTTGTAGTATATGGAAGTGGACGTTTCGGACGGTTTGAGGCCCATGGTGATACAGCGAATATCTTCCCCTACCAGCTAGAAAGAAGCATTCTGTGAAACTTGTTTGTGATGTGTGTACTCAACTAACAGAGTTGAACCTTTCTTTTTACAGAGCAGTTTTGAAACAGTCTTTTTGTAGAATCTGCGAGGGGATATTTTGATAGATTTCAGGATTTCGTTGGAAACGGGAATATCTTCATATAAAATCTCGACAGAAGCATTCTCAGAAACTTCCTTGTGATATGTGCATTCAAGTCACAGAGTTGAATATTCCCTTTCACAGAGGAGGTTTGAAACACTCTTTTTGTAGTATCTGGAAGTGGACATTTGGAGCGCCTTGACGCCTACGGTGAAAAGGGAAATATCTTCCCATAAAAACTAGACAGAAGCAATCTCAGAATCTTCTTTGGGATATATGCATGCAGCTAACAGAGTTGAACCTTTCTATTGACAGAGCAGTTTTGAAACAGTCTTTCTGTGGAATCTGCAAGTGGATATTTGGATAGCTTGGAGGATTTCGTTGGAAACGGGATTACCGTATAAAAAGTAGACAGCAGCATCCTCAGAAACTTCTTTGTGATGTGTGCATTCAAGTCACAGAGTTGAACATTCCCTTTCGTACAGCAGTTTTGAAACACTCTTTCTGTAGTATCTGGAAGTGAACATTAGGACAGCTTTCAGGTCTATGGTGAGAAAGGAAATATCTTCAAAAAAAACTGGACAGAAACATTCTCATAAACTTGTTTGTGATGTGTGAACTCAGCTAACAGAGGTGGATCTTTCTTTTGATAGAGCAGTTCTGAAAAACACTTTTTGTTGAATCTGCAAGTGGACATTTGGATAGATTTGAAGATTTCGTTGGAAATGGGAATATCTTCATATCAAATCTAGACAGAAGCATTCTCAGAAACGTCTTTGTGATGTTTGCATTCAACTCATAGAGTTGAACATTCCGTTTCAGAGACCAGCTTTGAAGCACTCTTTTTGTAGTATGTGCAAGTGGATATTTGGAGCGCTCTGAGGCCTACGGTGAAAAAGCAAATATCTTCCCATAACCTCTAGACAGAAACATTCTCAGAAACTCCTTTATGACGTATGCACTCACCTAACAGAAAAGAACCTTCCTTTTGACAGAGCAGTTTTGATACACTCTTTTTGTAGAATCTGCAAGTGGATATTTGGATAGCTGTGAAGATTTCGTTGGAAACGGGAATATCTTCCTATAAAATCTAGACAGAAGCATTCTCAGAAACTGCTCTGTGATGTCTGCATTCAAGTCACAGAGTTGAACATTGCCTTTCATAGAGCAGGTTTGAAATGCTCTTTTTGTAGTATATGGAAGTGGACTTTTCGGACGGTTTGAGGCCCATGGTGACAAAGGGAATATCTTCCCCTACAAGCTAGAAAGAAGCATTCTGTGAAACTTGTTTGTGATGTGTGCACTCAACTAACAGAGTTGAACCTTTCTTTTTACAGAGCAGTTTTGAAACACTCTTTTTGTAGAATCTGCGAGGGGATATTTGGATAGATTTCAGGATTTCGTTGGAAACGGGAATATCTTCATAGAAAATCTCGACAGAAGCATTCTCAGAAACTTCTTTGTGATATGTGCATTCAAGTCACAGAGTTGAATATTCCCTTTCACAGAGTAGGTTTGAAACACTCTTTTTGTAATATCTGGAAGTGGACATTTGGAGCGCCTTGACGCCTACGGTGAAAAGGGAAATATCTTCCCATAAAAACTAGACAGAAGCAATCTCAGAAACTTCTTTGGGATATATGCACGCAGCTAACAGAGTTGAACCTTTCTATTGACTGAGCAGATTTGAAACAGTCTTTCTGTGGAATCTGCAAGTGGATATTTGGATAGATTGGAGGATTTCGTTGGAAACGGGATTACGTATAAAAAGTAGACAGCAGCATCCTCAGAAACTTCTTTGTGATGTGTGCATTCAAGTCACAGAGTTGAACATTCCCTTTCGTACAGCAGTTTTGAAACGCTCTTTCTGTAGTATCTGGAAGTGAACATAAGGACAGCTTTCAGGTCTATGGTGAGAAAGGAAATATCTTCAAATAAAAACTAGACAGAAGCATTCTCATAAACTTGTTTGTGATGTGTGAACTCAGCTAACAGAGGTGGATCTTTCTTTTGATAGAGCAGTTCAGAAAAACACTTTTTGTTGAATCTGCAAGTGGACATTTGGATAGATTTGAAGATTTCGTTGGAAACGGGAATATCTTCATATCAAATCTAGACAGAAGCATTCTCAGAAACGTCTTTGTGATGTTTGCATTCAACTCATAGAGTTGAACATTCCGTTTCAGAGAGCAGCTTTGAAGCACTCTTTTTGTAGTATGTGCAAGTGGATATTTGGAGCGCTCTGAGGCCTAAGGTGAAAAAGCAAATATCTTCCCGTAACCACTAGACAGAAAAATTCTCAGAAACTCCTTTATGACGTATGCACTCACCTAACAGAGAAGAACCTTCCTTTTCACAGAGCAGTTTTGATACACTCTTTTTGTAGAATCTGCAAGTGGATATTTGGATAGCTGTGAAGATTTCGTTGGAAACGAGAATATCTTCCTATAAAATCTAGACAGAAGTATTCTCAGAAACTGCTCTGTGATGTCTGCATTCAAGTCACAGAGTTGAACATTGCCTTTCATAGAGGAGGTTTCAAACACTCTTTTTTTAGTATATGGAAGTGGACGTTTCGGACGGTTTGAGGCCCATGGTGATAAAGGAAATATCTTCCCCTACAAGCTAGAAAGAAGCATTCTGTGAAACTTGTTTGTGATGTGTGTACTCAAGTAACAGAGTTGAACCTTTCTTTTTACAGAGCAGTTTTGAAACACTCTTTCTGTAGAATCTGCGAGGGGATATTTGGATAGATTTCAGGATTTCTTTGGAAACGGGAATATCTTCATATAAAATCTCGACAGAAACATTCTCAGAAACTTCTTTGTGATATGTGCATTCAAGTCACAGAGTTGAATATTCCCTTTCACAGAGTAGGTTTGAAACACTCTTTTTGTAGTATCTGGAAGTGGACATTTGGAGCGCCTTGACGCCTACGGTGAAAAGGGAAATATCTTCCCATAAAAACTAGACAGAAGCAATCTCAGAATCTTCTTTGGGATATATGCACGCAGCTAACAGAGCTGAACCTTTCTATTGACAGAACAGTTTTGAAAGAGTCTTTCTGTGGAATCTGCAAGTGGATATTTGGATAGCTTGGAGGATTTCGTTGGAAACGGGATTACGTATAATAAGTAGACAGCAGCATCCTCAGAAACTTCTTTGTGATGTGTGCATTCAAGTCACAGAGTTGAACATTCCCTTTCGTACAGCAGTTTTGAAACACTCTTTCTGTAGTATCTGGAAGTGAACATTAGTACAGCTTTCAGGACTATGGTGAGAAAGGAAATATCTTCAAATAAAAACTTGAGAGAAGCATTCTAATAAACTTGTTTGTGATGTGTGAACTCAGCTAACAGAGGTGGATCTTTCTTTTGATAGAGCAGTTCTGAAAAACACTTTTTGTTGAATCTGCAAGTGGACATTTGGATAGATTTGAAGATTTCGTTGGAAACGGGAATATCTTCATATCAAATCTAGACAGAAGCATTCTCAGAAACGTCTTTGTGATGTTTGCATTCAACCCATAGAGTTGAACATTCTGTTTCAGAGAGCAGCTTTGAAGCGCTCTTTTTGTAGTATGTGCAAGTGGATATTTTGAGCGCTCTGAGGCCTAAGGTGAAAAAGCAAATATCTTCCCATAACCACTAGACAGAAACATTCTCAGAAACTTCTTTATGACGTATGTACTCAACTAGCAGAGAAGAACCTTCCTTTTGAGAGAGCAGTTTTGATACACTCTTTTTGTAGAATCTGCAAGTGGATATTTGGATAGCTGTGAAGATTTCGTTGGAAACGGGAATATCTTCCTATAAAATCTAGACAGAAGCATTCTCAGAAACTGCTCTGTGATGTCTGCATTCAAGTCACAGAGTTGAACATTGCCTTTCATAGAGCAGGTTTGAAACGCTCTTTTCGTAGTATATGGAAGTGGACGTTTCGGACGGTTTGAGGCCCATGGTGATAAAGCGAATATCTTCCCCTACCAGCTAGAAGGAAGCATTCTGTGAAACTTGTTTGTGATGTGTGTACTCAACTAACAGAGTTGAACCTTTCTTTTTACAGAGCAGTTTTGAAACACTCTTTTTGTAGAATCTGCGAGGGGATATTTGGATAGATTTCAGGATTTCGTCGGAAACGGGAATATCTTCATATAAAATCTCGACAGAAGCATCCTCAGAAACTACTTTGTGATGTGTGCATTCAAGTCACAGAGTTGAACATTCCCTTTCGTACAGCAGTTTTGAAACACTCTTTTTGTAGTATCTGGAAGTGGACATTTGGAGCGCCTTGACACCTACGGTGAAAAGGGAAATATCTTCCCATAAAAACTAGACAGAAGCAATCTCAGAATCTTTTTTGGGATATATGCACGCAGTTAACAGAGTTGAACCTTTCTATTGACAGAGCAGTTTTGAAACAGTCTTTCTGTGGAATCTGCAAGTGGATATTTGGATAGCTTGGAGGATTTCGTTGGAAACGGGATTACGTATAAAAAGTAGACAGCAGCATCCTCAGAAACTTCTTTGTGATGTGTACATTCAAGTCACAGAGTTGAACATTCCCTTTCGTACAGCAGTTTTGAAACACTCTTTCTGTAGTATCTGGAAGTGAACATTAGGACAGCTTTCAGGTCTATGGTGAGAAAGGAAATATCTTCAAATAAAAACTAGACAGAAGCATTCTCATAAACTTGTTTGTGATGTGTGAACTAAGCTAACAGAGGTGGATCTTTCTTTTGATAGAGCAGTTCTGAAAAACACTTTTTGTTGAATCTGCAAGTGGATATTTGGATAGATTTGAAGATTTCGTTGGAAACGGGAATATCTTCATATCAAATCTAGACAGAAGCATTCTCAGAAACGTCTTTGTGATGTTTGCATTCAACTCATAGAGTTGAACATTCCCTTTCAGAGAGCAGCTTTGAAGCACTCTTTTTGTAGCATGTGCAAGTGGACATTTGGAGCGCCCAGAGGCCTACGGGGAAAAAGCAAATATCTTCCCATAACCACTAGACAGAAGCATTCTCAGAAACTCCTTTATGACGTATGCACTCACCTAACAGAAAAGAACCTTCCTTTTGACAGAGCAGTTTTGATACACTCTTTTCGTAGAATCTGCAAGTGGATATTTGGATAGCTGTGAAGATTTCGTTGGAAACGGGAATATCTTCCTATAAAATCTAGACAGAAGCATTCTCAGAAACTGCTCTGTGATGTCTGCATTCAAGTCACAGAGTTGAACATTGCCTTTCATAGAGCAGGTTTGAAACGCTCTTTTTGTAGTATATGGAAGTGGACTTATCGGACGATTTGAGGCCCATGGTGATAAAGGGAATATCTTCCCCTACAAGCTAGAAAGAAGCATTCTGTGAAACTTGTTTGTGATGTGTGTACTCAACTAACAGAGTTGAACCTTTCATTTTACAGAGCAGTTTTGAAACACTCTTTTTGTAGAATCTGTGAGGGGATATTTGGATAGATTTCAGGATTTCGTTGGAAACGGGAATATCTTCATATAAAATCTCGACAGAAGCATTCTCAGCAAACTTCTTTGTGATATGTGCATTCAAGTCACAGAGTTGAATATTCCCTTTCACAGAGCAGGTTTGAAACACTCTTTTTGTACTATCTGGAAGTGGACATTTGGAGCGCCTTGACGCCTACGGTGAAAAGGGAAATATCTTCCCATAAAAACTAGACAGAAGCAATCACAGAATCTTCTTTGGGATATATGCACGCAGCTAACAGAGTTGAACCTTTCTATTGACAGAGCAGTTTTGAAACAGTCTTTCTGTGGAATCTGCAAGTGGATATTTGGATAGCTTGGAGGATTTCGTTGGAAACGGGATTACGTATAAAAAGTAGACAGCAGCATCCTCAGAAACTTCTTTGTGATGTGTGCATTCAAGTCACAGAGTTGAACATTCCCTTTCGTACAGCAGTTTTGAAACACTCTTTCTGTAGTATCTGGAAGTGAACATTAGGTCAGCTTTCATGTCTATGGTGAGAAAGGCAATATCTTCAAATAAAAACTAGACAGAAGCATTCTCATAAACTTGTTCGTGATGTGTGAACTCAGCTAACACACGTGGATCTTTCTTTTGATAGAGCAGTGCTGAAAAACAGTTTTTGTTGAATCTGCAAGAGGACATTTGGATGGATTTGAAGATTTCGTTGGAAACGGGAATATCTTCATATCAAATCTAGACAGAAGCATTCTCAGAAACGTCTTTGCGATGTTTGCATTCAACTCATAGAGTTGAACATTCCGTTTCAGAGAGCAGCTTTGAGGCACTCTTTTTGTAGTATGTGCAAGTGGATATTTGGAGCGCTCTGAGGCCTACGGTGGAAAAAGCAAATATCTTCCCATAACCACTAGACAGAAACATTCTCAGAAACTCCTTTATGACGTATGCACTCACCTAACAGAGAAGAACCTTCCTTTTGACAGAGCAGTTTTGATACAATCTTTTTGTAGAATCTGCAAGTGGATATTTGGATAGCTGTGAAGATTTCGTTGGAAACGGGAATATCTTCCTATAAAATCTATACAGAAGCATTCTCAGAAACTGCTCTGTGATGTCTGCATTCAAGTCACAGAGTTGAACATTGCGTTTCATAGAGCAGGTTTGAAACGCTCTTTTTGTAGTATATGGAAGTGGACTTTTCGGACGGTTTGAGGCCCATGGTGATAAAGGGAATATCTTCCCCTACAAGCTAGAAAGAAGCATTCTGTGAAACTTGTTTGTGATGTGTGTACACAACTAACAGAGTTGAACCTTTCTTTTTACAGAGCAGTTTTGAAACACTCTTTTTGTAGAATCTGCGAGGGGATATTTGGATAGATTTCAGGATTTCGTTGGAAACGGGAGTATCTTCATATAAAATCTCGACAGAAGCATTCTCAGAAACTTCTTTGTGATATCTGCCTTCAAGTCACAGAGTTGAATATTCCCTTTCACAGAGTAGGTTTGAAACACTCTTTTTGTAGTATCTGAGAGTGGACATTTGGAGCGCCTTGACGCCTACGGTGAAAAGGGAAATATCTTCCCATAAAAACTAGACAGAAGCAATCTCAGAATCTTCTTTGGGATATATGCACGCAGCTAACAGAGTTGAACCTTTCTATTGACAGAGCAGTTTTGAAACAGTCTTTCTGTGGAATCTGCAAGTGGATATTTGGATAGCTTGGAGGATTTCGTTGGAAACGGGATTACGTATAACAAGTAGACAGCAGCGTCCTCAGGAACTTCTTTGTGATGTGTGCATTCAAGTCACAGAGTTGAACATTCCCTTCCATACAGCAGTTTTGAAACACTCTTTCTGTAGTATCTGGAAGTGAACATTAGGACAGCTTTCAGGTCTATGGTGAGAAAGGAAATATCTTCAAATAAAAACTAGACAGAAGCATTCTAATAAACTTGTTTGTGATGTGTGAACTCAGCTAACAGAGGTGGATCTTTCTTTTGATAGAGCAGTTCTGAAAAACACTTTTTGTTGAATCTGCAAGTGGACATTTGGATAGATTTGAAGATTTCGTTGGAAACGGGAATATCGTCATATCAAATCTAGACAGAAGCATTCTCTGAAACGTCTTTGTGATGTTTGCATTCAACTCATAGAGTTGAACATTTCGTTTCAGAGAGCAGCTTTGAGGCACTCTTTTTGTAGTATGTGCAAGTGGATATTTGGAGCGCTCTGAGGCCTACGGTGAAAAAGCAAATATCTTCCCATAACCACTAGACAGAAAACATTCTCAGTAAACTCCTTTATGACGTATGCACTCACCTAACAGAAAAGAACCTTCCTTTTGACAGAGCAGTTTTGATACACTCTTTTTGTAGAATCTGCAAGTGGATATTTGGATAGCTGTGAAGATTTCGTTGGAAACGGGAATATCTTCCTATAAAATCTAGACAGAAGCATTCTCAGAAACTGCTCTGTGATGTCTGCATTCAAGTCACAGAGTTGAACATTGCCTTTCATAGAGCAGGTTTGAAACGCTCTTTTTGTAGTATATGGAAGTGGACGTTTCGGACGGTTTGAGGCCCATGGTGTTAAAGGGAATATCTTCCCCTACAAGGTAGAAAGAAGCATTCTGTGAAACTTGTTTGTGATGTTTGTACTCAACTAACAGAGTTGAACCTTTCTTTTTGCAGAGCAGTTTTGAAACACTCTTTTTGTAGAATCTGCGAGGGGATATTTGGATAGATTTCAGGATTTCGTTGGAAACGGGAATATCTTCATATAAAATCTCGACAGAAGCATTCTCAGAAACTTCATTGTGATATCTGCATTCAAGTCACAGAGTTGAATATTCCCTTTCACAGAGTAGGTTTGAAACAGTCTTTTTGTAGTATCTGGAAGTGGATATTTGGAGCGCCTTGACACCTACGGTGAAAAGGGAAATATCTTCCCATAAAAACTAGACAGAAGCAATCTCAGAATCTTCTTTGGGATATATGCACGCAGCTAACAGAGTTGAACCTTTCTATTGACAGAGCAGTTTTGAAACAGTCCTTCTGTGGAATCTGCAAGTGGATATTTGGATAGCTTGGAGGATTTCGTTGGAAACGGGATTACGTATAAAAAGTAGACAGCAGCATCCTCAGAAACTTCTTTGTGATGTGTGCATTCAAGTCACAGAGTTGAACCTTCCCTTTCGTACAGCAGTTTTGAAACACTCTTTCTGTAGTATCTGGAAGTGAACATTAGGACAGCTTTCAGGTCTATGGTGAGAAAGGAAATATCTTCAAATAAAAACTAGACAGAAGCATTCTCATAAACTTGTTTGTGATGTGTGAACTCAGCTAGCAGAGGTGGATCTTTCTTTTGATAGAGCAGTTCGGAAAAACACTTTTTGTTGAATCTCCAAGTGGACATTTGGATTGATTTGAAGATTTCGTTGGAAACGGGAATATCTTTATATCAAATCTAGACAGAAACATTGTCAGAAACTCCTTTATGACGTATGCACTCACCTAACAGCAGAAGAACCTTCCTTTTGACAGAGCAGTTTTGATACACTCTTTTTGTAGAATCTGCAAGTGGATATTTGGATAGCTGCGAAGATTTCGTTGGAAACGGGAATATCTTCCTATAAAATCTAGACAGAAGCATTCTCAGAAACTGCTCTGTGATGTCTGCATTCAAGTCACAGAGTTGAACATTGCCTTTCATAGAGCAGGTTTGAAACGCTCTTTTTGTAGTATATGGAAGTGGACGTTTCAGACGGTTTGAGGCCCATGGTGATAAAGGGAATATCTTCCCCTACAAGCTAGAAAGAAGCATTCTGTGAAACTTGTTTGTGATGTGTGTACTCAACTAACAGAGTTGAACCTTTCTTTTTACAGAGCAGTTTTGAAACACTCTTTTTGTAGAATCTGCGAGGGGATATTTGGGATAGATTTCAGGATTTCGTTGGAAAGGGGAATATCTTCATATAAAATCTCGACAGAAGCATTCTCAGAAACTTCTTTGTGATATGTGCATTCAAGTCACAGAGTTGAATATTCCCTTTCACAGAGTAGGTTTGAAACACTGTTTTTGTAGTATCTGGAAGTGGACATTTGGAGCGCCTTGACGCCTACGGTGAAAAGGGAAATATCTTCCCATAAAAACTAGACAGAAGCAATCTCAGAATCTTCTTTGGGATATATGCACGCAGCTAATAGAGTTGAACTTTTCTATTGACAGAGCAGATTTGAAACAGTCTTTCTGTGGAATCTGCAAGTGGATATTTGGATAGCCTGGAGGATTACGTTGGAAACGGGATTACGTATAAAAAGTAAACAGCAGCATCCTCAGAAACATCCTTGTGATGTGTGCATTCAAGTCACAGAGATGAACATTCCCTTTCTTACAGCAGTTTTGAAACACTCTTTCTGTAGTATCTGGAAGTGAACTTTAGGAGAGCTTTCAGGTCTATAGTGAGAAAGGATATATCTTCAAATAAAAACTAGACAGAAGCATTCTGATAAACTTGTTTGTGAAGTGTGAACTCAGCTAACAGAGGTGGATCTTTCTTTTGATAGAGCAGTTCTGAAAAACACTTTTTGTTGAATCTGCAAGTGGACATTTTGATAGATTTGAAGATTTCGTTGGAAACGGGAATATCTTCATATCAAATCTAGACAGAAGCATTCTCGGAAACGTCTTTGTGATGTTTGCATTCAACTCACAAAGTTGAACATTCCGTTTCAGAGAGCAGCTTTGAGGCACTCTTTTTGTAGTATGTGCAAGTGGATATTTGGAGCGCTCTGAGGCCTTCTGTGAAAAAGCAAATATCTTCCCATAACCACTAGACAGAAACATTCTCAGAAACTCCTTTATGACGTATGTACTCAACTAGCAGAGAAGAACTTTCCTTTTGACAGAGCATTTTTGATACATTCTTTTTGTAGTATCTGCAAGTGGATATTTGGATAGCTGTGAAGATTTCGTTGGAAACGGGAATATCTTCCTATAAAGTCTGGACAGAAGCATTCTCAGAAACTGCTACTGTGATGTCTGCATTCAAGTCACAGAGTTGAACATTGCCTTTCATAGAGCAGGTTTCAAACACTCTTTTTTTAGTATATGGAAGTGGACGTTTCGGATGGTTTGAGGCCCATGGTGATAAAGGAAATATCTTCCCCTACAAGCTAGAAAGAAGCATTGTGTGAAACTTGTTTGTGATATGTGTACTCAACTAACAGAGTTGAACCTTTCTTTTTACAGAGCAGTTTTGAAACACTCTTTTTGTAGAATCTGCGAGGGGATATTTGGATAGATTTCAGGATTTCGTTGGAAACGGGAATATCTTCATATAAAATCTCGATAGAAGCATCCTCAGAAACTTCTTTGTGTTGTGTGCATTCAAGTCACAGAGTTGAATATTCCCTTTCACAGAGTTGGTTTGAAACACTCTTTTTGTAGTATCTGGAAGTGGACATTTGGAGCGCCTTGACACCTACGGTGAAAAGGGAAATATCTTCCCATAAAAACTAGACAGAAGCAATCTCAGAATCTTCTTTGGGATATATGTACGCAGCTAATAGAGTTGAACCTTTCTATTGACAGAGCAGTTTTGAAACAGTCTTTCTGTGGAATCTGCAAGTGGATATTTGGATAGCTTGGAGGATTTCGTTGGAAACGGGAATACGTATAAAAAGTAGACAGCAGCATCCTCAGAAAACTTCTTTCTGATGTGTGCATTCAAGTCACAGAGTTGAACATTCCCTTTCGTACAGCAGTTTTGAAACACTCTTTCTGTAGTATCTGGAAGTGAACATTAGGACAGCTTTCAGGTCTATGGTGAGAAAGGAAATATCTTCAAATAAAAACTAGACAGAAGCATTCTGATAAACTTGTTTGTGAAGTGTGAACTCAGCTAACAGAGGTGGATCTTTCTTTTGATAGAGCAGTTCTGATAAACACTTTTTGTTGAATCTGCAAGTGGACATTTGGATAGATTTGAAGATTTCGTTGGAAACGGGAATATCTTCATATCAAATCTAGACAGATAAGCATTCTCGGAAACGTCTTTGTCATGTTTGCATTCAACTCATAGAGTTGAACATTCCGTTTCAGAGAGCAGCTTTGAAGCACTCTTTTTGTAGTATGTGCAAGGGGATATTTGGAGTGCTCTGAGGCCTAAGGTGAAAAAGCAAATATCTTCCCATAACCACTAGACAGAAACATTCTCAGAAACTCCTTTATGACGTATGCACTCACCTAACAGAGAAGAACCTTCCTTTTGACAGAGCAGTTTTGATACACTCTTTTTGTAGAATCTGCAAGTGGATATTTGGATACCTGTGAAGATTTCGATGGAAACGGGAATAACTTCCTATAAAATCTAGACAGAAGCATTCTCAGAAACTGCTCTGTGATGTCTGCATTCAAGTCACAGAGTTGAACATTGCCTTTCCTAGAGCAGGTTTGAAACGCTCTTTTTGTAGTATATGTAAGTGGACGTTTCGGACGGTTTGAGGCCCATGGTGATAAAGGGAATATCTTCCCCTACAAGCTAGAAAGAAAGCATTCTGTGAAACTTGTTTGTGATGTGTGTACTCAACTAACAGAGTTGAACCTTTCTTTTTACAGAGCAGTTTTGAAACACTCTTTTTGTAGAATCTGCGAGGGGATATTTGGATAGATTTCAGGATTTCGTTGGAAAGGGGAATATCTTCATATAAAATCTCGACAGAAGCATTCTCAGAAACTTCTTTGTGATATCTGCATTCAAGTCACAGTGTTCAATATTCCCTTTCACAGAGTAGGTTTGAAACACTCTTTTTGTAGTATCTGGAAGTGGACATTTGGACCGCCTTGACACCTACGGTGAAAAGGGAAATATCTTCCCATAAAAACTAGACAGAAGCAATCTCAGAATCTTCTTTGGGATATATGCACGCAGCTAACAGAGTTGAACCTTTCTATTGACAGAGCAGTTTTGAAACAGTCTTTCTGTGGAATCTGCAAGTGGATATTTGGATAGCTTGGAGGATTTCTTTGGAAACGGGATTAAGTATAAAAAGTAGACAGCAGCATCCTCAGAAACTTCTTTGTGATGTGTGCATTCAAGTCACAGAGTTGAACATTCCCTTTCATACAGCAGTTTTGAAACACTCTTTCTGTAGTGTCTGGAAGTGAACATTAGGAGAGCTTTCAGGTCTATGGTGAGAAAGGAAATATCTTCAAATAAAAACTAGACAGAAGCATTCTCATAAACTTGTTTGTGATGTCTGAACTCAGCTAACAGAGGTGGATCATTCTTTTGATAGAGCAGTTCTGAAAAACACTTTTTGTTGAATCTGCAAGTGGACATTTGGATAGATTTGAAGATTTCGTTGGAAACGGGAATATCTTCATATCAAATCTAGACAGAAGCATTCTCAGAAACGTCTTTGTGATGTTTGCATTCAACTCATAGAGTTGAACATTCCGTTTCAGAGAGCAGCTTTGAGGCACTCTTTTTCTAGTATGTGCAAGTGGATATTTGGAGCGCTCTGAGGCCTACGGTGAAAAAGCAAATATCTTCCCATAACCACTAGACAGAAACATTCTCAGAAACTCCTTTATGACGTATGCACTCACCTAACAGAAAAGAACCTTCCTTTTGACAGAGCAGTTTTGATACACTCTTTTTGTTGAATCTGCAAGTGGATATTTGGATAGCTGTGAAGATTTCGTTGGAAACGGGAATATCTTCCTATAAAATCTAGACAGAAGCATTCTCAGAAACTGCTCTGTGATGTCTGCATTCAAGTCACAGAGTTGAACATTGCCTTTCATAGAGCAGGTTTGAAACGCTCTTTTTGTAGTATATGGAAGTGGACTTATCGGACGGTTTGAGGCCCATGGTGATAAAGGGAATATCTTTCCCTACAAGCTAGAAAGAAGCATTCTGTGAAACTTGTTTGTGATGTGTGTACTCAACTAACAGAGTTGAACCTTTCTTTTTACAGAGCAGTTTTGAAACACTCTTTTTGTAGAATCTGTGAGGGGATATTTGGATAGATTTCAGGATTTCGTTGGAAACGGGAATATCTTAATATAAAATCTCGACAGAAGCATTCTCAGAAACTTCTTTGTGATATGTGCATTCAAGTCACAGAGTTGAATATTCCCTTTCACAGAGTAGGTTTGAAACACTCTTTTTGTAGTATCTGGAAGTGGACATTTGGAGCGCCTTGACGCCTACCGTGAAAAGGGAAATATCTTCCCATAAAAACTAGACAGAAGCAACCTCAGAATCTTCTTTGGGATATATGCACGCAGCTAACAGAGTTGAACCTTTCTATTGACAGAGCAGTTTTGAAAGAGTCTTTCTGTGGAATCTGCAAGTGGATATTTGGATAGCTTGGAGGATTTCGTTGGAAACGGGATTACGTATAATAAGTAGACAGCAGCATCCTCAGAACCTCCTTTTGATGTGTGCATTCAAGTCACAGAGTTGAACATTCCCTTTTGTACAGCAGTATTGAAACACTCTTTCTGTAGTATCTGGAAGTGAACATTAGGACAGCTTTCAGGTCTATGGTGAGAAAGGAAATATCTTCAAATAAAAACTAGACAGAAGCATTCTCATAAACTTGTTTGTGATGTGTGAACTCAGCTAACAGAGGTGGATCGTTCTTTTGATAGAGCAGTTCTGAAAAACACATTTTGTTGAATCTGCAAGTGGACATTTGGATAGATTTGAAGATTTCGTTGGAAACGGGAATATCTTCATATCAAATCTAGACAGAAGCATTCTTGGAAACGTCTTTGTGATGTTTGCATTCAACTCATAGAGTTGAACATTCCGTTTCAGAGAGCAGCTTTGAAGCACTCTTTTTGTAGTATGTGCAAGTGGATATTTGGAGCGCTCTGAGGCCTACGGTGAAAAAGCAAATATCTTCCCATAACCACTAGACAGAAACATTCTCAGAAACTCCTTTATGACGTATGCACTCACCTAACAGAGAAGAACCTTCCTTTTGACAGAGCAGTTTTGATACACTCTTTTTGTAGAATCTGCAAGTGGATATTCGATAGCTGTGAAGTTTTCGTTGGAAACGGGAATATCTTCCTATAAAATCTAGACAGAAGCATTCTCAGAAACTGCTCTGTGATGTCTGCATTCAAGTCACAGAGTTGAACATTGCCTTTCATAGAGCAGGTTTGAAACGCTCTTTTTGTAGTATATGGAAGTGGACGTTTCGGACGGTTTGAGGCCCATGGTGATAAAGGGAATATCTTCACCTACAAGCTAGAAAGAAGCATTGTGTGAAACTTATTTGTGATGTGTGTACTCAACTAACAGAGTTGAACCTTTCTTTTTACAGAGCAGTTTTGAAACACTCTTTTTGTAGAATCTGCGAGGGGATATTTGGATACATTTCAGCATTTCGTTGGAAACGGGAATATCTTCATATAAAATCTCGACAGAAGCATTCTCAGAAACTTCTTTGTGATATCTGCATTCAAGTCACAGAGTTGAATATTCCCTTTCACAGAGTAGGTTTGAAACACTCTTTTTGTAGTATCTGGAAGTGGACATTTGGAGCACCTTGACACCTACGGTGAAAAGGGAAATATCTTCCAATAAAAACTAGACAGAAGCAATCTCAGAATCTTCTTTGGGATATATGCACGCAGCTAACAGAGTTGAACCTTTCTATTGACAGAGCAGTTTTGAAACAGTCTTTCTGTGGAATCTGCAAGTGGATATTTGGATAGCTTGGAGGATTTCGTTTGAAACGGGATTACGTATAAAAAGTAGACAGCAGCCTCCTCTGAAACTTCTTTGTGATGTGTGCATTCAAGTCACAGAGTTGAACATTCCCTTTCGTACAGCAGTTTTGAAACACTCTTTCTGTAGTATCTGGAAGTGAACATTAGGACAGCTTTCAGGTCTATGGTGAGAAAGGCAATATCTTCAAATAAAAACTAGACAGAAGCATTCTCATAAACTTGTTTGTGATGTGTGAACTCAGCTAACAGAGGTGGATCTTTCTTTTGATAGAGCAGTTCTGAAAAACACTTTTTGTTGAATCTGCAAGTGGACATTTGTATAGATTTGAAGATTTCGTTGGAAACGGGAATATCTTCATATCAAATCTAGACAGAAGCATTCTCAGAAACGTCTTTGTGATGTTTGCATTCAACTCATAGAGTTGAACATTCCGTTTCAGAGAGCAGCATTGAAGCACTCTTTTTGTAGTATGTGCAAGTGGATATTTGGAGCGCTCTGAGGCCTACGGTGAGAAAGCAAATATCTCCCCATAACCACTAGACAGAAACATTCTCAGAAACTTCTTTATGACGTATGTACTCAACTAGCAGAGAAGAACTTTCCTTTTGACAGAGAACTTTTGATACACTCTTTTTGTAGTATCTGCAAGTGGATATTTGGATAGCTGTGAAGATTTCGTTGGAATCGGGAATATCTTCCTATAAAGTCTGGACAGAAGCATTCTCAGAAACTGCTCTGTGATGTCTGCATTCAAGTCACAGAGTTGAACATTGCCTTTCATAGAGCAGGTTTGAAATGCTCTTTTTGTAGTATATGGAAGTGGACTTTTCGGACGGTTGGAGGCCCATGGTGATAAAGGGAATATCTTCCCCTACAAGCTAGAAAGAAGCATTCTGTGAAACTTGTTTGTGATGTGTGTACTCAACTAACAGAGTTGAACCTTTCTTTTTACAGAGCAGTTTTGAAACACTCTTTTTGTAGAATCTGCGAGGGGAAATTTGGATAGATTTCAGGATTTCATTGGAAACGGGAATATCTTCATACAAAATCTCGACAGAAGCATTCTCAGAAACTTCTTTGTGATATCTGCATTCAAGTCACAGAGTTGAATATTCCCTTTCACAGAGTAGGTTTGAAACACTCTTTTTGTAGCATCTGGAAGTGGACATTTGGAGCGCATTGACGCCTACGGTGAAAAGGGAAATATCTTCCCATAAAAACTAGACAGAAGCAATCTCAGAATCTTCTTTGGGATATATGCACGCAGCTAACAGAGTTGTACCTTTCTATTGACAGAGCAGTTTTGAAACAGTCTTTCTGTGGAATCTGCAAGTGGATATTTGGATAGCTTGGAGGATTTCGTTGGAAACGGGATTACGCATAAAAAGTAGACAGCAGCATCCTCAGAAACTTCTTTGTGATGTGTGCATTCAAGTCACAGAGTTCAACATTCCCTTTCGTACAGCAGTTTTGAAACACTCTTTCTGTAGTAACTGGAAGTGAACATTAGGACAGCTTTCAGGTCTATGGTGAGAAAGGAAATATCTTCTAATAAAAACTAGACAGAAGCATTCTCATAAACTTGTTTGTGATGTCTGAACTCAGCTAACAGAGGTGGATCTTTCTTTTGATAGAGCAGTTCTGAAAAACACTTTTTGTTGAATCTGCAAGTGGACATTTGGATAGATTTGAAGATTTCGTTGTAAACGGGAATATCTTCATATCAAATCTAGACAGAAGCATTCTCAGAAACGTCTTTGCGATGTTTGCATTCAACTCATAGAGTTGAACATTCCCTTTCAGAGACCAGCTTTGAAGCACTCTTTTTGTAGTATGTGCAAGTGGATATTTGGAGCGCTCTGAGGCCTACGGTGAAAAAGCAAATATCTTCCCATAACCACTACACAGAAACATTCTCAGAAACTCCTTTATGACGTATGCACTCACCTAACACAGTAAGAACCTTCCTTTTGACAGAGCATTTTTGATACACTCTTTTTGTAGCATCTGCAAGTGGATATTTGGATATCTGTGAAGATTTCGTTGGAAACGGGAATATCTTCCTATAAAATCTAGACAGAAGCATTCTCAGAAACTGCTCTGTGATGTCTGCATTCAACTCACAGAGTTGAACATTGCCTTTCATAGAGCAGGTTTGAAACGCTCTTTTTGTAGTATATGGAAGTGGATGTTTCGGACGGTTGGAGGCCCATGGTGATAAAGGGAATATCTTCCCCTACAAGCTAGAAAGAAGCATTCTGTGAAACTTGTTTGTGATGTGTGTACTCAACTAACAGAGTTGAACCTTTCTTTTTACAGAGCAGTTTTGAAACACTCTTTTTGTAGAATCTGCGAGGGGATATTTGGATAGATTTCAGGATTTCGTTGGAAACGGGAATATCTTCATATAAAATCTGGACAGAAGCATTCTCAGAAACTTCTTTGTGATATCTGCATTCAAGTCACAGAGTTGAATATTCCCTTTCACAGAGTAGGTTTGAAACACTCTTTTTGTAGTATCTGGAAGTGGACATTTGGAGCGCCTTGACGCCTACGGTGAAAAGGGAAATATCCTCTCATAAAAAGTAGACAGAAAGCAATCTCAGAATCTTCTTTGGGATATATGTACGCAGCTAATAGAGTTGAACCTTTCTATTGACAGAGCAGTTTTGAAACAGTCTTTCTGTGGAATCTGCAAGTGGATATTTGGATAGCTTGGAGGATTTCGTTGGAAACGGGATTACGTATAAAAAGTAGACAGCAGCATCCTCAGAAACTTCTTTGTGATGTGTGCATTCAAGTCACAGAGTTGAACATTCCCTTTCGTACAGCAGTTTTGAATCACTCTTTCTGTAGTATCTGGAAGTGAACATTAGGACAGCTTTCAGGTCTATGGTGAGAAAGGAAATATCTTCAAATAAAAACTAGACAGAAGCATTCTCATAAACTTGTTTGTGATGTGTGAACTCATCTAACAGAGGTGGATCTTTCTTTTGATAGAGCAGTTCTGAAAAACACTTTTTGTTGAATCTGCAAGTGGACATTTGGAAAGATTTGAAGATTTCGTTGGAAACGGGAATATCTTCATATCAAATCTAGACAGAAGCATTCTCAGAAACGTCTTTGTGATGTTAGCATTCAACTCATAGAGTTGAACATTCCCTTTCAGAGAGCAGCTTTGAAGCACTCTTTTTGTAGTATGTGCAAGTGGACATTTGGAGCGCTTTGAGGCCTACGGGGAAAAAGCAAATATCTTCCCATAACCACTAGACAGAAACATTCTCAGAAACTTCTTTATGACGTATGTACTCAAGTAGCAGAGAAGAACTTTCCTTTTGACAGAGCACTTTGGATACACACTTTTTATAGTATCTGCAAGTGGATATTTGGATAGCTGTGAAGATTTCGTTGGAAACGGGAATATCTTCCTATAAAGTCTGGACAGAAGCATTCTCAGAAACTGCTCTGTGATGTCTGCATTCAAGTCACAGAGTTGAACATTGCCTTTCATAGAGCAGGTTTGAAACGCTTTTTTGTAGTATATGGAAGTGGACGTTTCGAACGGTTTGAGGCCCATGGTGATAAAGGGAATATCTTCCCCTACAAGCTAGAAAGAAGCATTCTGTGAAACTTGTTTGTGATGTGTGTACTCAACTAACAGAGTTGAACCTTTCGTTTTACAGAGCAGTTTTGAACCACTCTTTTTGTAGAATCTGCGAGTGGATATTTGGATAGATTTCAGGATTTCGTTGGAAACGGGAATATCTTCATATAAAATCTCGACAGAAGCATTCTCAGAAACTTCTTTGTGATATGTGCATTCAAGTCACAGAGTTGAATATTCCCTTTCACAGAGTAGATTTGAAACACTCTTTTTGTAGTATCTGGAAGTGGACATTTGGAGCGCCTTGACGCCTACGGTGAAAAGGGAAATATCTTCCCATAAAAACTAGACAGAAGCAATCTCAGAATCTTCTTTGGGATATATGCACGCAGCTAACAGAGTTGAACCTTTCTATTGACAGAGCAGTTTTGAAACAGTCTTTCTGTGGAATCTGCAAGTGGATATTTGGATATCTTGGAGGATTTCGTTGGAAACGGGATTACGTATAAAAAGTAGACAGCAGCATCCTCAGAAACTTCTTTGTGATGTGTGCATTCAAGTCACAGAGTTGAACATTCCCTTTCGTACAGCAGTTTTGAAACACTCTTTCTGTAGCATATGGAAGTGAACATTAGAACAGCTTTCAGGTCTATGGTGAGAAAGGAAATATCTTCAAATAAAAACTAGACAGAAGCATTCTGTGAAACTTGTTTGAGATGTGTGTACTCAACTAACAGTGTTGAACCTTTCTTTTTACAGAGCAGTTTTGAAACACTCTTTTGGTAGAATCTGCGAGGGGATATTTGGATAGATTTCAGGATTTCGTTGGAAACGGGAATATCTTCATATAAAATCTCGACAGAAGCATTCTCAGAAACGTCTTTGTGATGTTAGCATTCAACTCATAGAGTTGAACATTCCCTTTCAGAGAGCAGCTTTGAAGCACTCTTTTTGTAGTATGTGCAAGTGGATATTTGGAGCGCTCTGAGGCCTAAGGTGAAAAAGCAAATATCTTCCCGTAACCACTAGACAGAAACATTCTCAGAAACTCCTTTATGACGTATGCACTCACCTAACAGAGAAGAACTTACCTTTTGACAGAGCAGTTTTGATACACTCTTTTTGTAGAATCTTCAAGTGGATATTTGGATAGCTGTGAAGATTTCGTTGGAAACGGGAATATCTTCCTATAAAATCTAGACAGAAGCATTCTCAGAAACTGCTCTGTGATGTCTGCATTCAAGTCACAGAGTTGAACATTGCCTTTCCTAGAACAGGTTTGAAACGCTCTTTTTGTAGTATATGGAAGTGGACGTTTCGGACGGTTTGAGGCCCATGGTGATAAAGGGAATATCTTGCCCTACAAGCTAGAAAGAAGCATTCTGTGAAACTTGTTTGTGATGTGTGTACTCAACTAACAGAGTTGAACCTTTCTTTTTACAGAGCAGTTTTGAACCACTCTTTTTGTAGAATCTGCGAGGGAATATTTGGATAGAATTCAGGATTTCGTTGGAAACGGGAATATCTTCATATAAAATCTCGACAGAAGCATTCTCAAAAACTTCTTTGTGATATGTGCATTCAAGTCACAGAGTTGAATATTCCCTTTCACAGAGTAGGTTTGAAACACTCTTTTTGTAGTATCTGGAAGTGGACATTTGGAGCGCCTTGACACCTACGGTGAAAAGGGAAATATCTTCCCATAAAAACTAGACAGAAAGCAATCTCAGAATTTTCTTTGGGATATATGCACACAGCTAACAGAGTTGAACTTTTCTATTGACATAGCAGTTTTGAAACAGTCTTTCTGTGGAATCTGCAAGTGGATATTTGGATAGCTTGGAGGATTTCGTTGGAAACGGGATTACGTATAAAAAGTAGACAGCAGCATCCTCAGAAACTTATTTGTGATGTGTGCATTCAAGTCACAGAGTTGAACATTCCATTTCATACAGCAGTTTTGAAACACTCTTTCTGTAGTATCTGGAAGTGAACATTAGGACAGCTTTCAGGTCTATGGTGAGAAAGGAAATATCTTCAAATAAAAACTAGACAGAAGCATTCTCATAAACTTGTTTGTGATGTGTGAACTCAGCTAAAAGAGGTGGATCTTTCTTTTGATAGAGCAGTTCTGAAAAACACTTTTTGTTGAATCTGCAAGTGGACATTTGGATAGATTTGAAGATTTCGTTGGAAACGGGAATATCTTCATATCAAATCTAGACAGAAGCATTCTCAGAAACGTCTTTGTGATGTTTGCATTCAACCCATAGAGTTGAACATTCCCTTTCAGAGAGCAGCTTTGAAGCACTCTTTTTGTAGTATGTGCAAGGGGATATTTGGAGCGCTCTGAGGCCTAAGGTGAAGAAGCAAATATCTTCCCATAACCACTAGACAGAAACATTCTCAGAAACTCCTTTATGACGTATGCACTCACCTAACAGAGAAGAACCTTCCTTTTGACAGAGCAGTTTTGATACACTCTTTTTGTAGAATCTGCAAGTGGATATTTGGATAGCAGTGAAGATTTCGTTGGAAACGGGAATATCTTCCTATAAAATCTAGACAGAAGCATTCTAAGAAACTGCTCTGTGATGTCTGCATTCAAGTCACAGAGTTGAACATTGCCTTTCATAGAGCAGGTTTGAAATGCTCTTTTTGTAGTATATGGAAGTGGACGTTTCAGACGGTTTGAGGCCCATGGTGATAAAGGGAATATCTTCCCCTACAAGCTAGAAAGAAGCATTCTGTGAAACTTGTTTGTGATGTGTGTACTTAACTAACAGAGTTGAACCTTTCTTTTCACAGAGCAGTTTTGAAACACTCTTTTTGTAGAATCTGCGAGCGGATATTTGGATAGATTTCAGGATTTCGTTGGAAACGGGAATATCTTCATATAAAATCTCGACAGAAGCATTCTCAGAAACTTCTTTGTGATATCTGCCTTCAAGTCACAGAGTTGAATATTCCCTTTCACAGAGTAGGTTTGAAACACTCTTTTTGTAGTATCTGGAAGTGGACATTTGCAGCGCCTTGACGCCTACGGTGAAAAGGGAAATATCTTCCCATAAAAACTAGACAGAAGCAATCTCAGAATCTTCTTAGGGATATATGCACGCAGCTAACAGAGTTGAACCTTTCTATTGACAGAGCAGTTTTGAAACAGTCTTTCTGTGGAATCTGCAAGTGGATATTTGGATAGCTTGGAGGATTTCGTTGGAAACGGGATTACGTATAAAAAGTAGACAGCCAGCATCCTCAGAAACTTCTTTGTGATGTGTGCATTCAAGTCACAGTGTTGAACATTCCCTTTCGTACAGCAGTTTTGAAACACTCTTTCTGTAGTATCTGGAAGTGAACATTAGGACAGCTTTCAGGTCTATGGTGAGAAAGGAAATATCTTCAAATAAAAACTAGACAGAGCGTTCTCATAAACTTGTTTGTGATGTGTGAACTCAGCTAACAGAGGTGGATCTTTCTTTTGATAGAGCAGTTCTGAAAAACACTTTTTGTTGAATCTGCAAGTGGACATTTGGATAGATTTGAAGATTTCGTTGGAAACGGGAATATCTTCATATCAAATCTAGACAGAAGCATTCTCAGAAACGTCTTTGTGATGTTTGCATTCAACTCATAGAGTTGAACATTCCGTTTCAGAGAGCAGCTTTGAGGCACTCTTTTTGTAGTATGTGCAAGTGGATATTTGGAGCGCTCTGAGGCCTTCGGTGAAAAAGCAAATATCTTCCCATAACCACTAGACAGAATCATTCTCAGAAACTCCTTTATGACGTATGCACTCACCTAACAGAGAAGAACCTTCCTTTTGACAGAGCAGTTTTGATACACTCTTTTTGTAGAATCTGCAAGTGGATATTTGGATAGCTGTGAAGATTTCGTTGGAAACGGGAATATCTTCCTATAAAATCTAGACAGAAGCATTCTCAGAAACTCCTCTGTGATGTCTGCATTCAAGTCACAGAGTTGAACATTGCCTTTCATAGAGTAGGTTTGAAACGCTCTTT
Organism: Homo sapiens; assembly: GCF_000001405.40. Classification (NCBI taxonomy): domain Eukaryota; kingdom Metazoa; phylum Chordata; class Mammalia; order Primates; family Hominidae; genus Homo; species Homo sapiens. The sequence continues at coordinate 16,616,547 of NC_000014.9, forward strand.
TTGTAGTATATGGAAGTGGACGTTTCGGACGGTTTGAGGCCCATGGTGATAAAGGGAATATCTTCCCCTACAAGCTAGAAAGAAGCATTCTGTGAAACTTGTTTGTGATGTGTGTACTCAACTAACAGAGTTGAACCTTTCTTTTTACAGAGCAGTTTTGAAACACTCTTTTTGTAGAATCTGTGAGGGGATATTTGGATAGATTTCAGGATTTCGTTGGGAACGGGAATATCTTCATATAAAATCTCGACAGAAGCATTCTCAGAAGCTTCTTTGTGATATGTGCATTCAAGTCACAGACTTGAATATTCCCTTTCACAGAGTAGGTTTGAAACACTCTTTTTGTAGTATCTGGAAGTGGACATTTGGAGCACCTTGACGCCTACGGTGAAAAGGGAAATATCTTCTCATAAAAAGTAGACAGAAGCAATCTCAGAATCTTCTTTGGGATATATGCACGCAGCTAACAGAGTTGAACCTTTCTATTGACAGAGCAGTTTTGAAACAGTCTTTCTGTGGAATCTGCAAGTGGATATTCGGATAGCTTGGAGGATTTCGTTGGAAACGGGATTAAGTATAAAAAGTAGACAGCAGCATCCTCAGAAACTTCTTTGTGATGTGTGCATTCAAGTCACAGAGTTGAACATTCCCTTTCGTACAGCAGTTTTGAAACACTCTTTCTGTAGTATCTGGAGGTGAACATTAGGACAGCTTTCAGCTCTATGGTGAGAAAGGAAATATCTTCAAATAAAAACTAGACAGAAGCATTCTCATAAACTTGTTTGTGATGTGTGAACTCAGCTAACACACGTGGATCTTTCTTTTGATAGAGCAGTTCTGAAAAACACTTTTTGTTGAATCTGCAAGTGGACATTTGGATAGATTTGAAGATTTCGTTGGAAACGGGAATATCTTCATATCAAATCTAGACAAAAGCATTCTCAGAAACGTCTTTGCGATGTTTGCATTCAACTCATAGAGTTGAACATTCCGTTTCAGAGAGCAGCTTTGAAGCACTCTTTTTGTAGTATGTGCAAGTGGATATTTGGAGTGCTCTGAGGCCTACGGTGAAAAAGCAAATATCTTCCCATAACCACTAGACAGAAACATTCTCAGAAACTCCTTTCTGACGTATGCACTCAGCCAACAGAGAAGAACCTTCCTTTTGACAGAGCAGTGTTGATACACTCTTTTTGTAGAATCTGCAAGTGGATATTTGGATAGCTGTGAAGATTTCGTTGGAAACGGGAATATCTTCCTATAAAATCTAGACAGAAGCATTCTCAGAAACTGCTCTGTGATGTCTGCATTCAAGTCACAGAGTTGAACATTGCCTTTCCTACAGCAGGTTTGAAACGCTCTTTTTGTAGTATATGGAAGTGGACGTTTCGGACGGTTTGAGGCCCATGGTGATAAAGGGATTATCTTCCCCTACAAGCTAGAAAGAAGCATTCTGTGAAACTTGTTTGTGATGTGTGTACTCAAATAACAGAGTTGAACCTTTCTTTTTACAGAGCAGTTTTGAAACACTCTTTTTGTAGAATCTGCGAGGGGATATTTGGATAGATTTCAGGATTTCGTTGGAAACGGGAATATCTTCATATAAAATCTCGACAGAAGCATTCTCAGAAGCTTCTTTGTGATATGTGCATTCAAGTCACAGAGTTGAATATTCCCTTTCACAGAGTAGGTTTGAAACACTCTTTTTGTAGTAACTGGAAGTGGACATTTTGAGCACCTTGACGCCTACGGTGAAAAGGGAAATATCTTCTCATAAAAAGTAGACAGAAGCAATCTCAGAATCTTCTTTGGGATATATGCACGCAGCTGACAGAGTTGAACCTTTCTATTGACAGAGCAGTTTTGAAACAGTCTTTCTGTGGAATCTGCAAGTGGATGTTTGGATAGATTGGAGGATTTCGTTGGAAACGGGATTAGGTATAAAAAGTAGACAGCAGCATCCTCAGAAACTTCCTTGTGATGTGTGCATTCAAGTCACAGAGATGAACATTCCCTTTCGTACAGCAGTTTTGAAACACTCTTTCTGTAGTATCTGGAAGTGAACATTAGGAGAGCTTTCATGTCTATAGTGAGAAAGGATATATCTTCAAATAAAAACTAGACAGAAGCATTCTCATAAACTTGTTTGTGATGTGTGAACTCAGCTAACAGAGGTGGATCTTTCTTTTGATAGAGCAGTTCTGAAAAACACTTTTTGTTGAATCTCCAAGTGGACATTTGGATAGATTTGAAGATTTCGTTGGAAACGGGAATATCTTCATATCAAATCTAGACAGAAGCATTCTCAGAAACGTCTTTGTGATGTTTCCATTCAACTCATAGAGTTGAACATTCACTTTCAGAGAGCAGCTTTGAAGCACTCTTTTTGTAGTATGTGCAAGTGGATATTTTGATCGCTCTGTGGCCTACGGTGAAAAAGCAAATATCTTCCCATAACCACTAGACAGAAACATTCTCAGAAACTCCTTTATGACGTATGCACTCACCTAACAGAGAAGAACCTTCCTTTTGACAGAGCAGGTTTGATACACTCTTTTTGTAGAATCTGCAAGTGGATATTTGGATAGCTGTGAAGATTTCGTTGGAAACGGGAATATCTTCCTATAAAATCCTAGACAGAAGCATTCTCAGTAAACTGCTCTGTGATGTCTGCATTCAAGTCACAGAGTTGAACATTGCCTTTCATAGAGCAGGTTTGAAATGCTCTTTTTGTAGTATATGGAAGTGGATGTTTCGGACGGTTGGAGGCCCATGGTGATAAAGGGAATATCTTCCCCTACAAGCTAGAAAGAAGCATTCTGTGAAACTTGTTTGTGATGTGTGTACTCAACTAACAGAGTTGAACCTTTCTTTTTACAGAGCAGTTTTGAAACACTCTTTTTGTAGAATCTGCGAGGGGATATTTGGATAGATTTCAGGATTTCGTTGGAAACTGGAATATCTTCATATAAAATGCTCGACAGAAGCATTCTCAGAAACTTCTTTGTGATACCTGCATTCAAGTCACAGAGTTGAATATTCCCTTTCACAGAGTAGGTTTGAAACACTCTTCTTGTAGTATCTGGAAGTGGACATTTGGAGCACCTTGACGCCTATGGTGAAAAGGGAAATATCTTCCCATAAAAACTAGACAGAAGGAATCTCAGAATCTTCTTTGGGATATATGCACGCAGCTAACAGAGTTGAACCTTTCTATTGACAGAGCAGTTTTGAAACAGTCTTTCTGTGGAATCTGCAAGTGCATATTTGGATAGCTTGGAGGATTTCGTTGTAAACGGGATTACGTATAAAAATTAGACAGCAGCATCCTCAGAAACTTCTTTGTGATGTGTGCATTCAACTCACAGAGTTGAACATTCCCTTTCGTACAGCAGTTTTGAAACACTCTGTAGTATCTGGAAGTGAACATTAGGACAGCTTTCAGCTCTATGGTGAGAAACGAAATATCTTCAAATAAAAACTAGACAGAAGCATTCTGATAAACTTGTTTGTGAAGTGTGATCTCAGCTAACAGAGGTGGATCTTTCTTTTGATAGAGCAGTTCTGAAAAACACTTTGTTGAATCTGCAAGTGGACATTTGGATAGATTTGAAGATTTTGTTGGAAACGGGAATATCTTCATATCAAATCTAGACAGAAGCATTCTCAGAAACGTCTTTGCGATGTTTGCATTCAACTCATAGAGTTGAACATTCCGTTTCAGAGAGCAGCTTTGAGGCGCTCTTTTTGTAGTATGTGCAAGTGGATATTTGGAGCGCTCTGAGGCCTTCGGTGAAAAAGCAAATATCTTCCCATAACCACTAGACGGAAACATTCTCAGAAACTTCTTTATGACGTATGTACTCAACTAACAGAGAAGAACCTTCCTTTTGACAGAGCAGTTTTGATACACTCTTCTTGGAGAATCTGCAAGTAGATATTTGGATATCTGTGAAGAATTCGTTGGAAAAGGGAATATCTTTCTATAAAATCTAAACAAAAGCATTCTCAGAAACTGCTCTGTGATGTCTGCATTCAAGTCACAGAGTTGAACATTGCCTTTCATAGAGCAGGTTTGAAACGCTCTTTTTGTACTATATGGAAGTGGATGTTTCGGACGGTTTGAGGCCCATGGTGATAAAGGGAATATCTTCCCCTACAAGCTAGAAAGAAGCATTCTGTGAAACTTGTTTGTGATGTGTGTACTCAACTAACAGAGTTGAACCTTTCTTTTTACAGAGCAGTTTTGAAACACTCTTTTTGTAGAATCTGCGAGGGGATATTTGGATAGATTTCAGGATTTCGTTGGAAACGGGAATATCTTCCTATAAAATCTCGACAGAAGCATTCTCAGAAGCTTCTTTGTGATATGTGCATTCAAGTCACAGAGTTGAATATTCCCTTTCACAGAGTAGGTTTGAAACATTCTTTTTGTAGTATCTGGAAGTGGACATTTGGAGCACCTTGACACCTACGGTGAAAAGGGAAATATCTTCTCATAAAAAGTAGACAGAAGCAATCTCAGAATTTTCTTTGGGATATACGCACACAGCTAACAGAGTTGAACTTTTCTATTGACATAGCAGTTTTGAAACAGTCTTTCTGTGGAATCTGCAAGTGGATATTTTGATAGCTTGGAGGATTTCGTTGGAAACGGGATTACGTATAAAAATTAGACAGCAGCATCCTCAGAAACTTCTTTGTGATGTGTGCATTCAAGTCACAGAGTTGAAAATTCCCTTTCGTACAGCAGTTTTGAAACACTCTTTCTGTAGTATGTGGAAGTGAACATTAGGACAGCTTTCAGGTCTATGGTGAGAAAGGAAATATCTTCAAATAAAAACTAGACAGAAGCAATCTCATAAACTTGTTTGTGATGTGTGAACTCAGCTAACAGAGGTGGATCTTTCTTTTGATAGAGCAGTTCTGAAAAACACTTTTTGTTGAATCTGCAAGTGGACATTTGGATAGATTTGAAGATTTCGTTGGAAACGGGAATATCTTCATATCAAATCTAGACAGAAGGCATTCTCAGAAACGTCTTTGTGATGTTTGCATTCAACTCATAGAGTTGAACATTCCGTTTCAGAGAGCAGCTTTGAGGCACTCTTTTTGTAGTATGTGCAAGTGGATATTTGGAGCGCTCTGAGGCCTACGGTGAAAAAGCAAATATCTTCCCATAACCACTAGACAGAAACATTCTCAGAAACTCCTTTATGACGTATGCACTCACCTAACAGAGAAGAACCTTCCTTTTGACAGAGCAGTTTTGATACACTCTTTTTGTAGAATCTGCAAGTGGATATTTGGATAGCTGTGAAGATTTCGTTGGAAACGGGAATATCTTCCTATAAAATCTAGACAGGAGCATTGTCAGAAACTGCTCTGTGATGTCTGCATTCAAGTCACAGAGTTGAACATTGCCTTTCATAGAGCAGGTTTGAAACGCTCTTTTTGTAGTATATGGAAGTGGATGTTTCGGACGGTTGGAGGCCCATGGTGATAAAGGGAATATCTTCCCCTACAAGCTAGAAAGAAGCATTCTGTGAAAGTTGTTTGTGATGTGTGTACTCAACTAACAGAGTTGAACCTTTCTTTTTACAGAGCAGTTTTGAAACACTCTTTTTGTAGAATCTGCGAGGGGATATTTGGATAGATTTCAGGATTTCGTTGGAAACGGGAATATCTTCATATAAAATCTCGACAGAAGCATTCTCAGGAAACTTCTTTGTGATATCTGCATTCAAGTCACAGAGTTGAATATTCCCTTTCACAGAGTAGGTTTGAAACACTCTTTTTGTAGTATCTGGAAGTGGACATTTTGAGCGCCTTGACACCTACGGTAAAAAGGGAAATATCTTCCCATAAAAACTAGACAGAAGCAATCTCAGAATCGTCTTTGGGATATATGCACGCAGCTAACAGAGTTGAACCTTTCTATACACAGAGCAGTTTTGAAACAGTCTTTCTGTGGAATCTGCAAGTGGATATTTGGATAGCTTGGAGGATTTCGTTGGAAACGGGATTACGTATAAAAAGTAGACAGCAGCATCCTCAGAAACATCCTTGTGATGTGTGCATTCAAGTCACAGAGTTGAACATTCCCTTTCGTACAGCAGTTTTGAAACACTCTTTCTGTAGTATCTGGAAGTGAACTTTAGGACAGCTTTCAGGTCTATGGTGAGAAAGGATATATCTTCAAATAAAAACTAGACGGAAGCATTCTCATAAACTTGATTGTGATGTGTGAACTCAGCTAACAGAGGTGGATCTTTCTTTTGATAGAGCAGTTCTGAAAAACACTTTTTGTTGAATCTGCAAGTGGACATTTGGATAGATTTGAAGATTTCGTTGGAAACGGGAATATCTTCATATCAAATCTAGACAGAAGCATTCTCAGAAACGTCTTTGTGATGTTTGCATTCAACTCATAGAGTTGAACATTCCGTTTCAGAGACCAGATTTGAAGCACTCTTTTTGTAGTATGTGCAAGTGGATATTTGGAGCGCTCTGAGGCCTACGGTGAAAAAGCAAATATCTTCCCATAACCACTAGACTAGAAACATTCTGAGAAACTCCTTTATGACGTATGCACTCACCTAACAGAGAAGAACCTTCCTTTTGACAGAGCATTTTTGATACACTCTTTTTGTAGAATCTGAAAGTGGATATTTGGATAGCTGTGAAGATTTCGTTGGAAATGGGAATATCTTCCTATAAAATCTAGACAGAAGCATTCTCAGAAACTGCTCTGTGATGTCTGCATTCAAGTCACAGAGTTGAACATTGCCTTTCATAGAGCAGGTTTGAAACGCTCTTTTTGTAGTATATGGAAGTGGACTTTTCGGACGGTTGGAGGCCCATGGTGATAAAGGAAATATCTTCCCCTACAAGCTAGAAAGAAGCATTCTGTGAAACTTGTTTGTGAGGTGTGTACTCAACTAACAGAGTTGAACTTTTCTTTTTACAGAGCAGTTTTGAAACACTCTTTTTGTAGAATCTGCGAGGGGATATTTGGATAGATTTCAGGATTTCGTTGGAAAGGGGAATATCTTCATATAAAATCTCGACAGAAGCATTCTCAGAAACTTCTTTGTGATATGTGCATTCAAGTCACACAGTTGAATATTCCCTTTCACAGAGTAGGTTTGAAACACTCTTTTTGTAGTATCTGGAAGTGGACATTTGGAGCGCCTTGACGCCCACGGTGAAAAGGGAAATATCTTCCCATAAAAACTAGACAGAAGCAATCTCAGAATCTTCTTTGGGATATATGTACGCAGCTAATAGAGTTGAACCTTTCTATTGACAGAGCAGTTTTGAAACAGTCTTTCTGTGGAATCTGCAAGTGGATATTTGGATAGCTTGGAGGATTTTGTTGGAAACGAGATTACGTATAAAAAGTAGACAGCAGCATCCTCAGAAACTTCTTTGTGATGTGTGCATTCAAGTCACAGTGTTGAACATTCCCTTTTGTACAGCAGTTTTGAAACACTCTTTCTGTAGTATCTGGAAGTGAACATTAGGACAGCTTTCAGGTCTATGGTGAGAAAGGAAATATCTTCAAATAAAAACTAGACAGAAGCATTCTCATAAACTTGTTCGTGATGTGTGAACTCAGCTAAGAGCCGTGGATCTTTCTTTTGATAGAGCAGTTCTGAAAAACACTTTTTGTTGAATACGCAAGTGGACATTTGGATAGATTTGAAGATTTCGTTGGAAACGGGAATATCTTCATATCAAATCTAGACAGAAGCATTCTCAGAAACGTCTTTGTGATGTTTGCATTCAACTCATAGAGTTGAACATTCCGTTTCAGAGACCAGCTTTGAGGCACTCTTTTTGTAGTATGTGCAAGTGGATATTTGGAGCGCTCTGAGGCCTACGGTGAAAAAGCAAATATCTTCCCATAACCACTAGACAGAAACATTCTCAGAAACTCCTTTATGACGTATGTACTCAACTAACAGAGAAGAACCTTCCTTTTGACAGAGCAGTTTTGATGCACTCTTTTTGTAGAATCTGCAAGTGGATATTTGGATAGCTGTGAAGATTTCGTTGGAAACGGGAATATCTTCCTATAAAATCTAGAGAGAAGCATTCTCAGAAACTGCTCTGTGATGTCTGCATTACAAGTCACAGAGTTGAACATTGCCTTTCATAGAGCAGGTTTGAAACGCTCTTTTTGTAGTATATGGAAGTAAACGTTTCGGACGGTTTGAGGCCCATGGTGATAAAGGGAATATCTTCCCCTACAAGCTAGAAAGAAGCATTCTGTGAAACTTGTTTGTGATGTGTGTACTCAACTAACAGAGTTGAACCTTTCTTTTTACAGAGCAGTTTTGAAACACTCTTTTTGTAGAATCTGCGAGGGGATATTTGGAGAGATTTCAGGATTTCGTTGGAAACGGGAATATCTTCATATAAAATACTCGACAGAAGCATTCTCAGAAACTTCTTTGTGATATCTGCATTCAAGTCACAGAGTTGAATGTTCCCTTTCACAGAGTAGGTTTGAAACACTCTTTTTGTAGTATCTGGAAGTGGACATTTGGAGCGCCTTGACACCTACGGTGAAAAGGGAAATATCTTCCGATAAAAACTAGACAGAAGCAATCTCAGAATCTTCTTTGGGATATATGCACGCAGCTAACAGAGTTGAACCTTTCTATTGACAGAGCAGTTTTGAAACAGTCTTTCTGTGAAATCTGCAAGTGGATATTTGGATAGCTTGGAGGATTTCGTTGGAAACGGGATTAAGTATAAAAAGTAGACAGCAGCATCCTCAGAATCTTCTTTGTGATGTGTGCATTCAAGTCACAGAGTTGAACATTCCCTTTCGTACAGCAGTTTTGAAACACTCTTTCTGTAGTACCTGGAAGTGAACATTAGGACAGCTTTCAGGTCTATGGTGAGAAAGGAAATATCTTCAAATAAAAACTAGACAGAAGCATTCTCATAAACTTGTTTGTGATGTCTGAACTCAGCTAACAGAGGTGGATCTTTCTTTTGATAGAGCAGTTCTGAAAAACACTTTTTGTTGAATCTGCAAGTGGACATTTGGATAGATTTGAAGATTTCGTTGGAAACGGGAATATCTTCCTATCAAATCTAGACAGAAGCATTCTCAGAAACGTCTTTGTGATGTTTGCATTCAACTCATAGAGTTGAACATTCCCTTTCAGAGAGCAGCTTTGAAGCACTCTTTTTGAAGCATGTGCAAGTGGACATTTGGAGCGCCCTGAGGCCTACGGGGAAAAAGCAAATATCTTCCCATAACCACTAGACAGAAACATTCTCAGAAACTCCTTTATGACGTATGTACTCAACTAACAGAGAAGAACCTTCCTTTTGACAGAGCAGTTTTGATACACTCTTTTTGTAGAATCTGCAAGTGGATATTTGGATAGCTGTGAAGATTTCGTTGGAAACTGGAATATCTTCCTATAAAATCTAGACAGAAGCATTCTCAGAAACTGCTCTGTGATGTCTGCATTCAAGTCACAGAGTTGAACATTGTCTTTCATAGAGCAGATTTGAAGCGCTCTTTTTGTAGTATATGGAAGTGGACGTTTCGGACGGTTTGAGGCCCATGGTGATAAAGGGAATATCTTCCCCTACAAGCTAGAAAGAAGCATTCTGTGAAACTTGTTTGTGATGTGTGTACTCAACTAACGGAGTTGAACCTTTCTTTTTACAGTGCAGTTTTGAAACACTCTTTTTGTAGAATCTGCGAGGGGATATTTGGATAGATTTCAGGATTTCGTTGGAAACGGGAGTATCTTCATATAAAATCTCGACAGAAGCATTCTCAGAAACTTCTTTGTGATATGTGTATTCAAGTCACAGAGTTGAATACTCCCTTTCACAGAGTAGGTTTGAAACACTCTTTTTGTAGTATCTGGATGTGGACATTTGGAGCGCCTTGACGCCTACGGTGAAAAGGGAAATATCTTCCCATAAAAACTAGACAGTAGCAATCTCAGAATCTTCTTTGGGATATATGCACGCAGCTAACAGAGTTGAATCTTTCTATTGACAGAGCAGATTTGAAACAGTCTTTCTGTGGAATCTGCAAGTGGATATTTGGATAGATTGGAGGATTTCGTTGGAAACGGGATTATGTATAAAAAGTAGACAGCAGCATCCTCAGAAACTTCTTTGTGATGTGTGCATTCAAGTCACAGAGTTGAACATTCCCTTTCGTACAGCAGTTTTGAAACACTCTTTCTGTAGTATATGGAAGTGAACATTAGGACAGCTTTCAGGTCTATGGTGAGAAAGGAAATATCTTCAAATAAAAACTAGACAGAAGCATTCTCATAAACTTGTTTGTGATGTGTGAACTCAGCTATCAACGGTGGATCTTTCTTTTGATAGAGCAGTTCTGAAAAACACTTTTTGTTGAATCTGCAAGTGGACATTTGGATAGTTTTGAAGATTTCCTTGGAAACGGGAATATCTTCATATCAAATCTAGACAGAAGCATTCTCGGAAACGTCTTTGTGATGTTTGCATTCAACTCATAAAGTTGAACATTCCGTTTCAGAGAGCAGCTTTGAGGCATTCTTTTTGTAGTATGTGCAAGTGGATATTTGGAGCGCTCTGAGGCCTTCTGTGAAAAAGCAAATATCTTCCCATAACCACTAGACAGAAACATTCTCAGAAACCCCTTTATGACGTATGCACTCACCTAACAGAAAAGAACCTTCCTTTTGACAGAGCAGTTTTGATACACTCTTTTTGTAGAATCTGCAAGTGGATATTTGGATAGCTGTGAAGATTTCGTTGGAAACGGGAATATCTTCCTATAAAATCTAGACAGATGCATTCTCAGAAACAGCTCTGTGATGTCTGCATTCAAGTCACAGAGTTGAACATTGCCTTTCATAGAGCAGGTTTGAAACGCTCTTTTTGTATTATATGGAAGTGGACGTTTCGGACGCTTTGAGACCCATGGTGATAAAGGGAATATATTCCCCTACAAGCTAGAAAGAAGCATTCTGTGAAACTTGTTTGTGATGTGTGTACTCAAGTAACAGAGTTGAACCTTTCTTTTTACAGAGCAGTTTTGAAACACTCTTTCTGTAGAATCTGCGAGGGGATATTTGGATAGACTTCAGGATTTCATTGGAAACGGGAATATCTTCATATAAAATCTCGACAGAAGCATTCTCAGAAACTTCTTTGTGATATGTGCATTCAAGTCACAGAGTTGAATATTCCCTTTCACAGAGTAGGTTTGAAACACTCTTTTTGTTGTATCTGGAAGTGGACATTTGGAGCGCCTTGACGCCTACGGTGAAAAGGGAAATATCTTCCCATAAAAACTAGACAGAAGCAATCTCAGAATCTTGTTTGGGATATATGCACGCAGCTAACACAGTTGAACCTTTCTATTGACAGAGCAGTTTTGAAACATTCTTTCTGTGGAATCTGCAAGTGGATATTTGGATAGCTTGGAGGATTTCGTTGGAAACGGGATTACGTATCAAAAGTAGACAGCGGCATCCTCAGAAACTTCTTTGTGATGTGTGCATTCAAGTCACAGAGTTGAACATTCCCTTTCGTACAGCAGTTTTGAAACACTCTTTCTGTAGTATCTGGAAGTGAACATTAGGACAGCTTTCAGGTCTATGGTGAGAAAGGAAATACCTTCAAATAAAAACTAGACAGAAGCATTCTCATATACTTGTTTGTGATGTGTGAACTCAGCTAACAGAGGTGGATCTTTCTTTTGATAGAGCAGTTCTGAAAAACACTTTTTGTTGAATCTGCAAGTGGACATTTCGATAGATTTGAAGATTTCGTTGGAAACGGGAATATCTTCATATCAAATCTAGACAGAAGCATTCTCAGACACGTCTTTGCGATGTTTGCATTCAACTCATAGAGTTGAACATTCCGTTTCAGAGAGCAGCTTTGAGGCACTCTTTTTGTAGTATGTGCAAGTGGATATTTGGAGCGCTCTGAGGCCTACGGTGAAAAAGCAAATATCTTCCCATAACCACTAGACAGAAACATTCTCAGAAACTCATTTATGACGTATGCACTCACCTAACAGAAAAGAACCTTCCTTTTGACAGAGCAGTTTTGATACACTCTTTTTGTAGAATCTGCAAGTGGATATTTGGATAGCTGTGAAGATTTCGTTGGAAACGGGAATATCTTCCTATAAAATCTAGACAGAAGCATTCTCAGAAACTGCTCTGTGATGTCTGCATTCAAGTCACAGAGTTGAACATTGCCTTTCATAGAGCAGGTTTGAAACGCTCTTTTTGTAGTATATGGAAGTGGATGTTTCGGACGGTTGGAGGCCCAAGGTGATAAAGGGAATATCTTCCCCTACAAGCTAGAAAGAAGCATTCTGTGAAACTTGTTTGTGATGTGTGTACTCAACTAACAGAGTTGAACCTTTCTTTTTACAGAGCAGTTTTGAAACACTCTTTTTGTAGAACCTGCGAGGGGATATTTGGATAGATTTCAGGATTTCGTTGGAAACGGGAATATCTTCATATAAAATCTCGACAGAAGCATTCTCAGAAACTTCTTTGTGATATCTGCATTCAAGTCACAGAGTTGAATATTCCTTTTCACAGAGTAGGATTGAAACACTCTTTTTGTAGTATCAGGAAGTGGACATTTGGAGCGCCTTGACGCCTACGGTGAAAAGGGAAATATCTTCCCATAAAAACTAGACAGAAGCAATCTCAGAATCTTCTTTGGGATATATGCACGCAGCTAACAGAGTTGAACCTTTCTATTGACAGAGCAGTTTTGAAACAGTCTTTCTGTGGAATCTGCAAGTGGATATTTGTATAGCTTGGAGGATTTCGTTGGAAACGGGATTACGTATAAAAAGTAGACAGCAGCATCCTCAGAAAACTTCTTTGTGATGTGTGCATTCAAGTCACAGAGTTGTACATTCCCTTTCGTACAGCAGTTTTGAAACACTCTTTCTGTAGTATCTGGAAGTGAACATTAGGACAGCTTTCAGGTCTATGGTGAGAAAGGAAATATCTTCAAATAAAAACTAGACGGAAGCATTCTCATAAACTTGTTTGTGATGTGTGAACTCAGCTAACAGAGGTGGATCTTTCTTTTGATACAGCAGTTTTGAAAAACACATTTTGTTGAATCTGCAAGTGGACATTTGGATAGATTTGAAGATTTCGTTGGAAACGGGAATATCTTCATATCAAATCTAGACAGAAGAATTCTCAGAAACGTCTTTGTGATGTTTGCATTCAACTCATAGAGTTGAACATTCCCTTTCAGAGAACAGCTTTGAAGCACTCTTTTTGTAGTATGTGCAAGGGGATATTTGGAGCGCTCTGAGGCCTAAGGTGAAAAAGCAAATATCTTCCCATAACCACTAGACAGAAACATTCTCAGAAACTGCTTTATGACGTATGCACTCACCTAACAGAGAAGAACCTTCCTTTTGACAGAGCAGTTTTGATACACTCTTTTTGTAGAATCTGCAAGTGGATATTTGGATAGCTGTGAAGATTTCGTTGGAAACGAGAATATCTTCCTATAAAATCTAGACAGAAGCATTCTCAGAAACTGCTCTGTGATATCTGTATTCAAGTCACAGAGTTGAACATTGCCTTTCATAGAGCAGGTTTGAAACGCTCTTTTTGTAGTATATGTAAGTGGATGTTTCGGACGGTTGGAGGCCCATGGTGATAAAGGGAATATCTTCTCCTACAAGCTAGAAAGAAAGCATTCTGTGAAACTTGTTTGTGATGTGTGTACTCAACTAACAGCAGTTGAACCTTTCTTTTTACAGAGCAGTTTTGAAACACTCTTTTTGTAGAATCTGCGAGGGGATATTTGGATAGATTTCAGGATTTCGTTGGAAAGGGGAATATCTTCATATAAAATCTCGACAGAAGCATTTTCAGAAACTTCTTTGTGATATCTGCATTCAAGTCACAGAGTTCAATATTCCCTTCCACAGAGAAGGTTTGAAACACTCTTTTTGTAGTATCTGGAAGTGGATATTTGGAGCGCCTTGACACCTACGGTGAAAAGGGAAATATCTTCCCATAAAAACTAGACAGAAGCAATCTCAGAATCTTCCTTGGGATATATGCACACAGCTAACTGAGTTGAACTTTTCTATTGACATAGCAGTTTTGAAACAGTCTTTCTGTGGAATCTGCAAGTGGATATTTGGATAGCTTGGAGGATTTCGTTGGAAATGGGATTACGTATAAAAAGTAGACAGCAGCATCCTCAGAAACTTCTTTGTGATGTGTGCATTCAAGTCACAGAGTTGAACATTCCCTTTCGTACAGCAGTTTTGAAACACTCTTTCTGTAGTATCTGGAAGTGAAAATTAGGACAGCTTTCAGGTCTATGGTGAGAAAGGAAATATCTTCAAATAAAAACTAGACAGAAGCATTCTCATAAACTTGATTGTGATGTCTGAACTCAGCTAACAGAGGTGGATCTTTCTTTTGATAGAGCAGTTCTGAAAAACACTTTTTGTTGAATCTGCAAGTGGACATTTGGATAGATTTGAAGATTTCGTTGGAAACGGGAATATCTTCATATCAAATCTAGACAGAAGCATTCTCAGAAACGTCTTTGTGATGTTTGCATTCAACTCATAGAGTTGAACATTCCATTTCAGAGAGCAGCTTTGAAGCACTCTTTTTGTAGTATGTGCAAGTGGATATTTGGAGCGCTCTGAGGCCTACGGTGAAAAAGCAAATATCTTCCCATAACCACTATACAGAAACATTCTCAGAAACTCCTTTATGACGTATGCACTCAACTAACAGAGAAAAACCTTCCTTTTGACAGAGCAGTTTTGATACACTCTTTTTGTAGAATCTGCAAGTGGATATTTGGATAGCTGTGAAGATTTCGTTGGAAACGGGAATATCTTCCTATAAAATCTAGACAGGAGCATTCTCAGAAACTGCTCTGTGATGTCTGCATTCAAGTCACAGAGTTGAACATTGCCTTTCATAGAGCAGGTTTGAAACGCTCTTTTTGTAGTATATGGAACTGGATGTTTCGGACGGTTTGAGGCCCATGGTGATAAAGGGAATATCTTCCCCTACAAGCTAGAAAGAAGCATTCTGTGAAACTTGTTTGTGATGTGTGTACTCAACTAACAGAGTTGAACCTTTCGTTTTACAGAGCAGTTTTGAACCACTCTTTTTGTAGAATCTGCGAGGGGATATTTGGATAGATTTCAGGATTTCGTTGGAAACGGGAATATCTTCATATAAAATCTCGACAGAAGCATTCTCAGTAAACTTCTTTGTGATATGTGCATTCAAGTCACAGAGTTGAATATTCCCTTTCACAGAGTAGGTTTGAAACACTCTTTTTGTAGTATCTGGAAGTGGACATTTGGAGCGCCTTGAGGCCTACGGTGAAAAGGGAAATATCTTCTCATAAAAAGTAGACAGAAGCAATCTCAGAATCTTCTTTGGGATATATGCATGCAGCTAACAGAGTTGAACCTTTCTATTGACAGAGCAGTTTTGAAACAGTCTTTCTCTGGAATCTGCAAGTGGATATTTGGATAGCTTGGAGGATTTCGTTGGAAACGGGATTACGTATAAAAAGTAGACAGCAGCATCCTCAGAAACTTCTTTGTGATGTGTGCATTCAAGTCACAGAGTTGAACATTCCCTTTCGTACAGCAGTTTTGAAACACTCTTTCTGTAGTATCTGGAAGTGAACATTAGGACAGCTTTCAGCTCTATGGAGAGAAAGGAAATATCTTCAAATAAAAACTAGACAGAAGCATCTTATAAACTTGTTTGTGATGTGTGAACTCAGCTAACAGAGGTGGATCTTTCTTTTGATAGAGCAGTTCTGAAAAACACTTTTTGTTGAATCTGCAAGTGGACATTTGGATAGATTTGAAGATTTCGTTGGAAACGGGAATATCTTCATATCAAATCTAGACAGAAGCATTCTCAGAAACGTCTTTGTGATGTTTGCATTCAACTCATAGAGTTGAACATTCCCTTCCAGAGAGTAGCTTTGAAGCACTCTTTTTGTAGCATGTGCAAGTGGACATTTGGAGCGCCCTGAGGCCTACGGGGAAAAGCAAATATCTTCCCATAACCACTAGACAGAAACATTCTCAGAAACTCCTTTATGACAGTATGCACTCACCTAACAGAAAAGAACCTTCCTTTTGACAGAGCAGTTTTGATACACTCTTTTTGTGGAATCTGCAAGTGGATATTTGGATAGCTGTGAAGATTTCGTTGAAAACGGGAATATATTCCTATAAAATCTAGACAGAAGCATTCTCAGAAACTGCTCTGTGGTGTCTGCATTCAAGTCACAGAGTTGAACATTGCCTTTCATAGAGCAGGTTTGAAACACTCTTTTTGTAGTATATGGAAGTGGACGTTTCGGACGGTTTGAGGCCCATGGTGATTTAGGGAATATCTTCCCCTACAAGCTAGAAAGAAGCATTCTGTGAAACTTGTTTGTGATGTGTGTACTCAACTAACAGAGTTGAACGTTTCTTTTTACAGAGCAGTTTTGAAACACTCCTTTTGTAGAATCTGCGAGGGGATATTTGGATAGATTTCAGGATTTCGTTGGAAACGGGAATATCTTCATATAAAATCTCGACAGAAGCATTCTCAGAAACTTCTTTGTGATATCTGCATTCAAGTCACAGAGTTGAATATTCCCTTTCACAGAGTAGGTTTGAAACACTCTTTTTGTAGTATCTGGAAGTGGACATTTTGAGCGCCTTGACACCTACGGTAAAAAGGGAAATATCTTCCCATAAAAACTACACAGAAGGCAATCTCAGAATCTTCTTTGGGATATATGCACGCAGCTAACAGAGTTGAATCTTTCTGTTGACAGAGCAGATTTGAAACAGTCTTTCTGTGGAATCTGCAAGTGGATATTTGGATAGATTGGAGGATTTCGTTGGAAACGGGATTACGTATAAAAAGTAGACAGCAGCATCCTCAGAAACATCCTTGTGATGTGTGCATTCATGTCACAGAGTTGAACATTCCCTTTCGTACAGCAGTTTTGAAACACTCTTTCTGTAGTATCTGTTAGTGAACTTTAGGACAGCTTTCAGGTCTATAGTGAGAAAGGATATATCTTCAAATAAAAACTAGACAGAAGCATTCTCATAAACTTGTTTGTGATGTGTGAACTCAGCTAACAGAGGTGGATCTTTCTTTTGATAGAGAAGTTTTGAAAAACACTTTCTGTTGAATCTGCAAGTGGACATTTGGATAGATATGAAGATTTCGTTGGAAACGGGAATATCTTCATATCAAATCTAGACAGAAGGATTCTCGGAAACGTCTTTGTGATGTTTGCATTCAACTCATAGAGTTGAACATTCCGTTTCAGAGAGCAGCTTTGAAGCACTCTTTTTGTAGTATGTGCAAGTGGATATTTGGAGCGCTCTGAGGCCTACGGTGAAAAAGCAAATATCTTCCCATAACCACTATACAGAAACATTCTCAGAAACTCCTTTATGACGTATGTACTCAACTAACAGAGAAGAACATTCTTTCTTTTGATACAGCAGTTTTGATACACTCTTTTTGTAGAATCTGCAAGTGCATATTTGGATAGCTGTGAAGATTTCGTTGGAAACGGGAATATCTTCCTATAAAATCTAGACAGAAGCATTCTCAGAAACTGCTCTGTGATGTCTGCATTCAAGTCACAGAGTTGAACATTGCCTTTCATAGAGCAGGTTTGAAACGCTCTTTTTGTAGTATAGGGAAGTGGATGTTTCGGACGGTTGGAGGCCCATGGTGATAAAGGGAATATCTTCCCCTACAAGCTATAAAGAAGCATTCTGTGAAACTTGTTTGTGATGTGTGTACTCAACTAACAGAGCCTTTCTTTTTACAGAGCAGTTTTGAAAAACTCTTTTTGTAGAATCTGCGAGGGGATATTTGGATAGATTTCAGGATTTCGTTGGAAACGGGAATATCTTCATATAAAATCTCGACAGAAGCATTCTCAGAAACTTCTTTGTGATATGTGCATTCAAGTCACAGAGTTGAATATTCCCTTTCACAGAGTAGGTTGGAAACACTCTTTTTGTAGTATCTGGAAGTGGACATTTGGAGCGCCTTGACACCTACGGTGAAAAGGGAAATATCTTCCCATTAAAAACTAAACAAAAGCAATCTCAGAATCTTCTTTGGGATATATGCACGCAGCTAACAGAGATGAACCTTTCTATTGACAGAGCAGTTTTGAAACAGTCTTTCTGTGGAATCTGCAAGTGGATATTTGGATAGATTGGAGGATTTCGTTGGAAACGGGATTACGTATAAAAAGTAGACAGCAGCATCCTCAGAAACTTCTTTGTGATGTGTGCATTCAAGTCACAGAGTTGAACATTCCCTTTCGTACAGCAGTTTTGAAACACTCTTTCTGTAGTATCTGGAAGTGAACATTAGGACAGCCTTCAGGTCTATGTTGAGAAAGGAAATATCTTCAAATAAAAACTAGACAGAAGCATTCTCATAAACTTGTTTGTGATGTGTGAACTCAGCTAACACAGGTGGATCTTTCTTTTGATTGAGCAGTTCTGAAAAACACTTTTTGTTGAATCTGCAAGTGGACATTTGGATAGATTTGAAGATTTCGTTGGAAACGGGAATATCTTCATATCAAATCTAGACAGAAGCATTCTCAGAAACGTCTTTGCGATGTTTGCATTCAACTCATAGAGTTGAACATTCCGTTTCAGAGAGCAGCTTTGAGGCACTCTTTTTGTAGTATGTCCAAGTGGATATTTGGAGCGCTCTGAGGCCTACGGTGAAAAAGCAAATATCTTCCCATAACCACTAGACAGAAACATTCTCAGAAACTCCTTTATAACGTATGCACTCACCTAACAGAGAAGAACCTTCCTTTTGACAGAGCAGTTTTGATACACTCTTTTTGTAGAATCTGCAAGTGGATATTTGGATATCTGTGAAGATTTCGTTGGAAACGGGAATATCTTCCTATAAAATCTAGACAGAAGCATTCTCAGAAACTGCTCTGTGATGTCTGCATTCAAGTCACAGAGCTGAACATTGCCTTTCATAGAGCAGGTTTGAAACGCTCTTTTTGTAGTATATGGAAGTGGACGTTTCTGACAGTTTGAGGCCCATGGTGATAAAGGGAATATCTTCCCCTACAAGCTAGAAAGAAGCATTCTGTGAAACTTGGTTGTGATGTGTGTACTCAACTAACAGAGTTGAACCTTTCTTTTTACAGAGCAGTTTTGAAACACTCTTTTTGTAGAATCTGCGAGGGGATATTTGGATAGATTTCAGGATTTCGTTGGAAACGGGAATATCTTCATATAAAATCTCGACAGAAGCATTCTCAGAAACTTCTTTGTGATATCTGCCTTTAAGTCACAGAGTTGAATATTCCCTTTCACAGAGTAGGTTTGAAACACTCTTTTTGTAGTATCTGGAAGTGGACATTTGGAGCGCCTTGACGCCTACAGTGAAAAGGGAAATATCTTCCCATAAAAACTAGACAGAAGCAATCTCAGAATCTTCTTTGGGATATATGTACGCAGCTAATAGAGTTGAACCTTTCTATTGACAGAGCAGTTTTGAAACAGTCTTTCTGTGGAATCTGCAAGTGGATATTTGGATAGCTTGGAGGATTTTGTTGGAAACGGGATTACGTATAAAAAGTAGACAGCAGCATCCTCAGAATCTTCTTTGTGATGTGTGCATTCAAGTCATAGAGTTGAACATTCCCTTTCGTACAGCAGTTTTGAAACACTCTTTCTGTAGTATCTGGGAGTGAACATTAGGACAGCTTTCAGGTCTATGGTGAGAAAGGAAATATCTTCAAATAAAAAGTAGACAGATAAGCATTCTCATAAACTTGTTTGTGATGTGTGAACTCAGCTAACAGAGGTGGATCTTTCTTTTGATAGAGCAGTTCTGAAAAACACTTTTTGTTGAATCTGCAAGTGGACCTTTGGATAGATTTGAAGATTTCGTTGGAAACGGGAATATCTTCATATCAAATCTAGACAGAAGCATTCTCAGAAACGTCTTTGTGATGTTTGCATTCAACTCGTAGAGTTGAACATTCCGTTTCAGAGAGCAGCTTTGAAGCACTCTTTTTGTAGTATGTGCAAGTGGATATTTGGAGCGCTCTGAGGCCTACGGTGAAAAAGCAAATATCTTCCCATAACCACTAGACAGAAACATTCTCAGAAACTCCTTTATGACGTATGCACTCACCTAACAGAGAAGAACCTTCCTTTTGACAGAGCAGTTTTGATACACTCTTTTTGTAGAATCTGCAAGTGGATATTTGGATAGCTGTGAATATTTCGTTGGAAACGGGAATATCTTCCTATAAAATCTAGACAGAAGCATTCTCAGAAACTGCTCTGTGATGTCTGCATTCAAGTCACAGAGTTGAACATTGCCTTTCATAGAGCAGGTTTGAAACGCTCTTTTTGTAGTATATGGAAGAGGACGTTTCGGACGGTTTGAGGCCCATGGTGATAAAGGGAATATCTTCCCCTACAAGCTAGAAAGAAGCATTCTGTGAAACTTGTTTGTGATGTGTGTACTCAACTAACAGAGTTGAACCTTTCTTTTTACAGAGCAGTTTTGAAACACTCTTTTTGTAGAATCTGCGAGGGGATATTTGGATAGATTTCAGGATTTCGTTGGAAACGGGAACATCTTCATAGAAAATCTCGACAGAAGCATTCTCAGAAACTTCTTTGTGATATCTTCCTTCAAGTCACAGAGTTGAATATTCCCTTTCACAGAGTAGGTTTGAAACACTCTTTTTGTAGTATCTGGAAGTGGACATTTGGAGCGCCTTGACGCCTACGGTGAAAAGGGAAATATCTTCCCATAAAAACTAGACAGAAGCAATCTCAGAATCTTCTTTGGGATATATGCACGCAGCTAACAGAGTTGAACCTTTCTATTGACAGAGCAGTTTTGAAACAGTCTTTCTGTGGAATCTGCAAGTGGATATTTGGATAGCTTGGAGGATTTCGTTGGAAACGGGATTACGTATAAAAGGTAGACAGCAGCATCCTCAGAAACTTCTTTGTGATGTGTGCATTCAAGTCACAGAGTTGAACATTCCCTTTCGTACAGCAGTTTTGAAACACTCTTTCTGTAGTATCTGGAAGTGAACATTAGGACCGCTTTCAGGTCTATGGTGAGAAAGGAAATATCTTCAAATAAAAATTAGACAGAAGCATTCTCATAAACCTGTTAGTGATGTGTGAACTCAGCTAACAGAGGTGGATCTTTCTTTTGATAGAGCAGTTCTGAAAAACACTTTTTGTTGAATCTGCAAGTGGACATTTGGATAGATTTGAAGATTTCGTTGGAAACGGGAATATCTTCATATCAAATCTAGACAGAAGCATTCTCAGAAACGTCTTTGTGATGTTCGCATTCAACTCATAGAGTTGAACATTCCCTTTCAGAGAGCAGCTTTGAAGCACTCTTTTTGTAGTATGTGCAAGTGGATATTTGGAGCGCTCTGAGGCCTACGGTGAAAAAGCAAATATCTTCCCATAACCACTAGACAGAAACATTCTCAGAAACTCCTTTATGACGTATGCACTCACCTAACAGAAAAGAACCTTCCTTTTGACAGAGCAGTTTTGATACACTCTTTTTGTAGAATCTGCAAGTGGATATTTGGATAGCTGTGAAGATTTCGTTGGAAACGGGAATAACTTCCTATAAAATCTAGACAGAAGCATTCTCAGAAACTGCTCTGTGATGTCTGCATTCAAGTCACAGAGTTGAACATTGCCTTTCATAGAGCAGGTTTGAAACGCTCTTTTTGTAGTATATGAAAGTGGATGTTTCGGACGGTTGGAGGCCCATGGTGATAAAGGGCATATCTTCCCCTACAAGCTAGAAAGAAGCATTGTGTGAAACTTGTTTGTGATGTGTGTACTCAACTAACAGAGTTGAACCTCTCTTTTTACAGAGCAGTTTTGAAACACTCTTTTTGTAGAATCTGCGAGGGGATATTTGGATACATTTCAGCATTTCGTTGGAAACGGGAATATCTTCATATAAAATCTCGACAGAAGCATTCTCAGAAACTTCTTTGTGATATCTGCACTCAAGTCACAGAGTTGAATATTCCCTTTCACAGAGTAGGTTTGAAACACTCTTTTTGTAGTATCTGGAAGTGGACATTTGGAGCGCCTTGACGCCTACGGTGAAAAGGGAAATATCTTCCCATAAAAACTAGACAGAAGCAATCTCAGAATCTTCTTTGGGATATATGCACGCAGCTAACAGAGTTGAACCTTTCTATTGACAGAGCAGTTTTGAAACAGTCTTTCTGTGGAATCTGCAAGTGGATATTTGGATAGCTTGGAGGATTTCGTTGGAAACGGGATTACGTATAAAAAGTATACAGCAGCATCCTCAGAATCTTCCTTGTGATGTGTGCTTTCAAGTCACAGAGTTGAACATTCCCTTTCGTACAGCAGTTTTGAAAAACTCTTTCTGTAGTATCTGGAAGTGAACTTTAGGAGAGCTTTCACGTCTATAGTGAGAAAGGATATATCTTCAAATAAAAACTAGACAGAAGCATTCTCATAAACTTGTTTGTGATGTGTGAACTCAGCTAACAGAGGTGGATCTTTCTTTTGATAGAGCAGTTCTGAAAAACACTTTTTGTTGAATCTGCAAGTGGACATTTGGATAGATTTGAAGATTTCGTTGGAAACCGGAATATCTTCATGTCAAATCTAGACAGAAGCATTCTCAGAAACGTCGTTGCGATGTTTGCATTCAACTCATAGAGTTGAACATTCCGTTTCAGAGAGCAGCTTTGAGGCACTCTTTTTGTAGTATGTGCAAGTGGATATTTGGAGCGCTCTGAGGCCTTCGGTGAAAAAGCAAATATCTTCCCATAACCACTAGATGGAAACATTCTCAGAAACTCCTTTATGACGTATGCACTCACCTAACAGAGAAGAACCTTCCTTTTGACAGAGCAGTTTTGATACACTCTTTTTGTAGAATCTGCAAGTGGATATTTGGATAGCTGTGAAGATTTCGTCGGAAACGGGAATATCTTCCCATAAAATCTAGAGAGAAGCATTCTCAGAAACTGCTCTGTGATGTCTGCATTCAAGTCACAGAGTTGAACATTCCCTTTCCTAGAGCAGGTTTGAAACGCTCTTTTTGTAGTATATTGAAGTGGACATTTCGGATGGTTTGAGGCCCATGGTGATAAAGGGAATATCTTCCCCTACAAGCTAGAAAGAAGCATTCTGTGAAACTTGTTTGTGATGTGTGTACTCAACTAACAGAGTTGAACCTTTCTTTTTACAGAACAGTGTTGAAACACTCTTTTTGTAGAATCTGCGAGGGGATATTTGGATAGATTTCAGGATTTCGTTGGAAACGGGAATATCTTCATATAAAATCTCGACGGAAGCATTCTCAGAAACTTCTTTGTGATATGTGCATTCAGGTCACAGAGTTGAATATTCCCTTTCACAGAGTAGGTTTGAAACACTCTTTTTGTAGTATCTGGAAGTGGACATTTGGAGCGCCTTGACGCCTACGGTGAAAAGGGAAATATCTTCCCATAAAAACTAGACAGAAGCAATCTCAGAATCTTCTTTGGGATATATGCACGCAGCTCACAGAGTTGAACCTTTCTATTGACAGAGCAGTTTAGAAACAGTCCTTCTGTGGAATCTGCAAGTGGATATTTGGATAGCTTGGAGGATTTCTTTGGAAACGGGATTACGTATAAAAAGTAGACAGCAGCATCCTCAGAAACTTCTTTGTGATGATTGAATTCAAGTCACAGAGTTGAACATTCCCTTTCGTACAGCAGTTTTGAAACACTCTTTCTGTAGTATCTGGAAGTGAACATTAGGACAGCTTTCAGGTCTATGGTGAGAAAGGAAATATCTTCAAATAAAAACTAGACAGAAGCATTCTCATAAACTTGTGTGTGATGTGTGAACTCAGCTAACAGAGGTGGATCTTTCTTTTGATAGAGCAGTTCTGAAAAACACTTTTTGATGAATCTGCAAGTGGACATTTGGATAGATTTGAAGATTTCTTTGGAAACGGGAATATCTTCATATCAAATCTAGACAGAAGCATTCCCAGAAACGTCTTTGTGATGTTTGCATTCAACTCATAGAGTTGAACATTCTCTTTCAGAGAGCAGCTTTGAAGCACTCTTTTTGTAGTATGTGCAAGGGGATATTTGGAGCGCTCTGAGGCCTAAGGTGAAAAAGCAAATATCTTCCCATAACCACTAGACAGAAAACATTCTCAGAAACTCCTTTATGACGTATGCACTCACCTAACAGAAAAGAACCTTCCTTTTGACAGAGCAGTTTTGATACACTCTTTTTGTAGAATCTGCAAGTGGATATTTGGATAGCTGTGAAGATTTCGTTGGAAACGGGAATATCTTCCTATAAAATCTAGACAGAAGCATTCTCAGAAACTGCTCTGTGATGTCTGCATTCAAGTCACAGAGTTGAACATTGCCTTTCCTAGAACAGGTTTGAAACGCTCTTTCTGTAGTATATGGAAGTGGACGTTTCGGACGGTTTGAGGCCCATGGTGATAAAGGGAATATCTTCCCCTACAAGCTAGAAAGAAGCATTCTGTGAAACTTGTTTGTGATGTGTGTACTCAACTAACAGAGTTGCACCTTTCTTTTTACAGAGCAGTTTTGAAACACTCTTTTTGTAGAATCTGCGAGGGGATATTTGGATAGATTTCAGGATTTCGTTGGAAACGGGAATATCTTCATATAAAATCTCAACAGAAGCCTTCTCAGAAACTTCTTTGTGATATCTGCATTGAAGTCACAGAGTTGAATATTCCCTTTCACATAGTAGGTTTGAAACACTCTTTTTGTAGTATCTGGAAGTGGACATTTGGAGCGCCTTCACGCCTACGGTGAAAAGGGAAATATCTTCCCATAAAAACTAGACAGAAGCAATCTCAGAATCTTCTTTGGGATATATGCACGTAGCTAGCAGAGTTGAACCTTTCTATTGACAGAGCAGTTTTGAAACAGTCTTTCTGTGGAATCTGCAAGTGGATATTTGGATAGCTTGGAGGATTTCGTTGGAAACGCGATTACGTATAAAAAGTAGACAGCAGCATCCTCAGAAACTTCTTTGTGATGTGTGCATTCAAGTCACAGAGTTGAACATTCCCTTTCGTACAGCAGTTTTGAAACACTCTTTCTGTAGTATCTGCAAGTGAACATTAGGACAGCTTTCAGGTCTGTGGTGAGAAAGGAAATATCTTCAAATAAAAACTAGACAGAAGCAGTCTGATAAACTTGTTTGTGAAGTGTGAACTCAGCTAACAGAGGTGGATCTTTCTTTTGATACAGCAGTTTTGAAAAACACTTTGTTGAATCTGCAAGTGGACATTTGTATAGATTTGAAAATTTCGTTGGAAACGGGAATATCTTCATATAAAATCTCGACAGAAGCATTCTCAGAAACGTCTTTGTGATGTTTGCATTCAACTCATAGAGTTGAACATTCCGTTTCAGAGAGCAGCTTTGAAGCACTCTTTTTGTAGTATGTGCAAGTGGATATTTGGAGCGCTCTGAGGCCTACGGGGAAAAAGCAAATATCTTCCCATAACCACTAGACTGAAACATTCTCAGAAACTCCTTTATGACGTATGTACTCAACTAACAGAGAAGAACCTTCCTTTTGACAGAGCAGTTTTGATACACTCTTTTTGTAGAATCTGCAAGTGGATATTTGGATAGCTGTGAAGATTTCGTTGGAATCGGGAATATCTTCCTATAAAATCTAGACAGAAGCATTCTCAGAAACTGCTCTGTGATGTCTGCATTCAAGTCACAGAGTTGAACATTGCCGTTCATAGAGCAGGTTTGAAACACTCTTTTTGTACTATATGGAAGTGGACGTTTCGGACGGTTTGAGGCCCATGGTGATAAAGGGAATATCTTCCCCTACAAGCTAGAAAGAAGCATTCTGTGAAACTTGTTTGTGATGTGTGTACTCAACTAACAGGGTTGAACCTTTCTTTTTACAGAGCAGTTTTGCAACACTCTTTTTGTAGAATCTGCGAGGGGATATTTGGATAGATTTCAGGATTTCGTTGGAAACGGGAATATCTTCATATAAAATCTCGACAGAAGCATTCTCAGAAACTTCTTTGTGATATCTGCATTCAAGTCACAGAGTTGAATATTCCCTTTCACAGAGTAGGTTTGAAACACTCTTTTTGTAGTATCTGGAAGTGGACATTTGGAGCGCCTTGACACCTACGGTGAAAAGGTAAATATCTTCCCATAAAAACGAGACAGAAGCAATCTCCGAATCTTCTTTGGGATATATGCACGCAGCTAACAGAGTTGAACCTTTCTATTGACAGAGCAGTTTTGAAACAGTCTTTCTGTGGAATCTGCAAGTGGATATTTGGATAGCTTGGAGGATTTCGTTGGAAAAGGGATTATGTATAAAAATTAGACAGCAGCATCCTCAGAAACTTCTTTGTGATGTGTGCATTCAAGTCACAGAGTTGAACATTCCCTTTCGTACAGCAGTTTTGAAAAACTCTTTCTGTAGTATCTGGAAGTGAACATTAGGACAGCTTTCAGGTCTATGGTGAGAAAGGCAATATCTTCAAATAAAAACTAGACAGAAGCATTCTCATAAACTTGTTTGTGATGTGTGAACTCAGCTAACAGGCGTGGATCTTTCTTTTGATACAGCAGTTTTGAAAAACACTTTTTGTTGAATCTGCAAGTGGACATTTGGATAGATTTGAAGATTTCGTTGGAAACGGGAATATCTTCATATCAAATCTAGACAGAAGCATTCTCAGAAACGTCTTTGTGATGTTTGCATTCAACTCATAGAGTTGAACATTCCGTTTCAGAGAGCAGCTTTGAAGCACTCTTTTTGTAGTATGTGCAAGTGGATATTTGGAGCGATCTGAGGCCTACGGTGAAAAAGCAAATATCTTCCAATAACCACTAGACAGAAACATTCTCAGAAACTCCTTTATGACGTATGCACTCACCTAACAGAAAAGAACCTTCCTTTTGACAGAGCAGTTTTGATACACTCTTTTTGTAGAATCTGCAAGTGGATATTTGGATAGCTGTGAAGATTTCGTTGGAAACGGGAATATACTTCCTATAAAATCTAGACAGAAGCATTCTCAGAAACTGCTCTGTGATGTCTGCATTCAAGTCACAGAGTTGAACATTGCCGTTCATAGAGCAGGTTTGAAACACTCTTTTTGTAGTATATGGAAGTGGACGTTTCGGACGGTTTGAGGCCCATGGTGATAAAGGGAATATCTTCCCCAACAAGCTAGAAAGAAGCATTCTGTGAAACTTCTTTGTGATGTGTGTACTCAACTAACAGAGTTGAACCTTTCTTTTTACAGAGCAGTTTTGAAACACTCTTTTTGTAGAATCTGCGAGGGGACATTTGGATAGATTTCAGGATTTCGTTGGAAACGGGAATATCTTCATATAAAATCTCGACAGAAGCATTCTCAGAAACTTCTTTGTGATATGTGCATTCAAGTCACAGAGTTGAATATTCCCTTTCACAGAGTAGGTTTGAAACACTCTTTTTGTAGTATCTGGAAGTGGACATTTGGAGCGCCTTGACGCCTAAGGTGAAAAGGGAAATATCTTCCCATAAAAACTAGACAGAAGCAATCTCAGAATCTTCTTTGGGATATATGCACGCAGCTAACAGAGTTGAAACTTTCTATTGACAGAGCAGTTTTGAAACAGTCTTTCTGTGGAATCTGCAAATGGATATTTGGATAGCTTGGAGGATTTCGTTGGAAACGGGATTACGTATAAAAAGTAGACAGCAGCATCCTCAGAAACTTCTTTGTGATGTGTGCATTCAAGTCACAGAGTTGAACATTCCCTTTCGTACAGCAGTTTTGAAACACTCTTTCTGTAGTATCTCGAAGTGAACATTAGGACAGCTTTCAGGTCTATGGTGAGAAAGGAAATATCTTCAAATAAAAACTAGACAGAAGCATTCTCATAAACTTGTTTGTGATGTGTGAACTCAGCTAACAGAGGTGGATCTTTCTTTTGATAGAGCAGTTCTGAAAAACACGTTTTGTTGAATCTGCAAGTGGACATTTGGATAGATTTGAAGATTTCGTTGTAAACGGGAATATCGTCATATCAAATCTAGACAGAAGCATTCTCGGAAACGTCTTTGTGATGTTTGCATTCAACCCATAGAGTTGAACATTCCGTTTCAGAGAGCAGCTTTGAAGCACTCTTTTTGTAGTATGTGCAAGGGGATATTTTGAGCGCTCTGAGGCCTAAGGTGAAAAAGCAAATATCTTCCCATAACCACTAGACAGAAACATTCTCAGAAACTCCTTTATGACGTATGCACTCACCTGACAGAAAAGAACCTTCCTTTTGACAGAGCAGTTTTGATACACTCTTTTTGTAGAATCTGCAAGTGGATATTTGGATAGCTGTGAAGATTTCGTTGGAAACGGGAATATCTTCCTATAAAATCTAGACAGAAGCATTCTCAGAAACTGCTGTGTGATGTCTGCATTCAAGTCACAGAGTTGAACATTGCCTTTCACAGAGCAGGTTTGAAATGCTCTTTTTGTAGTATATGGAAGTGGACGTTTCAGACGGTTTGAGGCCCATGGTGATAAAGGGAATATCTTCCCCTACAAGCTAGAAAGAAGCATTCTGTGAAACTTGTTTGTGATGTGTGTACTCAACTAACAGAGATGAACCTTTCTTTTCACAGAGCAGTTTTGAAACACTCTTTTTGTAGAATCTGCGAGGGGATATTTGGATAGATTTCAGCATTTCGTTGGAAACGGGAATATCTTCATATAAAATCTCGGCAGAAGCATTCTCAGAAACTTCTTTGTGATATGTGCATTGAAGTCACAGAGTTGAATATTCCCTTTCACAGAGTAGGTTTGAAACACTCTTTTTGTAGTATCTGGAAGTGGACATTTGGAGCGCCTTGACACCTACGGTGAAAAGGGAAATATCTTCCCCTAAAAACTAGACAGAAGCAATCTCAGAATCTTCTTTGGGATATATGCACGCAGCTAACAGAGTTGAACCTTTCTATTGACAGAGCAGTTTTGAAACAGCCTTTCTGTGGAATCTGCAAGTGGATATTTGGATAGCTTGGAGGACTTCGTTGGAAACGGGATTAAGTATAAAAAGTAGACAGCAGCATCCTCAGAAACTTCTTTGTGATGTGTGCATTCAAGTGACAGAGTTGAACATTCCCTTTCGTACAGCAGTTTTGAAACACTCTTTCTGTAGTATCTGGAAGTGAACATTAGGACAGCTTTCAGCTCTATGGTGAGAAAGGAAATATCTTCAAACAAAAACTAGACAGAAGCATTCTCATAAACTTGTTTGTGATGTGTGAACTCAGCTAACAGAGGTGGATCTTTCTCTTGATAGAGCAGTTCTGAAAAACACTTTTTGTAGAATCTGCAAGTGGACATTTGGATAGATTTGAAGATTTCGTTGGAAACGGGAATATCTTCATATCAAATCTAGACAGAAGCATTCGCGGAAACGTCTTTGTGACGTTTGCATTCAACTCACAGAGTTGAACATTCCGTTTCAGAGAGCAGCTTTGAAGCACTCTTTTTGTCGTATGTGCAAGTGGATATTTGGAGCGCTCTGAGGCCTACGGTGAAAAAGCAAATATCTTCCCATAACCACTAGACAGAAACATTCTCAGAAACTCCTTTATGACGTATGCACTCACCTAACAGAAAAGAACCTTCCTTTTGCCAGAGCAGTTTTGATACACTCTTTTTGTAGAATCTGCAAGTGGATATTTGGATAGCTGTGAAGATTTCGTTGGAAACGGGAATATCTTCCTATAAAATCTAGACAGAAGCCTTCTCAGAAAGTGCTCTGTGATGTCTGCATTCAAGTCACAGAGTTGAACATTGCCTTTCATAGAGCAGGTTTGAAACGCTCTTTTTGTAGTATATGGAAGTGGACGTTTCGGACGGTTTGAGGCCCATGGTGATAAAGGGAATATCTTCCCCTACAAGCTAGAAAGAATCATTCTGTGAAATTTGTTTGTGATGTGTGTACTCAACTAACAGAGTTGAACCTTTCTTTTTACACAGCAGTTTTGAAACACTCTTTTTGTAGAATCTGCGAGGGGATATTTGGATAGATTTCAGGATTTCGTTGGAAACGGGAATATCTTCATATAAAATCTCGACAGAAGCATTCTCAGAAACTTCTTTGTGATATCTGCATTCAAGTCACAGAGTTGAATATTCCCTTTCACAGAGTAGGTTTGAAACACTCTTTTTGTAGTATCTGGAAGTGGACATTTGGAGCGCCTTGACACCTAAAGTGAAAAGGTAAATATCTTCCCATAAAAACTAGACAGAAGCAATCTCAGAATCTCCTTTGGGATATATGCACGCAGCTAACAGAGTTGAACCTTTCTATTGACAGAGCAGTTTTGAAACAGTCTTTCTGTGGAATCTGCAAGTGGATATTTGGATAGCTTGGAGGATTTCGTTGGAAACGGGATTACGTGTAAAAAGTAGACAGCAGCATCCTCAGAAACTTCTTTGTGATGTTTGCATTGAAGTCACAGAGTTGAACATTCCCTTTCGTACAGCAGTTTTGAAACACTCTTTCTGTAGTATCTGGAAGTGAACATTAGGACAGCTTTCAGGTCTACGGTGAGAAAGGAAATATCTTCAAATAAAAACTAGACAGAAAGCATTCTCATAAACTTGTTTGTGATGTGTGAACTCAGCTAACAGAGGTGGATCTTTCTTTTGATAGAGCAGTTCTGAAAAACACTTTTTGTTGAATCTGCAAGTGGACATTTGGATAGATTTGAAGATTTCGTTGGAAACGGGAATATCTTCATATCAAATCTAGACCGAAGCATTCTCAGAAACGTCTTTGTGATGTTTGCATTCAACTCATAGAGTTGAACATTCCGTTTCAGAGAGCAGCTGTGAAGCACTCTTTTTGTAGTATGTGCAAGGGGATATTTGGAGCGCTCTGAGGCCTAAGGTGAAAAAGCAAATATCTTCCCATAACCACTAGACAGAAACATTCTCAGAAACTCCTTTATGACGTATGTACTCACCTAAGAGAGAAGAACCTTCCTTTTGACAGAGCAGTTTTGATACACACATTTTGTAGAATCTGCAAGTGGATATTTGGATAGCTGTGAAGATTTCGTTGGAAACGGGAATATCTTCCTATAAAATCTAGACAGAAGCATTCTCAGAAAGTGCTCTGTGATGTCTGCATTCAAGTCACAGAGTTGAACATTGCCTTTCATAGAGCAGGTTTGAAACACTCTTTTTGTAGTATTTGGAAGTGGACGTTTCGGACGGTTTGAGGCCCATGGTGATAAAGGGAATATCTTCCCCTACAAGCTAGAAAGAAGCATTGTGTGAAACTTGTTTGTGATGTGTGTACTCAACTAACAGAGTTGAACCTTTCTTTTTACAGAGCAGTTTTGAAACACTCTTTTTGTAGAATCTGCGAGGGGATATTTGGATAGATTTCAGCATTTCGTTGGAAACGGGAATATCTTCATATAAAATCTCGACAGAAGCATTCTCAGAAACTTCCCTTGTGATATGTGCATTCAAGTCACAGAGTTGAATATTCCCTTTCACAGAGTAGGTTTGAAACACTCTTTTTGTAGTATCTGGAAGTGGACATTTGGAGCGCCTGGACGCCTACGGTGAAAAGGGAAATATCTTCCCATAAAAACTAGACAGAAGCAATCTCAGAATCTTCTTTGGGAT
The DNA here is from genome assembly GCF_000001405.40 of Homo sapiens. Lineage (NCBI taxonomy): Eukaryota > Metazoa > Chordata > Mammalia > Primates > Hominidae > Homo > Homo sapiens. The sequence continues at coordinate 16,648,379 of NC_000014.9, forward strand.
ATATGCACGCAGCTAACAGAGTTGAACCTTTCTATTGACAGAGCAGTTTTGAAACAGTCTTTCTGTGGAATCTGGAAGTGGATATTCGGATAGCTTGGAGGATTTCGTTGGAAACGGGATTAAGTATAAAAAGTAGACAGCAGCATCCTCAGAAACTTCTTTGTGATGTGTGCATTCAAGTCACAGAGTTGAACATTCCCTTTTGTACAGCAGTTTTGAAACACTCTTTCTGTAGTATCTGGAAGTGAACTTTAGGAGAGCTTTCAGGTCTATAGTGAGAAAGGTTATATCTTCAAATAAAAACTAGACAGAAGCATTCTCATAAACTTGTTTGTGATGTGTGAACTCAGCTAACAGAGGTGGATCTTTCTTTTGATAGAGCAGTTCTGAAAAACACGTTTTGTTGAATCTGCAAGTGGACATTTGGATAGATTTGAAGATTTCGTTGGAAACGGGAATATCTTCATATCAAATCTAGACAGAGCATTCTCAGAAACGTCTTTGTGATGTTTGCATTCAACTCATAGAGTTGAACATTCCGTTTCAGAGACCAGCTTTGAAGCACTCTTTTTGTAGTATGTGCAAGTGGATATTTGGAGCGCTCTGAGGCCTACGGTGAAAAAGCAAATATCTTCCCATAACCACTAGACAGAAACATTCTCAGAAACTTCTTTATGATGTATGTACACAACTAACAGAGTTGAACCTTCCTTTTGACACAACAGTTTTGATACACTCTTTTTGTAGAATCTGCAATTGGATATTTGGATATCTTTGAAGATTTCATTGGAAATGGGAATATCTTCATATAAAATCTAGACAGAAGCATTCTCAGAAACTGCTCTGTGATGTCTGCATTCAAGTCACAGAGTTGAACATTGCCTTTCATAGAGCAGGTTTGAAACGCTCTTTTTGTAGTGTATGGAAGTGGACGTTTCGGACGGTTTGAGGCCCATGGTGATAAAGGGAATATCTTCCCCTACAAGCTAGAAAGAAGCATTCTGTGAAACTTGTTTGTGCTGTGTGTACTCAACTAACAGAGTTGAACCTTTCTTTTTACAGAGCAGTTTTGAAACACTCTTTTTGTAGAATCTGCGAGGGGATATTTGGATAGATTTCAGGATTTCGTTGGAAACGGGAATATCTTCATATAAAATCTCGACAGAAGACCGAAGCATTCGCAGAAACTTCTTCGTGATATGTGCATTCAAGTCACAGAGTTGAATATTCCCTTTCACAGAGTAGGTTTGAAACACTCTTTTTGTAGTATCTGGAAGTGGACATTTGGAGCGCCTTGACGCCTATGGTGAAAAGGGAAATATCTTCCCATAAAAACTAGACAGAAGCAATCTCAGAATCTTCTTTGGGATATATGTACGCAGCTAACAGAGTTGAACCTTTCTATTGACAGAGCAGTTTTGAAAGAGTCTTTCTGTGGAATCTGCAAGTGGATATTTGGATAGCTTGGAGGATTTCGTTGGAAACGGGATTACGTATAAAAAGTAGACAGCAGCATCCTCCGAAACTTCTTTGTGATGTGTGCATTCAAGTCACAGAGTTGAACATTCCCTTTCATACAGCAGTTTTGAAACACTCTTTCTGTAGTATCTGGAAGTGAACATTAGGACAGCTTTCAGCTCTATGGTGAGAAAGGAAATATCTTCAAATAAAAACTAGACAGAAAGCATTCTCAAAAACTTGTTTGTGATGTGTGAACTCAGCTAACAGAGGTGGATCTTTCTTTTGATAGAGCAGTTCTGAAAAACACTTTTTGTTGAATCTGCAAGTGGACATTTGGATAGATTTGAAGATTTCGTTGGAAACGGGAATACCTTCATATCAAATCTAGACAGAAGCATTCTCAGAAACGTCTTTGCGATGTTTGCATTCAACTCATAGAGTTGAACATTCCTTTTCAGAGAGCAGCTTTGAGGCACTCTTTTTGTAGTATGTGCAAGTGGATATTTGGAGCGCTCTGAGGCCTACGGTGAAAAAGCAAATATCTTCCCATAACCACTAGACAGAAACATTCTCAGAAACTCCTTTATGACGTATGCACTCAACTAACAGGGAAGAACCTTCCTTTTGACAGAGCAGTTTTGATACACTCTTTTTGTAGAATCTGCAAGTGGATATTTGGATAGCTGTGAAGATTTCTTTGGAAACGGGAATATCTTCCTATAAAGTCTGGACAGAAGCATTCTCAGAAACTGCTCTGTGATGTCTGCATTCAAGTCACAGAGTTGAACATTGCCTTTCATAGAGCAGGTTTGAAACGCTCTTTTTGTAGTATATGGAAGTGGACTTATCGGACGTTTTGAGGCCCATGGTGATAAAGGGAATATCTTCCCCTACAAGCTAGAAAGAAGCATTGTGTGAAACCTGTTTGTGATGTGTGTACTCAACTAACAGAGTTGAACCTTTCTTTTTACAGAGCAGTTTTGAAACACTCTTTTTGTAGAATCTGCAAGGGGATATTTGGATAGATTTCAGGATTTCGTTGGAAACGGGAATATCTTCATATAAAATCTCGACAGAAGCATTCTCAGAAACTTCTTTGTGATACGTGCATTCTAGTCACACAGTTGAATATTCCCTTTCACAGAGTAGGTTTGAAACACTCTTTTTGTAGTATCTGGAAGTGGCCATTTGGAGCGCCTTGACACCTACGGTGAAAAGGGAAATATCTTCCCATAAAAACTAGACAGAAGCAATCTCAGAATCTTCTTTGGGATATATGCACGCAGCTAACAGAGTTGAACCTTTCTATTGACAGAGCAGTTTTGAAACAGTCTTTCTGTGGAATCTGCAAGTGGATATTTGGATAGATTGGAGGATTTCGCTGGAAACGGGATTACGTATAAAAAGTAGACAGCAGCATCCTCAGAAACTTCTTTGTGATGTGTGCATTCAAGTCACAGAGTTGAACATTCCCTTTCGTACAGCAGTTTTGAAACACTCTTTCTGTAGTATCTGGAAGTGAACATTAGGACAGCTTTCAGGTCTATGGTGCGAAAGGAAATATCTTCAAATAAAAACTAGACAGAAGCATTCTCATAAACTTGTTTGTGATGTGTGAACTCAGCTAACAGACGTGGATCTTTCTTTTGATACAGAAGTTTTGAAAAACACTTTTTGTTGAATCTGCAAGTGGACATTTGGATAGATATGAAGATTTCGTTGGAAACGGGAATATCTTCATATCAAATCTAGACAGAAGCATTCTCAGAAACGTCTTTGCGATGTTTGCATTCAACTCATAGAGTTGAACATTCCGTTTCAGAGAACAGCTTTGAAGCACTCTTTTTGTAGTATGTGCAAGTGGATATTTGGAGCGCTCTGAGGCCTACGGTGAGAAAGCAAATATCTTCCCATAACCACTAGACGGAAACATTCTCAGAAACTCCTTTATGACGTATGCACTCACCTAACAGAGAAGAACCTTCCTTTTGACAGAGCAGTTTTGATACACTCTTTTTGTAGAATCTGCAAGTGGATATTTGGATACCTGTGAAGATTTCGATTGGAAACGGGAATATCTTCCTATAAAATCTAGACAGAAGCATTCTCAGAAACTGCTCTGTGATGTCTGCATTCAAGTCACAGAGTTGAACATTGCCTTTCCTAGAGCAGGTTTGAAATGCTCTTTTTGTAGTATATGGAAGTAGACGTTTCGGACGGTTTGAGGCCCATGGTGATAAAGGGAATATCTTCCCCTACAAGCTAGAAAGAAGCATTCTGTGAAACTTGTTTGTGATGTGTGTACTCAACTAACAGAGTTGAAACTTTCTTTTTACAGAGCAGTTTTGAAACACTCTTTTTGTAGAATCTACGAGGGGATATTTGGATAGATTTCAGGATTTCATTGGAAACGGGAATATCTTCATATAAAATCTCGACAGAAGCATTCTCAGAAACATCTTTGTGATATCTGCATTCCAGTCACAGAGTTGAATATTCCCTTTCACAGAGTAGGTTTGAAACACTCTTTTTATAGTATCTGGAATTGGACATTTGGAGCGCCTTGACGCCTACGGTGAAAAGGGAAATATCTTCCGATAAAAACTAGACAGAAGCAATCTCAGAATCTTCTTTGGGATATATGCCACGCAGCTAACAGAGTTGAACCTTTCTATTGACAGAGCAGTTTTGAAACAGTCTTTCTGTGGAATCTGCAAGTGGATATTTGGATAGCTTGGAGGATTTCGTTGGAAACGGGATTACGTATAAAAAGTAGACAGCAGCATCCTCAGGAAACTTCTTTGTGATGTGTGCATTCAAGTCACAGAGTTGAACATTCCCTTTCGTACAGCAGTTTTGAAACACTCTTTCTGTAGTATCTGGAAGTGAACATTAGGACAGCTTTCAGGTCTATGGTGAGAAAGGAAATATCTTCAAATAAAAACTAGACGGAAGCATTCTCATAAACTTGTTTGTGATGTGTGAACTCAGCTAACAGAGGTGGATCTTTCTTTTGATAGAGCAGTTCTGAAAAACACTTTTTGTTGAATCTGCTAGTGGACATTTGGATAGATTTGAAGATTTCGTTGGAAACGGGAATATCTTCATATCAAATCTAGACAGAAGCATTCTCAGTAAACGTCTTTGCGATGTTTGCATTCAACTCATAGAGTTGAACATTCCCTTTGAGAGAGCAGCTTTGAAGCACTCTTTTTGTAGCATGTGCAAGTGGACATTTGGAGCGCCCTGAGGCCTACGGGGAAAAAGCAAATATCTTCCCATAACCACTAGACAGAAACATTCTCAGAAACTCCTTTATGACGTATGTACTCACCTAACAGAGAAGAACCTTCCTTTTGACAGAGCAGTTTTGATACACTCTTTTTGTAGAATCTGCAAGTGGATATTTGGATAGCTGTGAAGATTTCCCTGGAAACGGGAATATCTTCCTATAAAATCTAGACAGAAGCATTCTCAGAAACTGCTCTGTGATGTCTGCATTCAAGTCACAGAGTTGAACATTGCCTTTCATAGAGCAGGTTTGAAACGCTCTTTTTGTAGTATATGGAAGTGGATGTTTCCGACGGTTTGAGGCCCATGGTGATAAAGGGAATATCTTCCCCTACAAGCTAGAAAGAAGCATTGTGTGAAACTTGTTTGTGATGTGTGTACTCAACTAACAGAGTTGAACCTTTCTTTTTACAGAGCAGTTTTGAAACACTCTTTTTGTAGAATCTGTGAGGGGATATTTGGATAGATTTCAGGATTTCGTTGGAAACGAGAATATCTTCATATAAAATCTCGACAGAAGCATTCTCAGAAACTTCTTTGTGATATCTGCATTCAAGTCACAGAGTTGAATATTGCCTTTCACAGAGTAGGTTTGAAACACTCTTCTTGTAGTATCTGGAAGTGGACATTTTGAGCGCCTTGACACCTACGGTGAAAAGGGAAATATCTTCCCATAAAAACTAGACAGAAGCAATCTCAGAATCTTCTTTGGGATATATGCACGCAGCTAACAGAGTTGAACCTTTCTATTGACAGAGCAGTTTTGAAACAGTCTTTCTGTGGAATCTGCAAGTGGATATTTGGATAGCTTGGAGGATTTCGTTGGAAACGGGATACGTATAAAAAGTAGACAGCAGCATCCTCAGAAACTTCTTTGTGATGTGTGCATTCAAGTCACAGAGTTGAACATTCCCTTTCGTACAGCAGTTTTGAAACACTCTTTCTGTAGTATCTGGAAGTGAACACTAGGAGAGCTTTCAGGTCTATGGTGAGAAAGGAAATATCTTCAAATAAAAACTAGACAGAAGCATTCTCATAAACTTGTTTGTGATGTGTGAACTCAGCTTACAGAGGTGGATCTTTCTTTTGATAGAGCAGTTCTGAAAAACACATTTTGTTGAATCTGCAAGTGGACATTTGGATAGATTTTAAGATTTCGTTGGAAACGGGAATATCTTCATATCAAATCTAGACAGAAGCATTCTCAGAAACGTCTTTGTGATGTTTGCATTCAACTCATAGAGTTGAACATTCCGTTTCAGAGAGCAGCTTTGAAGCACTCTTTTTGTAGCATGTGCAAGTGGATATTTGGAGCGCTCTGAGGCCTACGGTGAAAAAGCAAATATCTTCCCATAACCACTAGACAGAAACATTCTCAGAAACTCCTTTATGACGTATGCACTCACCTAACAGAGAAGAACCTTCCTTTTGACAGAGCAGTTTTGATACACTCTTTTTGTAGAATCGGCAAGTGGATATTTGGATAGCTGTGAAGATTTCGTTGGAAACGGGAATATCTTCCTATAAAATCTAGACAGAAGCATTCTCAGAAACAGCTCTGTGATGTCTGCATTCAAGTCACAGAGTTGAACATTGCCTTTCATAGAGCAGGTTTGAAACGCTCTTTTTGTAGTATATGGAAGTGGACGTTTCGGACGGTTTGAGACCCATGGTGATAAAGGGAATATATTCCCCTACAAGCTAGAAAGAAGCATTCTGTGAAACCTGTTTGTGATGTGTGTACTCAACTAACAGAGTTGAACCTTTCTTTTTACAGAGCAGTTTTGAAACACTCTTTTTGTAGAATCTGCGAGGGGATATTTGGATAGATTTCAGGATTTCGTTCGAAACGGGAATATCTTCATATAAAATCTCGACAGAAGCATTCTCAGAAACTTCTTTGTGATATGTGCATTCAAGTCACAGAGTTGAATATTCCCTTTCACAGAGTAGGTTAGAAACACTCTTTTTGTAGTATCTGGAAGTGGACATTTGGAGCGCCTTGACACCTACGGTGAAAAGGGAAATATCTTCCCATAAAAAGTAGACAGAAGCAATCTCAGAATCTTCTTTGGGATATATGCACGCAGCTAACAGAGTTGAACCTTTCTATTGACAGAGCAGTTTTGAAACAGTCTTTCTGTGGAATCTGCAAGTGGATATTTGGATAGCTTAGAGGATTTCGTTGGAAACGGGATTACGCATAAAAAGTAGACAGCAGCATCCTCAGAAACTTCTTTGTGATGTGTGCATTCAAGTCACAGAGTTGAACATTCCCTTTCGTACAGCAGTTTTGAAACACTCTTTCTGTAGTATCTGGAAGTGAACACTAGGACAGCTTTCAGGTCTATGGTGAGAAAGGAAGTATCTTCAAATAAAAACTAGACAGAAGCATTCTCATAAACTTGCTTGTGATGTGTGAACTCAGCTAACAGAGGTGAATCTTTCTTTTGATAGAGCAGTTCTGAAAAACACTTTTTGTTGAATCTGCAAGTGGACATTTGGATAGATTTGAAGATTTCGTTGGAAACGGGAATATCTTCATATCAAATCTAGACAGAAGCATTCTCAGAAACGTCTTTGTGATGATTGCATTCAACTCATAGAGTTGAACATTCCCTTTCAGAGAGCAGCTTTGAAGCACTCTTTTTGTAGTATGTGCAAGTGGATATTTGGAGCGCTCTGGGGCCTACGGTGAAAAAGCAAATATCTTCCCATAACCACTAGACAGAAACATTCTCAGAAACTCCTTTATGAAGTATGCACTCACCTAAGAGAGAAGAACCTTCCTTTTGACAGAGCAGTTTTGATACACTCTTTTTGTAGAATCTGCAAGTGGATATTTTGATAGCTGTGAAGATTTCGTTGGAAACGGGAATATCTTCCTATAAAATCTAGACAGAAGCATTCTCAGAAACTGCTGTGTGATGTCTGCATTCAAGACACAGAGTTGAACATTGCCTTTCATAGAGCAGGTTTGAAACGCTCTTTTTGTAGTATATGGAAGTGGACGTTTCGGACGTTTTGAGGCCCATGGTGATACAGCGAATATCTTCCCCTACCAGCTAGAAAGAAGCATTCTGTGAAACTTGTTTGTGATGTGTGTACTCAACTAACAGAGTTGAACCTTTCTTTTTACAGAGCAGTTTTGAAACACTCTTTTTGTAGAATCTGCGAGGGGATATTTGGATAGATTTCAGGATTTCGTTGGAAACAGGAATATCTTCATATAAAATCTCGACAGAAGCATTCTCAGAAGCTTCTTTGTGATATGTGCATTCAAGTCACAGAGTTGAATATTCCCTTTCACAGAGTAGGTTTGAAACACTCTTTTTGTAGTATCTGGAAGTGGACATTTGGAGCGCCTTGACGCCTGCGGTGAAAAGGGAAATATCTTCTCATAAAAAGTAGACAGAAGCAATCTCAGAATCTTCTTTGGGATATATGCACGCAGCTAACAGAGTTGAACCTTTCTATTGACAGAGCAGTTTTGAAACAGTCTTTCTGTGGAATCTGCAAGTGGATATTTGGATAGCTTGGAGGATTTCGTTGGAAACGGGATTACGTATATAAAGTAGACCGCAGCATCCTCAGAAACTTCTTTGTGATGTGTGCATTCAAGTCACAGAGTTGAACATTCCCTTTCGTACAGCAGTTTTGAAACACTCTTTCTGTAGTATCTGGAAGTGAACATTAGGACAGCTTTCAGGTCTATGGTTAGAAAGGAAATATCTTCAAATAAAAACTAGACAGAAGCATTCTCATAAACTTGTTTGTGATGTGTGAACTCAGCTAACAGAGGTGGATCTTTCTTTTGATAGAGCAGTTCTGAAAAACACTTTTTGTTGAATCTGCAAGTGGACATTTGGATAGATTTGAAGATTTCGTTGAAAACGGGAATATCTTCATATCAAATCTAGACAGAAGCATTCTCAGAAACGTCTTTGTGATGTTTGCATTCAACTCATAGAGTTGAACATTCCGTTTCAGAGAGCAGCTTTGAAGCACTCTTCTTGTAGTATGTGCAAGTGGATATTTGGAGCGCTCTGAGGCCTACGGTGAAAAAGCAAATATCTTCCCATAACCACTAGACAGAAACATTCTCAGAAACTCCTTTATGACGTATGCACTCACCTAACAGGGAAGAACCTTCCTTTTGACAGAGCAGTTTTGATACACTCTTTTTGTAGAATCTGCAAGTGGATATTTGGATAGCTGTGAAGATTTCGTTGGAAACGGGAATATCTTCCTATAAAATCTAGACAGAAGCATTCTCAGAAACTGCTCTGTGATGTCTGCATTCAAGTCACAGAGTTGAACATTGCCTTTCATAGAGCAGGTTTGAAAGGCTCTTTTTGTACTATATGGAACAGGACGTTTCGACGGTTTGAGGACCATGGTGATAAAGGGAATATCTTCCCCTACAAGCTAGAAAGAAAGCATTGTGTGAAACTTGTTTGTGATGTGTGTACTCAACTAACAGAGTTGAACCTTTCTTTTTACAGAGCAGTTTTGAAACACTCTTTTTGTAGAATCTGCAAGGGGATATTTGGATAGATTTCAGGATTTCGTTGGAAACGGGAATATCTTCATATAAAATCTCGACAGAAGCATTCTCAGAAACTTCTTTGTGATATCTGCCTTTAAGTCACAGAGTTGAATATTCCCTTTCACAGAGTAGGTTTGAAACACTCTTTTTGTAGTATCTGGAAGTGGACATTTGGAGCGCCTTGAGGCCTACGGTGAAAAGGGAAATATCTTCTCATAAAAACTAGACAGAAGCAATCTCAGAATCTTCTTTGGGATATATGCATGCAGCTAACAGAGTTGAACCTTTCTATTGACAGAGCAGATTTGAAACAGTCTTTCTGTGGAATCTGCAAGTGGATATTTGGATAGCTTGGAGGATTTCGTTGGAAACGGGATTACGTATAAAAAGTAGACAGCAGCATCCTCAGAAACATCCTTGTGATGTGTGCATTCAAGTCACAGAGTTGAACATTCCCTTTCGTACAGCAGTTTTGAAACACACTTTCTGTAGTATCTGGAAGTGAACTTTAGGACAGCTTTCAGGTCTATAGTGAGAAAGGATATATCTTCAAATAAAAACTAGACGGAAGCATTCTGATAAACTTGTTTGTGAAGTTTGATCTCAGCTAACAGAGGTGGATCTTTCTTTTGATAGAGCAGTTCTGAAAAACACTTTGTTGAATCTGCAAGTGGACATTTGGATAGATTTGAAGATTTCGTTGGAAACGGGAATATCTTCATATCAAATCTAGACAGAAGCATTCTCAGAAACGTCTTTGTGATGTTTGCATTCAACTCATAGAGTTGAACATTCCGTTTCAGAGAGCAGCTTTGAAGCACTCTTTTTGTAGTATGTGCAAGTGGATATTTGGAGCGCTCTGAGGCCTACGGTGAAAAAGCAAATATCTTCCCATAACCACTAGACGGAAACATTCTCAGAAACTCCTTTATGACGTATGCACTCACCTAACAGAGAAGAACCTTCCTTTTGACAGAGCACTTTTGATACACTCTTTTTGTAGAATCTGCAAGTGGATATTTAGATAGCTGTGAAGATTTCTTTGGAAACGGGAATATCTTCCTATAAAATCTAGACAGAAGTATACTCAGAAACTGCTCTGTGATGTCTGCATTCAAGTCACAGAGTTGAACATTGCCTTTCATAGAGCAGGTTTGAAACGCTCTTTTTGTAGTATATGGAAGTGGACGTTTCGGACAGTTTGAGGCCCATGGTGATAAAGGAAATATCTTCCCCTACAAGCTAGAAAGAAGCATTCTGTGAAACTTGTTTGTGATGTGTGTACTCAACTAACAGGGTTGAACCTTTCCTTTTACAGAGCAGTTTTGCAACACTCTTTTTGTAGAATCTGCGAGGGGATATTTGGATAGCTGTGAAGATTTCGTTGGAAACGGGAATATCTTCCTATAAAATCTAGACAGAAGCATTCTCAGAAACTTCTTTGTGATATGTGCATCCAAGTCACAGAGTTGAATATTCCCTTTCACAGAGTAGGTTTGAAACACCCTTTTTGTAGTATCTGGAAGTGGACATTTGGAGCGCCTTGACACCTACGGTGAAAAGGGAAATATCTTCCCATAAAAACTAGACAGAAGCAATCTCAGAATCTTCTTTGTGATATATGCACGCAGCTAACAGAGTTGAACCTTTCTATTGACAGAGCAGTTTTGAAACAGTCTTTCTGTGGAATCTGCAAGTGGATATTTGGATAGCTTGGAGGACTTCGTTGGAAACGGGATTACGTATAAAAAGTAGACAGCAGCATTCTCAGAAACTTCTTTGTGATGTGTGCATTCAAGTCAAAGAGTTGAACATTCCCTTTCGTACAGCAGGTTTGAAAAACTCTTTCTCTAGTACCTGGAAGTGAACGTTTCGAGACCTTTCAGGTCTATGGTGAGAAAGGAAATATCTTCAAATAAAAACTAGACAGAAGCATTCTCATAAACCTGTTTGTGATGTGTGAACTCAGCTAACCGAGGTGGATCTTTCTTTTGATAGAGCAGTTCTGAAAAACACTTTTTGTTGAATCTGCAAGGGGACATTTGGATAGATTTGAAGATTTCGTTGGAAACGGGAATATCTTCATATCAAATCTAGACAGAAGCATTCTCAGAAACGTCTTTGTGATGTTTGCATTCAACTCCTAGAGTTGAACATTCCGTTTCAGAGAGCAGCTTTGAGGCACTCTTTTTGTAGTATGTGCAAGTGGATATTTGGAGCGCACTGAGGCCTACGGTGAAAAAGCAAATATCTTCCCATAACCACTAGACAGAAACATTCTCAGAAACTTCTTTATGACGTATGTACTCAACTAGCAGAGAAGAACTTTCCTTTTGACAGAGCATTTCTGATACACTCTTGTTGTACTATCTGCAAGTGGATATTTGGATAGCTGTGAAGATTTCGTTGGAAACGGGAATATCTTCCTATAAAGTCTGGACAGAAGCATTCTCAGAAAGTGCTCTGTGATGTCTGCATTCAAGTCACAGAGTTGAACATTGCCTTTCATAGAGCAGGTTTGAAACGCTCTTTTTGTAGTATATGGAAGTGGACGTTTCGGACGGTTTGAGGCCCATGGTGATAAAGGGAATATCTTCCCCTACAAGCTAGAAAGAAGCATTCTGTGAAACTTGTTTGTGATATGTGTACTCAACTAACAGAGTTGAACCTTTCTTTTTACAGAGCAGTTTTGAAACACTCTTTTTGTAGAATCTGCGAGGGGATATTTGGATACATTTCAGCATTTCGTTGGAAACGGGAATATCTTCATATAAAATCTCGACAGAAGCATTCTCAGAAACTTCTTTGTGGTATGTGCATTCAAGTCACAGAGTTGAATATTCCCTTTCACAGAGTATGTTTGAAACACTCTTTTTGTAGTATCTGGAAGTGTACATTTGGAGCGCCTTGACGCCTACGGTGAAAAGCGAAATATCTTCCCATAAAAACTAGACAGAAGCAATCTCAGAATCTTCTTTGGGATATATGCACGCAGCTAAGAGAGTTGAATCTTTCTATTGACAGAGCAGATTTGAAACAGTCTTTCTGTGGAATCTGCAAGTGGATATTTGGATAGATTGGAGGATTTCGTTGGAAACGGGATTACGTATAAAAAGTAGACAGCAGCATCCTCAGAAACTTCTTTGTGATGTGTGCATTCAAGTCACAGAGTTGAACATTCCCTTTCGTACAGCAGTTTTGAAACCCTCTTTCTGTAGTATCTGGAAGTGAACATTAGGACAGCTTTCAGCTCTATGGTGAGAAAGGAAATATCTTCAAATAAAAACTAGACAGAAGCATTCTCATAAACTTGTTTGTGATGTGTGAACTCAGCTAACAGAGGTGGATCTATCTTTTGATAGAGCAGTTCTGAAAAACACTTTTTGTAGAATCTGCAAGTGGACATTTGGATAGATTTGAAGATGTCGTTGGAAACGGGAATATCTTCATATCAAGTCTAGACAGAAGCATTCTCAGAAACGTCTTTGTGATGTTTGCATTCAACTCATAGAGTTGAACATTCCGTTTCAGAGAGCAGCTTTGAAGCACTCTTTTTGTAGTATGTGCCAGTGGATATTTGGAGCGCTCTGAGGCCTACGGTGAAAAAGCAAATATCTTCCCATAACCACTAGACAGAAACATTCTCAGAAACTCCTTTATGACGTATGCACTCACGTAACAGAGAAGAACCTTCCTTTTGACTGAGCAGTTTTGATACACTCTTTTTGTAGAATCTGCAAGTGGATATTTGGATAGCTGTGAAGATTTCGTTGGAAACGGGAATATCTTCCTATAAAATCTAGACAGAAGCATTCTCAGAAACTGCTCTGTGATGTCTGCATTCAAGTCACAGAGTTGAACATTGCCTTTCATAGAGCAGGTTTGAAACGCTCTTTTTGTACTATATGGAAGAGGACGTTTCGAACGGTTTGAGGCCCATGGTGATAAAGGGTATATCTTCCCCTACAAGCTAGAAAGAAGCATTCTGTGAAACTTGTTTGTGATGTGTGTACTCAAGTAACAGAGTTGAACCTTTCTTTTTACAGAGCAGTTTTGAAACACTCTTTCTGTAGAATCTGCGAGGGGATATTTGGATAGATTTCAGGGTTTCGTTGGAAACGGGAACATCTTCATATAAAATCTCGACAGAAGCATTCTCAGAAACTTCTTTGTGATATCTGCCTTCAAGTCACAGAGTTGAATATTCCCTTTCACAGAGTAGGTTTGAAACACTCTTTTTGTAGTATCTTGAAGTGGACATTTGGAGCGCCTTGACGCCTACGGTGAAAAGGGAAATATCTTCCCATAAAAACTAGACAGAATCAATCTCAGAATCTTCTTTGGGATATATGCACGCAGCTAACAGAGTTGAACCTTTCTATTGACAGAGCAGTTTTGAAACAGTCTTTCTGTGGAATCTGCAAGTGGATATTTGGATAGCTTGGAGGATTTCGTTGGAAACGGGATTACGTATAAAAAGTAGACAGCAGCATCCTCAGAAACTTCTTTGTGATGTGTGCATTCAAGTCACAGAGTTGAACATTCCCTTTCGTACAGCAGTTTTGAAACACTCTTTCTGTAATATCTGGAAGTGAACATTAGGACAGCTTTCAGGTCTATGGTGAGAAAGGAAATATCTTCAAATAAAAACTAGACAGAAGCATTCTCATAAACTTGTTTGTGATGTGTGAACTCAGCTAACAGAGGTGGATCTTTCTTTTGATAGAGCAGTTCTGAAAAACACTTTTTGTTGAATCTGCAAGTGGACATTTGGATAGATTTGAATATTTCGTTGGAAACGGGAATATCGTCATATCAAATCTAGACAGAAGCATTCTCAGAAACGTCTTTGTGATGTTTGCATTCAACTCGTAGAGTTGAACATTCCGTTTCAGAGAGCAGCTTTGAGGCACTCTTTTTGTAGTATGTGCAAGTGGATATTTGGAGCGCTCTGAGGCCTACGGTGAAAAAGCAAATATCTTCCCATAACCACTAGACAGAAACATTCTCAGAAACTGCTTTATGACGTATGCACTCACCTAACAGAGAAGAACCTTCCTTTTGACAGAGCAGTTTTGACACACTCTTTTTGTAGAAACTGCAAGTGGATATTGGGATAGCTGTGAAGATTTCGTTGGAAACGGGAATATCTTCCTATAAAATCTAGACAGAAGCATTCTCAGAAACTGCTCTGTGATGTCTGCATTCAAGTCACAGAGTTGAACATTGCCTTTCATAGAGCAGGTTTGAAAAGCTCTTTTTGTAGTATATGGAAGTGGACGTTTCACACGGTTTGAGGCCGATGGTGATAAAGGGAATATCTTCCCCTACAAGCTAGAAAGAAGCATTCTGTGAAACTTCTTTGTGATGTGTGTACTCAACTAACAGAGTTGAACCTTTCTTTTTACAGAGCAGTTTTGAAACACTCTTTTTGTAGAATCTGCGAGGGGATATTTGGATACATTTCAGGATTTCGTTGGAAACAGGAATATCTTCATATAAAATCTCGACAGAAGCATTCTCAGAAACTTCTTTGTGATATGTGCATTCAAGTCACAGAGTTGAATATTCCCTTTCACAGAGTAGGTTTGCAACACTCTTTTTGTAGTATCTGGAAGTGGACATTTGGAGCGCCTTGACACCTACGGTGAAAAGGGAAATATCTTCCCATAAAAACTAGACAGAAGCAATCTCAGAATCTTCTTTGGGATATATGCACGCAGCTAACAGAGTTGAACCTTTCTATTGACAGAGTAGTTTTGAAACAGTCTTTTTGTGGAATCTCCAAGTGGATATTTGGATAGCTTGGAGGATTTCGTTGGAAACGGGATTACGTATAAAAAGTAGACAGCAGCATCCTCAGAAACCTTCTTTGTGATGTGTGCATTCAAGACACAGAGTTGAACATTCCCTTTCGTACAGCAGTTTTGAAACGCTCTTTCTGTAGTATCTGGAAGTGAACATTAGGACAGCTTTCAGGTCTATCGTGAGTAAGGAAATATCTTCAAATAAAAACTAGACAGAAGCATTCTCATAAACTTGTTTGTGATGTGTGAACTCAGCTAACAGAGGTGGATCTTTCTTTTGATAGAGCAGTTCTGAAAAACACTTTTTGTTGAATCTGCAAGTGGACATTTGGATAGATTTGAAGATTTCATTGGAAACGGGAATATCTTCATATCAAATCTAGACAGAAGCATTCTCAGAAACGTCTTTGTGATGTTAGCATTCAACTCATAGAGTTGAACATTCCCTTTCAGAGAGCAGCTTTGAAGCACTCTTTTTGTAGTATGTGCAAGTGGACATTTGGAGCGCTTTGAGGCCTACGGTGAAAAAGCAAATATCTTCCCATAACCACTAGACAGAAACATTCTCAGAAACTCCTTTATGACGTATGTACTCAACTAACAGAGAAGAACCTTCCTTTTGACAGAGCAGTTTTGATACACTCTTTTTGTAGAATCTGGAAGTGGATATTTGGATAGCTGTGAAGATTTCGTTGGATACGGGAATATCTTCCTATAAAATCTAGACAGAAGCATTCTCAGAAACTGCTCTGTGATGTCTGCATTCAAGTCACAGAGTTGAACATTGCCTTTCATAGAGCAGGTTTGAAACACTCTTTTTTTAGTATATGGAAGTGGACGTTTCGGACGGTTTGAGGCCCATGGTATTAAAGGGAATATCTTCCCCTACAAGCTAGAAAGAAGCATTCTGTGAAACTTGTTTGTGATGTGTGTACTCAATTAACAGAGTTGAACCTTTCTTTTTACAGAGCAGTTTTGAAACACTCTTTTTGTAGAATCTGCGAGGGGATATTTGGATAGATTTCAGGATTTCGTTGGAAACGGGAATATCTTCATATAAAATCTCGACAGAAGCATTCTCAGAAACTTCTTTGTGATATCTGCATTCAAGTCACAGAGTTCAATATTCCCTTTCACAGAGTAGGTTTGAAACACTCTTTTTGTAGTATCTGGAAGTGGACATTTGGAGCGCCTTGACACCTACGGTGAAAAGGGAAATATCTTCCCATAAAAACTAGACAGAAGCAATCTCAGAATCCTCTTTGGGATATATGCACGCAGCTAACAGAGTTGAACCTTTCTATTGACAGAGCAGTTTTGAAACAGTCTTTCTGTGGTATCTGCAAGTGGATATTTGGATAGCTTGGAGGATTTCGTTGGAAACGGGATTACGTATAAAAAGTAGACAGCAGCATCCTCAGAAACTTCCTTGTGATGTGTGCATTCAAGTCACAGAGTTGAACATTCCCTTTCGTACAGCAGTTCTGAAACACTCTTTCTGTAGTATCTGGAAGTAAACAGCACAGCTTTCAGGTCTATGGTGAGAAAGGAAATATCTTCAAATAAAAACTAGACAGAAGCATTCTCATAAACTTGTTTGTGATGTGTGAACTCAGCTAATAGAGGTGGATCTTTCTTTTGATAGAGCAGTTCTGAAAAACACTTTTTGTTGAATCTGCAAGTGGACATTTGGATAGATTTGAAGATTTCGTTGGAAACGGGAATATCTTCATATCAAATCTAGACAGAAGCATTCTCAGAAACGTCTTTGTCATGTTTGCATTCAACTCATAGAGTTGAACATTCCGTTTCAGAGAGCAGCTTTGAAGCACTCTTTTTGTAGTATATGCAAGTGGATATTTGGAGCGCTCTGAGGCCTACGGTGAAAAAGCAAATATCTTCCCATAACCACTAGACAGAAACATTCTCAGAAACTCCTTTATGACGTATGCACTCACCTAACAGAAAAGAACCTTCCTTTTGACAGAGCAGTTTTGATACACTCTTTTTGTAGAATCTGCAAGTGGATATTTGGATAGCTGTGAAGATTTCGTTGGAAACGGGAATATCTTCATATCAAATCTAGACAGAAGCATTCTCAGAAACTGCTCTGTGATGTCTGGATTCAAGTCACAGAGTTGAACATTGCCTTTCATAGAGCAGGTTTGAAACGCTCTTTTTGTAGTATATGGAAGTGGACGTTTCGGACGGTTTGAGGCCCATGGTGATAAAGGGAATATCTTCCCCTACAAGCTAGAAAGAAGCATTCTGTGAAACTTGTTTGTGATGTGTGTACTCAACTAACAGAGTTGAACCTTTCTTTTTACAGAGCAGTTTTGAAACACTCTTTTTGTAGAATCTGCGAGGGAATATTTGGATAGATTTCAGGATTTCGTTGGAAACGGGAATATCTTCATATAAAATCTCGACAGAAGCATTCTCAGAAACTTCATTGTGATATCTGCATTCAAGTCACAGAGTTGAATATTCCCTTTCACAGAGTAGGTTTGAAACACTCTTTTTGTAGTATCTGGAAGTGGACATTTGGAGCGCCTTGACACCTACGGTGAAAAGGGAAATATCTTCCCCTAAAAACTAGACAGAAGCAATCTCAGCAATCTTGTTTGGGATATATGCACGCAGCTAACACAGTTGAACCTTTCTATTGACAGAGCAGTTTTGAAACATTCTTTCTGTGGAATCTGCAAGTGGATATTTGGATAGCTTGGAGGATTTCGTTGGAAACGGGATTACGTATCAAAAGTAGACAGCAGCATCCTCAGAAACTACTTTGTGATGTGTGCATTCAAGTCACAGAGTTGAAAATTCCCTTTCCTACAGCAGTTTTGAAACACTCTTTCTGTAGTATCTGGAAGTGAACATTAGGACAGCTTTCAGGTCTATAGTGAGAAAGGATATATCTTCAAATAAAAACTAGACAGAAGCTTTCTCATAAACTTGTTTGTGATGTGTGAACTCAGCTAACAGAGGTGGATCTTTCTTTTGATACAGCAGTTTTGAAAAACACTTTTTGTTGAATCTGCAAGTGGACATTTGGATAGATATGAAGATTTCGTTGGAAACGGGAATATCTTCATATCAAATCTAGACAGAAGCATTCTCAGAAACGTCTTTGTGATGTCTGCATTCAACTCATAGAGTTGAACATTCCCTTTCAGAGAGCAGCTTTGAAGCACTCTTTTTGTAGCATGTGCAAGTGGACATTTGGAGCGCCCTGAGGCCTACGGGGAAAAAGCAAATATCTTCCCATAACCACTAGAGAGAAACATTCTCAGAAACTCCTTTATGAGGTATGCACTCACCTAACAGAGAAGAACCTTCCTTTTGACAGAGCAGTTTTGATACACTCTTTTTGTAGAATCTGCAAGTGGATATTTGGATACCTGTGAAGATTTCGTTGGAAACGGGAATATCTTCCTATAAAATCTAGACAGAAGCATTCTCAGAAACTGCTCTGTGATGTCTGTATTCAAGTCACAGAGTTGAACATTGCCTTTGATAGAGCAGGTTTGAAACGCTCTTTTTGTAGTATATGGAAGTGGATGTTTCGGACGGTTGGAGGCCCATGGTGATAAAGGGAATATCTTCCCCTACAAGCTAGAAAGAAGCATTCTGTGAAACTTGTTTGTGATGTGTGTACTCAACTAACAGAGTTGAACCTTTCTTTTTACAGAGCAGTTTTGAAACACTCTTTTTGTAGAATCTGCCAGGGGATATTTGGATACATTTCAGGATTTCGTTGGAAACGGGAATATCTTCATATAAAATCTCGACAGAAGCATTCTCAGAAACTTCTTTGTGTTATCTGCATTCAAGTCACAGAGTTGAATATTCCCTTTCACAGAGTAGGTTTGAAACACTCTTTTTGTAGTGTCTGAAAGTGGACATTTGGAGCACATTGACACCTACGGTGAAAAGGGAAATATCTTCCCATAATAACTAGACAGAAGCAATCTCAGAATCTTCTTTGGGATATATCCACGCAGCTAACAGAGTTGAACCTTTCTATTGACAGAGCAGTTTTGAAACAGTCTTTCTGTGGAATCTGCAAGTGGATATTTGGATAGCTTGGAGGATTTCGTTGGAAACGGGATTACGTATAAAAAGTAGACAGCAGCATCCTCAGAAACTTCTTTGTGATGTGTGCATTCAAGTCACAGAGTTGAACATTCCCTTTCGTACAGCAGTTTTGAAACGCTCTTTCTGTAGTATATGGAAGTGAACATTAGGACAGCTTTCAGGTCTATGGTGAGAAAGGAAATATCTTCAAATAAAAACTAGACAGAAGCATTCTGATAAACTTGTTTGTGAAGTGTGAACTCAGCTAACAGAGGTGGATCTTTCTTTCGACACAGCAGTTTTGAAAAACACTTTTTGTTGAATCTGCAAGTAGACATTTGGATAGATTTGAAGATTTCGTTGAAAACGAGAATATGTTCATTTCAAATCTAGACAGAAGCATTCTCAGAAACGTCTTTGTGATGTTTGCATTCAACTCATAGTGTTGAACATTCCCTTTCAGAGAGCAGCTTTGAAGCACTGTTTTTGTAGTATGTGCAAGTGGACATTTGGAGCGCTTTGAGCCCTACGGGGAAAAAGCAAATATCTTCCCGTAACCACTAGACAGAAACATTCTCAGAAACCCCTTTATGACGTATGCACTCACCTAACAGGAGAAGAACCTTCCTTTTGACTGAGCAGTTTTGATACACTCTTTTTGTAGAATCTGCAAGTGGATATTTGGATAGCTGTGAAGATTTCGTTGGAAACGGGAATATCTTCCTATAAAATCTAGACAGAAGCATTCTCAGAAACTGGTCTGTGATGTCTGCATTCAAGTCACAGAGTTGAACATTGCCTTTCCTAGAGCAGGTTTGAAATGCTCTTTTTGTAGTATATGGAAGTGGACGTTTCGGACGGTTTGAGGCCCATGGTGATAAAGGGAATATCTTCCCCTACAAGCTAGAAAGAAGCATTTTGTGAAACTTGTTTGTGATGTGTGTACTCAACTAACAGAGTTGAACCTTTCTTTTTACAGAGCAGTTTTGAAACACTCTTTTTGTAGAATCTGCGAGGGGATATTTGGATAGATTTCAGGATTTCGTTGGAAACGGGAATATCTTCATATAAAATCTCGACAGAAGCATTCTCAGAAGCTTCTTTGTGATATGTGCATTCAAGTCACAGAGTTGAATATTCCCTTTCACAGAGTAGGTTTGAAACACTCTTTTTGTAGTATCTGGAAGTGGACATTTGGAGCGCCTTGACGCCTACGGTGAAAAGGGAAATATCTTCTCATAAAAACTAGACAGAAGCAATCTCAGAATCTTCTTTGGGATATATGCACGCAGCTAGCAGAGTTGAACCTTTCTATTGACAGAGCAGTTTTGAAACAGTCTTTCTGTGGAATCTGCAAGTGGATATTTGGATAGCTTGGAGGATTTCGTTGGAAACGGGATTACGTATAATAAGTAGACAGCAGCATCCTCAGAAACTTCTTTGTGATGTGTGCATTCAAGTCACAGTGTTGAACATTCCCTTTCGTACAGCAGTTTTGAAACACTCTTTCTGTAGTATCTGGAAGTGAACATTAGGACTGCTTTCAGGTCTATGGTGAGAAAGGAAATATCTTCAAATAAAAACTAGACAGAAGCATTCTCATAAACTTGTTTGTGATGTGTGAACTCAGCTAACAGACGTGGATCTTTCTTTTGATACAGCAGTTTTGAAAAACACTTTTTGTAGAATCTGCAAGTGGACATTTGGATAGATTTGAAGATTTCGTTGGAAACGGGAATATCTTCATATCAAATCTAGACAAAAGCATTCTCAGAAACGTCTTTGTGATGTTTGCATTCAACTCATAGAGTTGAACATTCCGTTTCAGAGACCAGCTTTGAAGCACTCTTTTTGTAGTATGCGCAAGTGGATATTTGGAGCGCTCTGAGGCCTACGGTGAAAAAGCAAATATCTTCCCATAACCACTAGACAGAAACATTCTCAGAAACTCCTTTATGACGTATGCACTCACCTAACAGAGAAGAACCTTACTTTTGACAGAGCAGTTTTGATACACTCTTTTTGTAGAATCTGCAAGTGGATATTTGGATAGCTGTGAAGATTTCGTTGGAAACGGGAATATCTTCCTATAAAATCTAGACAGAAGCATTCTCAGAAACTGCTCTGTGATGTCTGCATTCAAGTCACAGAGTTGAACATTGCCTTTCTTAGAACAGGTTTCAAACGCTCTTTTTGTAGTATATGGAAGTGGACGTTTCAGACGGTTTGAGGCCCATGGTGATAAAGGGAATATCTTCCCCTACAAGCTAGAAAGAAGCATTCTGTGAAACTTGTTTGTGAGGTGTGTACTCAACTAACAGAGTTGAACCTTTCTTTTCACAGAGCAGTTTTGAAACACTCTTTTTGCAGAATCTGCGAGGGGATATTTGGATAGATTTCAGGATTTCGTTGGAAACGGGAATATCTTCATATAAAATCTCGACAGAAGCATTCTCAGAAACTTCTTTGTGATATGTGCATTCAAGTCACAGAGTTGAATATTCCCTTTCACCAAGTAGGTTTGAAACACTCTTTTTGTAGTATCTGGAAGTGGACATTTGGAGCGCCTTGACGCCTACGGTGAAAAGGGAAATATCTTCCCATAAAAACTAGACAGAAGCAATCTCAGAATCTTCTTTGGGATATATGCACGCAGCTAACAGAGTTGAACCTTTCTATTGACAGAGCAGTTTTGAAACAGTCTTTCTGTGGAATCTGCAAGTGGATGTTTGGATAGCTTGGAGGATTTCGTTGGAAACGGGATTACGTATAAAAAGTAGACAGCGGCATCCTCAGAAACTTCTTTGTGATGTGTGCATTCAAGTCAGAGAGTTGAACATTCCCTTTCGTACAGCAGTTTTGAAACACTCTTTCTGTAGTATCTGGAAGTGAACATTAGGACAGCTTTCAGGTCTATGGTGAGAAAGGAAATACCTTCAAATAAAAACTAGACAGAAGCATTCTCATAAACTTGTTTGTGATGTGTGAACTCAGCTAACAGAGGTGGATCTTTCTTTTGATAGAGCAGTTCTGAAAAACACTTTTTGTTGAATCTGCAAGTGGACATTCGGATAGATTTCAAGATTTCGTTGGAAACGGGAATATCTTCATATCAAATCTAGACAGAAGCATTCTCAGAAACGTCTTTGTGATGTTGGCATTCAACTCATAGAGTTGAACATTCCGTTTCAGAGAGCAGCTTTGAGGCACTCTTTTTGTAGTATGTGCAAGTGGATATTTGGAGCGCTCTGAGGCCTACGGTGAAAAAGCAAATATCTTCCCATAAACACTAGACAGAAACATTCTCAGAAACTCCTTTATGACGTAATGCACTCACCTAACAGAGAAGAACCTTCCTTTTGACAGAGCAGTTTTGATACACTCTTTTTGTAGAGTCTGCAAGTGGATATTTGGATAGCTGTGAAGATTTCGTTGGAAACGGGAATATCTTCCTATAAAATCTAGACAGATAAGCATTCTCAGAAACTGCTCTGTGATGTCTGCATTCAAGTCACAGAGTTGAACATTGCCTTTCATAGAGCAGGTTTGAAACGCTCTTTTTGTAGTATATGGAAGTGGACGTTTCGGACGGTTTGAGGCCCATGGTGATAAAGGGAATATCTTCCCCTACAAGCTAGAAAGAAGCATTCTGTGAAACTTGTTTGTGATGTGTGTACTCAACTAACAGAGTTGAACCTTTCTTTTCACAGAGCAGTTTTGAAACACTCTTTTTGTAGAATCTGCGAGGGGATATTTGGATAGATTTCAGCATTTCGTTGGAAACGGGAATATCTTCAAATAAAATCTCGACAGAAGCATTCTCAGAAACGTCTTTGTGATATCTGCATTCAAGTCACAGAGTTGAATATTCCCTTTCACAGAGTAGGTTTGAAACACTCTTTTTGTAGTATCTGGAAGTGGACATTTGGAGCGCCTTGACGCCTACGATGAAAAGGGAAATATCTTCCCATAAAAACTAGACAGACAAGCAATCTCCGAATCTTCTTTGGGATATATGCACGCAGCTAACAGAGTTGAACCTTTCTATTGACAGAGCAGTTTTGAAACAGTCTTTCTGTGGAATCTGCAAGTGGATATTTGGATAGCTTGGAGGATTTCGTTGGAAAAGGGATTATGTATAAAAAGTAGACAGCAGCATCCTCAGAAACTTCCTTGTGATGTGTGCATTCAAGACACACAGTTGAACATTCCCTTTCGTACAGCAGTTTTGAAACACTCTTTCTGTAGTATCTGGAAGTGAACATTAGGAGAGCTTTGAGGTCTATAGTGAGAAAAGGTATATCTTCAAATAAAAACTAGACAGAAGCATTCTCATAAACTTGTTTGTGATGTGTGAACTCAGCTAACAGAGTTGGATCTTTCTTTTGATAGAGCAGTTCTGAAAAACACTTTTTGTTGAATCTGCAAGTGGACATTTGTATAGATTTGAAGATTTCGTTGGAAACGGGAATATCTTCATATCAAATCTAGACAGAAGCATTCTCAGAAACGTCTTTGTGATGTTTGCATTCAACTCATAGAGTTGAACATTCCCTTTCAGAGAGCAGCTTTGAAGCACTCTTTTTGTAGTATGTGCAAGTGGATACTTGGAGCGCTCTGAGGCCTACGGTGAAAAAGCAAATATCTTCCCATAACCACTAGACAGAAACATTCTCAGAAACTCCTTTATGACGTATGTACTCAACTAACAGAGAAGAACCTTCCTTTTGACAGAGCAGTTTTGATACACTCTTTTTGTAGAATCTACAAGTGGATATTTGGATAGCTGTGAAGATTTCGTTGGAAACGGGAATATCTTCCTATAAAATCTAGACAGAAGCATTCTCAGAAACTGCTCTGTGATGTCTGCATTCAAGTCACAGAGTTGAACATTGCCTTTCCTAGAGCAGGTTTGAAACGCTCTTTTTGTAGTATATAGAAGTGGACGTTTCGGACGGTTTGAGGCCCATGGTGATAAAGGGAATATCTTCCCCTACAAGCTAGAAAGAAGCATTCTGTGAAACTTGTTTGTGATGTGTGTACTCAACTAACAGAGTTGAACCTTTCTTTTTACAGAGCAGTTTTGAAACACTCTTTTTGTAGAATCTGCGAGGGGATATTTGGATAGATTTCAGGATTTTGTTGGAAACCGGAATATCTTTATATAAAATCTCGACAGAAGCATTCTCAGAAGCTTCTTTGTGATATGTGCATTCAAGTCACAGAGTTGAATATTCCCTTTCACAGAGTAGGTTTGAAACACTCTTTTTCTAGTATCTGGAAGTGGACATTTGGAGCGCCTTGACACCTACGGTGAAAAGGGAAATATCTTCTCATAAAAAGTAGACAGAAGCAATCTGAGAATCTTCTTTGGGATATATGCACGCAGCTAACAGAGTTGAACCTTTCTATTGACAGAGCAGTTTTGAAACAGTCTTTCTGTGGAATCTGCAAGTGGATATTTGGATAGCTTGGAGGATTTCGTTGGAAACGGGATTACCTATACAAAGTAGCCAGCAGCATCCTCAGAAACTTCTTTGTGATGTGTGCATTCAAGTCACAGAGTTGAACATTCCCTTTCGTACAGCAGTTTTGAAACACTCTTTCTGTAGTATCTGGAAGTGAATATTAGGACAGCTTTCAGGTCTATGGTGATAAAGGAAATATCTTCAAATAAAAACTAGACAGAAGCATTCTCATAAACTTGTTTGTGATGTGTGAACTCAGCTAACAGACGTGGATCTTTCTTTTGATACAGCAGTTTTGAAAAACACTTTTTGTTGAATCTGCAAGTGGACATTGGATAGATATGAAGATTTCATTGGAAACGGGAATATCTTCATATCAAATCTATACAGAAGCATTCTCAGAAACGTCTTTGCGATGTTTGCATTCAACTCATAGAGTTGAACATTCCGTTTCAGAGAGCAGCTTTCAGGCACTCTTTTTGTAGTATGTGCAAGTGGATATTTGGAGCGCTCTGAGGCCTACGGTGAAAAAGCAAATATCTTCCCATAACCACTAGACAGAAACATTCTCAGAAACTTCTTTCTGACGTATGTACTCAACTAACAGAGAAGAACCTACCTTTTGACAGAGCATTTTTGATACACTCTTTTTGTAGAATCTGCAAGTGGATATTTGGATAGCTCTGAAGATTTCTTTGGAAACGGGAATATCTTCATATCAAATCTAGACAGAAGCATTCTCAGAAACTGCTCTGTGATGTCTGCATTCAAGTCACAGAGTTGAAGATTGCCTTTCATAGAGCAGGTTTGAAATGCTCTTTTTGTAGTATATGGAAGTGGACGTTTCAGACGGTTTGAGGCCCATGGTGATAAAGGGAATATCTTCCCCTACAAGCTAGAAAGAAGCATTCTGTGAAACTTGTTTTTGATGTGTGTACTCAACTAACAGAGTTGAACCTTTCTTTTTACAGAGCAGTTTTGAAACACTCTTTTTGTAGAATCTGCGAGGGGATATTTGGATAGATTTCAGGATTTCGTTGGAAACGGGAATATCTTAATATAAAATCTCGACAGAAGCATTCTCAGAAACTTCTTTGTGATATGTGCATTCAAGTCACAGAGTTGAATATTCCCTTTCACAGAGTAGGTTTGAAACACTCTCTTTGTAGTATCTGGAAGTGGACATTTGGAGCGCCTTGACACCTACGGTGAAAAGGGAAATATCTTCCCATAAAAACTAGACAGAAGCAATCTCAGAATCTTCTTTGGGATATATGCACGCAGCTAACAGAGTTCAACCTTCCTATTGACAGAGCAGTTTTGAAACAGTCTTTCTGTGGAATCTGCAAGTGGATATTTGGATGGATTGGAGGATTTCGTTGGAAACGGGATTACGTATAAAAAGTAGACAGCAGCATCCTCAGAAACTTCTTTGTGATGTCTGCATTCAAGTCACAGAGTTGAACATTCCCTTTCGTACAGCAGTTTTGAAACACTCTTTCTGTAGTATCTGGAAGTGAACATTAGGACAGCTTTCAGGTCTATGGTGAGAAAGGAAATATCTTCAAATAAAAACTAGACAGAAGCATTCTCATAAACTTGTTCGTGATGTGTGAACTCAGCTAACACACGGTGGATCTTTCTTTTGATAGAGCAGTTCTGAAAAACACTTTTTGTTGAATCTGCAAGAGGACAGTTGGATAGATTTGAAGGTTTCGTTGGAAACGGGAATATCTTCATATCAAATCTAGACAGAAGCATTCTCAGAAACGTCTTTGTGATGTTTGCATTCAACTCATAGAGTTGAACATTCCCTTCCAGAGAGCAGCTTTGAAGCACTCTTTTTGTAGCATGTGCAAGTGGACATTTGGAGCGCCCTGAGGCCTACGGGGAAAAAGCAAATATCTTCCCATAACCACTAGACAGAAACATTCTCAGAAACTCCTTTATGACGTATGCACTCACCTAACAGAGAAGAACCTTCCTTTTGACAGAGCAGTTTTGATACACTCTTTTTGTAGAATCTGCAAGTGGATATTTGGATAGCTGTGAAGATTTCGTTGGAAACGGGAATAGCTTCCTATAAAATCTAGACAGAAGCATTCTCAGAAACTGCTCTGTGATGTCTGCATTCAAGTCACAGAGTTGAACATTGCCTTTCATAGAGCAGTTTTGAAACGCTCTTTTTGTAGTATATGGAAGTGGACGTTTCGGACGGTTTGAGGCCCATGGTGATAAAGGGAATATCTTCCCCTACAAGCTAGAAAGAAGCATTCTGTGAAACTTGTTTGTGATGTGTGTACTCAACTAACAGAGTTGAACCTTTCTTTTTACAGAGCAGTTTTGAAACATTCTTTTTGTAGAATCTGCGAGGGTATATTTGGATTGATTTCAGGATTTCGTTGGAAACGGGAATATCTTCATATAAAATCTCGACAGAAGCATTCTCAGAAACTTCTTTGTGATATGTGCATTCAAGTCACAGGGTTGAATATTCCCTTTCACAGAGTAGGTTTGAAACACTCTTTTTGTAGTATCTGGAAGTGGACATTTGGAGCGCCTTGACACCTATGGTGAAAAGGGAAATATCTTCCCATAAAAACTAGACAGAAGCAATCTCAGAATCTTCTTTGGGATATATGCACGCAGCTAACAGAGTTGAACCTATCTATTGACAGAGCAGTTTTGAAACAGTCTTTCTGTGGAATCTGCAAGTGGATATTTGGATAGCTTGGAGGATTTCGTTGGAAACGGGATTAAGTATAAAAAGTAGACAGCAGCATCCTCAGAAACTTCTTTGTGATGTGTGCATTCAAGTCACAGAGTTGAACATTCCCTTTCGTACAGCAGTTTTGAAACACTCTTTCTGTAGTAACTGGAAATGAACATTAGGACAGCTTTCAGGTCTATGGTGAGAAAGGAAATATCTTCAAATAAAAACTAGACAGAAGCATTCTCATAAACTTGTTTGTGATGTGTGAACTCAGCTTACAGAGGTGGATCTTTCTTTTGATAGAGCAGTTCTGAAAAACACTTTTTGTTGAATCTGCAAGTGGACATTTGGATAGATTTGAAGATTTCGTTGGAAACGGGAATATCTTCATATTAAATCTAGACAGAAGCATTCTCAGAAACGTCTTTGTGATGTTTGCATTCAACTCATAGAGTTGAACATTCCCTTTCAGAGAGCAGATTTGAAGCACTCTTTTTGTAGCATGTGCAAGTGGACATTTGGAGCGCCCTGAGGCCTACGGGGAAAAAGCAAATATCTTCCCATAACCACTAGACAGAAACATTCTCAGAAACTCCTTTATGACGTATGCACTCACCTAACAGAGAAGAACCTTCCTTTTGACAGAGCAGTTTTGATACACTCCTTTTGTAGAATCTGCAAGTGGATATTTTGATAGCTGTGAAGATTTCGTTGGAAACGGGAATATCTTCCTATAAAACCTAGACAGAAGCATTCTCAGCAAACTGCTCTGTGATGTCTGCATTCAAGTCACAGAGTTGAACATTGCCTTTCATAGAGCAGGTTTGAAACGCTCTTTTTGTACTATATGGAAGAGGACGTTTCGGACGGTTTGAGGCCCATGGTGATAAAGGGAATATCTTCCCCTACAAGCTAGAAAGAAGCATTGTGTGAAACTTGTTTGTGATGTTTGTACTCAACTAACAGAGTTGAACCTTTCTTTTTACAGAGCAGTTTTGAAACACTCTTTTTGTAGAATCTGCGAGGGGATATTTGGATACATTTCAGGATTTCGTTGGAAACGGGAATATCTTCATATAAAATCTCGACAGAAGCATTCTCAGAAACTTCTTTGTGATATCTGCCTTTAAGTCACAGAGTTGAATATTCCCTTTCACAGAGTAGGTTTGAAACACTCTTTTTGTAGTATCTGGAAGTGGGCATTTGGAGCGCCTTGACACCTACGGTGAAAAGGGAAATATCTTCCCATAAAAACTAGACAGAAGCAATCTCAGAATCTTCTTTGGGATATATGCAGGCAGCTAACAGAGTTGAACCTTTCTATTGACAGAGCAGTTTTGAAACAGTCTTTCTGTGGAATCTGCAAGTGGATATTTGGATAGCTTGGAGGATTTCGTTGGAAACGGGATTACGTATAAAAAGTAGACACCAGCATCCTCAGTAAACTTCTTTGTGATGTGTGCATTCAAGTCACAGAGTTGAACATTCCCTTTCGTACAGCAGTTTTGAAACACTCTTTCTATAGTATCTGGAAGTGAACATTAGGACAGCTTTCAGCTCTATGGTGAGAAAGGAAATATCTTCAAATAAAAACTAGACAGAAGCATTCTCATAAACTTGTTTGTGATGTGTGAACTCAGCTAACAGACGTGGATCTTTCTTTTGATAGAGCAGTTCTGAAAAACACGTTTTGTTGAATCTGCAAGTGGACATTTGGATAGATTTGAAGATTTCGTTGGAAACGGGAATATCGTCATATCAAATCTAGACAGAAGCATTCTCAGAAACGTCTTTGTGATGTTTGCATTCAACTCATAGAGTTGAACATTCCGTTTCAGAGAGCAGCTTTGAAGCACTCTTTTTGTAGTATGTGCAAGGGGATATTTGGAGCGCTCTGAGGCCTACGGTGAAAAAGCAAATATCTTCCCATAACCACTAGACAGAAACATTCTCAGAAACTCCTTTATGACGTATGCACTCACCTAACAGAGAAGAACCTTCCTTTTGACAGAGCACTTTTGATACACTCTTTTTGTAGAATCTGAAAGTGGATATTTGGATAGCTGTGAAGATTTCTTTGGAAACGGGAATATCTTCCTATAAAATCTAGACAGAAGCATTCTCAGAAACTGCTCTGTGATGTCTGCATTCAAGTCACAGAGTTGAACATTGCCGTTCATAGAGCAGGTTTGAAACACTCTTTTTGTAGTATATGGAAGTGGACGTTTCGGACGGTTTGAGGCCCATGGTCATAAAGGGAATATCTTCCCCTACAAGCTAGAAAGAAGCATTCTCTGAAACTTGTTTGTGATGTGTGTACTCAAGTAACAGAGTTGAACCTTTCTTTTTACAGAGCAGTTTTGAAACACTCTTTTTGTAGAATCTGCGAGGGGATATTTGGATAGATTTCAGCATTTCGTTGGAAACGGGAATATCTTCATATAAAATCTCGACAGAAGCATTCTCAGAAACTTCTTTGTGATATCTGCCTTCAAGTCACAGAGTTGAATATTCCCTTTCACAGAGTAGGTTTGAAACACTCTTTTTGTAGTATCTGGAAGTGGACATTTGGAGCGCCTTTACGCCTACGGTGAAAAGGGAAATATCTTCCCATAAAAACTAGACAAAAGCAATCTCAGAATCTTCTTTGGGATATATGCACGCAGCTAACAGAGTTGAACCTTTCTATTGACAGAGCAGTTTTGAAACAGTCTTTCTGTGGAATCTGCAAGTGGATATTTGGATAGATTGGAGGATTTCGTTGGAAACGGGATTACCGTATAAAAAGTAGACAGCAGCATCCTCAGAAAACTTCTTTGTGATGTGTGCATTCAAGTCACAGAGTTGAACATTCCCTTTCGTACAGCAGTTTTGAAACACTCTTTCTGTAGTATCTGGAAGTGAACATTAGGACAGCTTTCAGGTCTATGGTGAGAAAGGAAACATCTTCAAATAAAAACTAGACAGAAGCATTCTCATAAACTTGTTTGTGATGTGTGAACTCAGCTAACAGAGGTGGATCTTTCTTTTGATAGAGCAGTTCTGAAAAACAATTTTTGTTGAATCTGCAAGTGGACATTTGGATAGATTTGAAGATTTCGTTGGAAACGGGAATATCTTCATATCAAATCTAGACAGAAGCATTCTCATAAACGTCTTTGTGATGTTTGCATTCAACTCCTAGAGTTGAACATTCCGTTTCAGAGAGCAGCTTTGAAGCACTCTTTTTGTAGTATGTGCAAGTGGATATTTGGAGCGCTCTGAGGCCTACGGTGAAAAAGCAAATATCTTCCCATAACCACTAGACAGAAACATTCTCAGAAACTCCTTTATGACGTATGCATTCACCTAACAGAGAAGAACCTTCCTTTTGACTGAGCACTTTTGATACACTCTTTTTGCAGAATCTGCAAGTGGATATTTGGATAGCTGTGAAGATTTCGTTGGAAACGGGAATATCTTCCTATAAAATCTAGACAGAAGCATTCTCAGAAACTGCTCTGTGATGTCTGCATTCAAGTCACAGAGTTGAACATTGCCTTTCATAGAGCAGGTTTGAAACGCTCTTTTTGTAGTATATGGAAATAGACGTTTCGGACGGTTTGAGGCCCATGGTGATAAAGGGAATATCTTCCCCTACAAGCTAGAAAGAAGCATTCTGTGAAACTTGTTTGTGATGTGTGTACTCAACTAAGAGAGTTGAACCTTTCTTTTTACAGAGCAGTTTTGAAACACTCTTTTTGTAGAATCTGCGAGGGGATATTTGGATAGATTTCAGGATTTCGTTGGAAACGGGAATATCTTCATATAAAATCTCGACAGAAGCATTCTCAGAAACTTCTTTGTGATATCTGCATTCAAGTCACAGAGTTGAATATTCCCTTTCACAGAGTAGGTTTGAAACACTCTTTTTGTAGTATCTGTAAGTGGACATTTGGAGCGCCTTGACGCCTATGGTGAAAAGGGAAATATCTTCTCATAAAAAGTAGACACAAGCAATCTCAGAATCTTCTTTGGGATATATGCAGGCAGCTAACAGAGTTGAACCTTTCTATTGACAGAGCAGTTTTGAAACAGTCTTTCTGTGGAATCTGCAAGTGGATATTTGGATAGCTTGGAGGATTTCGTTGGAAACGGGATTACGTATAAAAAGTAGACAGCAGCATCCTCAGAAACTTCTTTGTGATGTGTCCATTCAAGTCACAGAGTTGAACATTCCCTTTCGTACAGCAGTTTTGAAACACTCTTTCTGTAGTATCTGGAAGTGAACATTAGGACAGCTTTCAGCTCTATGGTGAGAAAGGAAATATCTTCAAATAAAAACTAGACAGAAAGCATTCTCATAAACTTGTTTGTGATGTGTGAACTCCGCTAACATAGGTGGATCTTTCTTTTGATAGAGCAGTTCTGAAAAACACTTTTTGTTGAATCTGCAAGTGGACATTTGGATAGATTTGAAGATTTCGTTGGAAACGGGAATATCTTCATATCAAATCTAGACAGAAGCATTCTCAGAAACGTCTTTGTGATGTTTGCATTCAACTCATAGAGTTGAACATACCCTTTCAGAGAGCAGCTTTGAAGCACTCTTTTTGTAGTATGTGCAAGTGGATATTTGGAGCGCTCTGAGGCCTACGGTGAAAAAGCAAATATCTTCCCATAACCACTAGACAGAAACATTCTCAGAAACTCCTTTATGACGTATGCACTCACCTAACAGAGAAGAACCTTCCTTTTGACAGAGCAGTTTTGATACACTCTTTTTGTAGAATCTGCAAGTGGATATTTGAATAGCTGTGAAGATTTCGTTGGAAACGGGAATATCTTCCTATAAAATCTAGACAGAAGCATTCTCAGAAACTGCTCTGTGATGTCTGCATTCAAGGTCACAGAGTTGAACATTGCCGTTCATAGAGCAGGTTTGAAACACTCTTTTTGTAGTATATGGAAGTGGACGTTTCGGACGGTTTGAGGCCCATGGTGATAAAGGGAATATCTTCCCCTACAAGCTAGAAAGAAGCATTCTGTGAAACTTGTTTGTGATGTGTGTACTCAACTAACAGAGTTGAACCTTTCTTTTTACAGAGCAGTTTTGAAACACTCTTTTTGTAGAATCTACGAGGGGATATTTGGATAGATTTCAGGATTTCGTTGGAAACGGGAATATCTTCATATAAAATCTCGACAGAAGCATTCTCAGAAACTTCCTTGTGATATGTGCATTCAAGTCACAGCGTTGAATATTCCCTTTCACAGAGTAGGTTTGAAACACTCTTTTTGTAGTATCTGGAAGTGGACATTTGGAGCGCCTTGACGCCCACGGTGAAAAGGGAAATATCTTCCCATAAAAACTAGACAGAAGGAATCTCAGAATCTTCTTTGGGATATATGCACGCAGCTAACAGATTTGAACCTTTCTATTGACAGAGCAGTTTTGAAACAGTCTTTCTGTGGAATCTGCAAGTGGATATTTGGATAGCTTGGAGGATTTCGTTGGAAACGGGATTACGTATAAAAAGTAGACAGCAGCATCCTCAGAAACTTCTTTGTGATGTGTGCATTCAAGTCACAGAGTTGAACATTCCCTTTCGTACAGCAGTTTTGAAACACTCTTTCTGTAGTATCTGGAAGTGAACATTAGGACAGCTTTCAGCTCTATGGTGAGAAAGGAAATATCTTCAAATGAAAACTAGACAGAAGAATTCTCATAAACTTGTTTGTGATGTGTGAACTCAGCTAAGAGAGGTGGATCTTTCTTTTGATAGAGCAGTTCTGAAAAACACTTTTTGTTGAATCTGCAAGTGGACATTTGGATAGATTTGAAGATTTCGTTGGAAACGGGAATATCTTCATATCAAATCTAGACAGAAGCATTCTCAGAAACGTCTTTGTGATGTTTGCATTCAACTCATAGAGTTGAACATTCCCTTTCAGAGAGCAGCTTTGAAGCACTCTTTTTGTAGTATGTGCAAGGGGGTATTTGGAGAGCTCTGAGGCCTAAGGTGAAAAAGCAAATATCTTCCCATAACCACTAGACAGAAACATTCTCAGAAACTCCTTTATGACGTATGCACTCACCTAACAGAGAAGAACCTTCCTTTTGACAGAGCAGTTTTGATACACTCTTTTTGTAGAATCTGAAAGTGGATATTTGGATAGCTGTGAAGATTTCGTTGGAAACGGGAATATCCTCCTATAAAATCTAGACAGAAGCATTCTCAGAAACTGCTCTGTGATGTCTGCATTCAAGTCACAGAGTTGAACATTGCTTTTCGTAGAGCAGGTTTGAAACGCTCTTTTTGTAGTATATGGAAGTAGACGTTTCGGACGGTTTGAGGCCCATGGTGATAAAGGGAATATCTTCCCCTACAAGCTAGAAAGAAGCATTCTGTGAAACTTGTTTGTGATGTGTGTACTCAACTAACAGTGTTGAACCTTTCTTTATACAGAGCAGTTTTGAAACACTCTTTTTGTAGAATCTGCGAGGGGATATTTGGATAGATTTCAGGATTTCGTTGGAAACTGGAATATCTTCATATAAAATCTCGACAGAAGCATTTTCAGAAACTTCTTTGTGATATGTGCATTCAAGTCACAGAGTTGAATATTCCCTTTCACAGAGTAGGTTTGAAACACTCTTTTTGTAGTATCTGGAAGTGGACATTTGGAGCGCCTTGACGCCTATGGTGAAAAGGGAAATATCTTCCCATAAAAACTAGACAGAAGCAATCTCAGAATCTTCTTTGGGATATATGTACGCAGCTAATAGAGTTGAACCTTTCTATTGACAGAGCAGTTTTGAAACAGTCTTTCTGTGGAATCTGCTAGTGGATATTTGGATAGCTTGGAGGATTTCGTTGGAAACGGGATTACGTATAAAAAGTAGACAGCAGCATCCTCAGAAACTTCTTTGTGATGTGTGCATTCAAGTCACAGAGTTGAACATTCCCTTTCCTACAGCAGTTTTGAAACACTCTTTCTGTAGTATCTGGAAGTGAACATTAGGACAGCTTTCAGGTCTATGGTGAGAAAGGAAATATCTTCAAATAAAAACTAGACAGAAGCATTCTCATAAACTTCTTTGTGATGTGTGAACTCAGCTAACAGACGTGGATCTTTCTTTTGATACAGCAGTTTTGAAAAACACTTTTTGTTGAATCTGCAAGTGGACATTTGGATAGATTTGAAGATTTCGTTGGAAACGGGAATATCTTCATATCAAATCTAGACAGAAGCATTCTCAGAAACGTCTTTGTGATGTTTGCATTCAACTCATAGAGTTGAACATTCCCTTCCAGAGAGTAGCTTTGAAGCACTCTTTTTGTAGCATGTGCAAGTGGACATTTGGAGCGCCCTGAGGCCTACGGGGAAAAAGCAAATATCTTCCCATAACCACTTGACAGAAACATTCTCAGAAACTCCTTTATGACGTATGTGCTCAACTAACAGAGAAGAACCTTCCTTTTGACAGAGCAGTTTTGATACACTCTTTTTGTAGAATCTGCAAGTGGATATTTGGATAGCTGTGAAGATTTCGTTGGAAACGGGAATATCTTCCTATAAAATCTAGACAGAAGCATTCTCAGAAACTGCTCTGTGATGTCTGCATTCAAGTCACAGAGTTGAACATTGCCTTTCCTAGAACAGGTTTGAAAAGCTCTTTTTGTAGTACATGGAAGTGGACGTTTCGGACGGTTTGAGGCCCATGGTGATAAAGGGAATATCTTCCCCTACAAGCTAGAAAGAAGCATTCTGTGAAACTTGTTTGTGATGTGTGTACTCAACTAACAGAGTTGAACCTTTCTTTTTACAGAGCAGTTTTGAAACACTCTTTTTGTAGAATCTGCGAGGGGATATTTGGATAGATTTCAGGATTTCGTTGGAAACGGGAATATCTTCATATAAAATCTCGACAGCAGCATTCTCAGAAACTTCTTTGTGATATGTGCATTCAAGTTACAGAGTTGAATATTCCCTTTCACAGAGTAAGTTTGAAACCCTCTTTTAGTAGTATCTGGAAGTGGACATTTGGAGCGCCTTGACGCCTACGGTGAAAAGGGAAATATCTTCCCATAAAAACTAGACAGAAGCAATCTCAGAATCTTCTTTGGGATATATGCACGCAGCTAACAGAGTTGAACCTTTCTATTGACAGAGCAGTTTTGAAACAGTCTTTCTGTGGAATCTGCAAGTGGATATTTGATTAGCTTGGAGGATTTCGTTGGAAACGGGATTAAGTATAAAAAGTAGACAGCAGCATCCTCAGAAACTTCTTTGTGATGTGTGCATTCAAGTCACAGAGTTGAATATTCCCTTTCGTACAGCAGTTTTGAAACACTCTTTCTGTAGTATCTGGAAGTGAAAACTAGGACAGCTTTCAGGTCTATGGTGAGAAAGGAAATATCTTCAAATAAAAACTAGACAGAAAGCATTCTCATAAACTTGTTTCTGATGTGTGAACTCAGCTAACAGACGTGGATCTTTCTTTTGATACAGCAGTTTTGAAAAACACTTTTTGTTGAATCTGCAAGTGGACATTTGGATAGATTTGAAGATTTCGTTGGAAACGGGAATATCTTCATATCAAATCTAGACAGAAGCATTCTCAGAAACGTCTTTGTGATGTTTGCATTCAACCCATAGAGTTGAACATTCCGTTTCAGAGAGCAGCTTTGAGGCACTCTTTTTGTAGTATGTGCAAGTGGATATTTGGTGCGCTGTGAGGCCTACGGTGAAAAAGAAAATATCTTCCCAAAACCACTAGACAAAAACATTCTCAGAAACTCCTTTATGACGTATGCACTCACCTAACAGAGAAGAACCTTCCTTTTGACAGAGCAGTTTTGATACACTCTTTTTGTAGAATCTGCAAGTGGATATTTGGATAGCTGTGAAGATTTCGTTGGAAACGGGAATATCTTCCTATAAAATCTAGACGGAAGCATTCTCAGAAACTGCTCTGTGATGTCTGCATTCAAGTCACAGAGTTGAACATTGCCTTTCATAGAGCAGGTTTGAAACGCTCTTTTTGTAGTATATGGAAGTGGACGTTTCGGACGGTTGGAGGCCCACGGTGATAAAGGGAATATCTTCCCCTACAAGCTAGAAAGAAGCATTGTGTGAAACTTGTTTGTGATGTGTGTTCTCAACTAACAGAGTTGAACCTTTCTTTTTACAGAGCAGTTTTGAAACACTCTTTTTGTAGAATCTGCGAGGGGATATTTGGATACATTTCAGGATTTCGTTGGAAACGGGAATATCTTCATATAAAATCTCGACAGAAGCATTCTCAGAAACTTCCCTTGTGATATGTGCATTCAAGTCACAGAGTTGAATATTCCCTTTCACAGAGTAGGTTTGAAACACTCTTTTTGTAGTATCTGGAAGTGGACATTTGGAGCGCCTTGACACCTACGGTGAAAAGGGAAAAATCTTCCCATAAAAACTAGACAGAAGCAATCTCACAATCTTCTTTGGGATATATGCACGCAGCTAACAGAGTTGAACCTTTCTATTGACAGAGCAGTTTTGAAACAGTCTTTCTGTGGAATCTGCAAGTGGATATTTGGATAGCTTGGAGGATTTCGTTGGAAACGGGATTACGTATAAAAATTAGACAGCAGCATCCTCAGAAACTTCTTTGAGATGTGTGCATTCAAGTCACAGAGTTGAACATTCCCTTTCGTACAGCAGTTTTAAAACACTCTTTCTGTAGTAACTGGAAGTGAACATTAGGACAGCTTTCAGGTCTATGGTGAGAAAGGAAATATCTTCAAATAAAAACTAGACAGAAGCATTCTCATAAACTTGTTTGTGATGTGTGAACTCAGCTAACAGAGGTGGATCTTTCTTTTGATAGAGCACTTCTGAAAAACACTTTTTGTTGAATCTGCAAGTGGACATTTGGATAGATTTGAAGATTTCGTTGGAAACGGGAATATCTTCATATCAAGTCTAGACAGAAGCATTCTCAGAAACGTCTTTGTGATGTTTGCATTCAACTCATAGAGTTGAACATTCCCTTCCAGAGAGCAGCTTTGAAGCACTCTTTTTGTAGCATGTGCAAGTGGACATTTGGAGTGCCCTGAGGCCTACGGGGAAAAAGCAAATATCTTCCCGTAACCACTAGACAGAAACATTCTCAGAAACTCCTTTATGACGTATGCACTCACCTAACAGAAAAGAACCTTCCTTTTGACAGAGCAGTTTTGATACACTCTTTTTGTAGAATCTGCAAGTGGATATTTGGATAGCTGTGAAGATTTCGTTGGAAACGGGAATATCTTCCTATAAAGTCTAGACAGAAGCATTCTCAGAAACTGCTCTGTGATGTCTGCATTCAAGTCACAGAGTTGAACATTGCCTTTCATAGAGCAGGTTTGAAACGCTCTTTTTGTAGTATATGGAAGTGGACGTTTCGGACGGTTTGAGGACCATGGTGATAAAGGGAATATCTTCCCCTACAAGCTAGAAAGAAGCATTCTGTGAAACTTGTTTGTGATGTGTGTGCTCAACTAACAGAGTTGAACCTTTCTTTTTACAGAGCAGTTTTGAAACACTCTTTCTGTAGAATCTGCGAGGGGATATTTGGATAGATTTCAGGATTTCGTTGGAAACGGGAATATCTTCATATAAAATCTCGACAGAAGCATTCTAAGAAGCTTCTTTGTGATATGTGCATTCAAGTCACAGAGTTGAATATTCCCTTTCACAGAGTAGGTTTGAAACACTCTTTTTGTAGTATCTGGAAGTGGACATTTGGAGCGCCTTGACGCCTACGGTGAAAAGGGAAATATCTTCTCATAAAAAGTAGACAGAAGCAATCTCAGAATCTTCTTTGGGATATATGCACGCAGCTAACAGAGTTGAACCTTTCTATTGACAGAGCAGTTTTGAAACAGTCTTTCTGTGGAATCTGCAAGTGGATATTTGGATAGCTTGGAGCATTTCATTGGAAACGGGATTACGTATAAAAAGTAGACAGCAGCATCCTCAGAAACTTCTTTGTGATGTGTGCATTCAAGTCACAGAGTTGAACACTCCCTTTCGTACAGCAGTTTTGAAACACTCTTTCTGTAGTATCTGGAAGTGAACATTAGGACAGCTTTCAGCTCTATGGTGAGAAAGGAAATATCTTCAAATAAAAACTAGACAGAAGCATTCTCATAAACTTGTTTGTGATGTGTGAACTCAGCTAACAGAGGTGGATCTTTCTTTTGATAGAGCAGTTCTGAAAAACACGTTTTGTTAAATCTGCAAGTGGACATTTGGATAGATTTGAAGATGTCGTTGGAAACGGGAATATCTTCATATCAAATCTAGACAGAAGCATTCTCAGAAACACCTTCGTGATGTTTGCAATCAAGTCACAGAGTTGAACCTTCCGTTTCATAGAGCAGGTTGGAAACACTCTTATTGTAGCATGTGCAAGTGGACATTTGGAGCGCCCTGAGGCCTACGGGGAAAAAGCAAATATCTTCCCATAACCACTAGACAGAAACATTCTCAGAAACTCCTTTATGACGTATGTACTCAACTAACAGAGAAGAACCTTCCTTTTGACAGAGCAGTTTTGATACACACTTTTTGTAGAATCTGCAAGTGCATATTTGGATAGCTGTGAAGATTTCGTTGGAAACGGGAATATCTTCCTATAAAATCTAGACAGAAGCATTCTCAGAAACTGCTCTGTGATGTCTGCATTCAAGTCACAGAGTTGAACATTGCCTTTCATAGAGCAGGTTTGAAATGATCTTTTTCTAGTATATGGAAGTGGACGTTTCAGACGGTTTGAGGCCCATGGTGATAAAGGGAATATCTTCCCCTACAAGCTAGAAAGAAGCATTCTGTGAAACTTGTTTGTGATGTGTGTACTCA
Organism: Homo sapiens; assembly: GCF_000001405.40. Lineage (NCBI taxonomy): Eukaryota > Metazoa > Chordata > Mammalia > Primates > Hominidae > Homo > Homo sapiens. The sequence goes on from NC_000014.9 coordinate 16,687,625, forward strand.
ACTGACAGAGTTGAACCTTTCTTTTTACAGAGCAGTTTTGAAACACTCTTTTTGTAGAATCTGCGAGGGGATATTTGGATAGATTTCAGGATTTCGTTGGAAACGGGAATATCTTCATATAAAATCTCGACAGAAGCATTCTCAGAAACTTCTTTGTGATATGTGCATTCAAGTCAAAGAGTTGAATATTCCCTTTCACAGAGTAGGTTTGAAACACTCTTTTTGTAGTATCTGGAAGTGGACATTTGGAGCGCCTTGACGCCTACGGTGAAAAGGGAAATATCTTCCCATAAAAACTAGACAGAAGCAATCTCAGAATTTTCTTTGGGATATATGCACATAGCTAATAGAGTTGAACCTTTCTATTGACAGAGCAGTTTTGAAACAGTCTTTCTGTGGAATCTGCAAGTGGATATTTGGATAGCTTGGAGGATTTCGTTGGAAACGGGATTACGTATAAAAAGTAGACAGCAGCATCCTCAGAAACATCCTTGTGATGTGTGCATTCAAGTCACAGTAGTTGAACATTCCCTTTCGTACAGCAGTTTTGAAACACTCTTTCTGTAGTATCTGGAAGTGAACTTTAGGACAGCTTTCAGGTCTATAGTGAGAAAGGATATATCTTCAAATAAAAACTAGACAGAAGCATCCTCAGAAACTTCTTTGTGATGTGTGCATTCAAGTCACAGTAGTTGAACATTCCCTTTCGTACAGCAGTTTTGAAACACTCTTTCTGTAGTATCTGGAAGTGAACATTAGGACAGCTTTCAGGTCTATGGTGAGAAAGGAAATATCTTCAAATAAAAACTACACAGAAGCATTCTCAGAAACGTCTTTGTGATGTTTGCATTCAACTCATAGAGTTGAACATTCCCTTTCAGAGAGCAGCTTTGAAGCACTCTTTTTGTAGCATGTGCAAGTGGACATTTGGAGCGCCCTGAGGCCTACGGGGAAAAAGCAAATATCTTCCCATAACCACAAGACAGAAACATTCTCAGAAACTCCTTTATGACGTATGCACTCACCTAACAGAGAAGAAACTTCCTTTTGACAGAGCAGTTTTGATACACTCTTTTTGTAGAATCTGCAAGTGGATATTTGGATAGCTGTGAAGATTTCGCTGGAAACGGGAATATCTTCCTATAAAATCTAGACAGAAGCATTCTGTGAAACTTGTTTGTGATGTGTGTACTCAACTAACAGAGTTGAACCTTTGTTTTTACAGAGCAGTTTTGAAACACTCTTTTTGTAGAATCTGCGAGGGGATATTTGGATAGATTTCAGGATTTCGTTGGAAACGGGAATATCTTCATATAAAATCTCGACAGAAGCATTCTCAGAAACTTCTTTGTGATATGTGCATTCAAGTCACAGAGTTGAATATTCCCTTTCACAGAGTAGGTTTGAAACACTCTTTTTGTAGAATCTGCGAGGGGATATTTGGATAGATTTCAGGATTTCGTTGGAAACGGGAATATCTTCATATAAAATCTCGACGGAAGCATTCTCTGAAACTTCTTTGTGATATGTGCATTCAAGTCACAGAGTTGAATATTCCCTTTCACAGAGTAGGTTTGAAACACTCTTTTTGTAGTATCTGGAAGTGGACATTTGGAGCGCCTTGACGCCTACGGTGAAAAGGGAAATATCTTCCCATAAAAACTAGACAGAAGCAAACTCAGAATCTTCTTTGTGATATATGCACGCAGCTAACAGAGTTGAACCTTTCTATTGACTGAGCAGATTTGAAACAGTCTTTCTGTGGAATCTGCAAGTGGATATTTGGATAGATTGGAGGATTTCGTTGGAAACGGGATTACGTATAAAAAGTACACAGCCGCATCCTCAGAAACATCTTTGTGATGTGTGCATTCAAGTCACAGAGTTGAACATTCCCTTTCGTACAGCAGTTTTGAAACACTCTTTCTGTAGTATCTGGAAGTGAACATTAGGACAGCTTTCAGGTCTATGGTGAGAAAGGAAATATCTTCAAATAAAAACTAGACAGAAGCATTCTCAAAAACTTGTTTGTGATGTGTGAACTCAGCTAACAGAGGTGGATCTTTCTTTTGATAGAGCAGTTCTGAAAAACACTTTTTGTTGAATCTGCAAGTGGACATTTGGATAGATTTGAAGATTTCGTTGGAAACGGGAATATCTTCATATCAAATCTAGACAGAAGCATTCCCAGAAACGTCTTTGTGATGTTTGCATTCAACTCATAGGGTTGAACATTCCCTTTCAGAGAGCAGCTTTGAAGCACTCTTTTTGTAGTATGTGCAAGTGGATATTTGGAGCGCTCTGAGGCCTACGGTGAAAAAGCAAATATCTTCCCATAACCACTAGACAGAAACATTCTCAGAAACTCCTTTATGACGTATGCACTCACCTAACAGAGAAGAACCTTCCTTTTGACAGAGCAGTTTTGATACACTCTTTTTGTAGAATCTGCAAGTGGATATTTGGATAGCTGTGAAGGTTTCGTTGGAAACGGAAATATCTTCCTATAAAATCTAGACAGAAGCATTCTCAGAAACTGCTCTGTGATGTCTGCTTTCAAGTCACAGAGTTGAACATTGCCTTTCATAGAGCAGGTTTGAAACGCTCTTTTTGTAGTATATGGAAGTGGATGTTTCGGACGGTTGGAGGCCCATGGTGATAAAGGGAATATCTTCCCCTACGAGCTAGAAAGAAGCATTGTGTGAAACTTGTTTGTGATGTGTGTACTCAACTAACAGAGTTGAACCTTTCTTTTTACAGAGCAGTTTTGAAACACTCTTTTTGTAGAATCTGCGAGGGGATATTTGGATACATTTCGGGATTTCGTTGGAAACGGGAATATCTTCATATAAAATCTCGACAGAAGCATTCTCAGAAACTTTCCTTGTGATATGTGCATTCAAGTCACAGAGTTGAATATTCCCTTTCACAGAGTAGGTTTGAAACACTCTTTTTGTAGTATCTGGAAGTGGACATTTGGAGCGCCTTGACGCCTACGGTGAAAAGGGAAATATCTTCCCATCAAAACTAGACAGAAGCAATCTCAGAATCTTCTTTGGGATATATGCACGCAGCTAACAGAGTTGAACCTTTCTATTGACAGAGCAGTTTTGAAACAGTCTTTCTGTGGAATCTGCAAGTGGATATTTGGATAGCTTGGAGGATTTCGTTGGAAACGGGATTACGTATCAAATGTAGACAGCAGCATCCTCAGTAAACATCCTTGTGATGTGTGCATTCAAGTCACAGAGTTGAACATTCCCTTTCGTACAGCAGTTTTGAAACACTCTTTCTGTAGTATCTGGAAGTGAACTTTAGGACAGCTTTCAGGTCTATAGTGAGAAAGGATATATCTTCAAATAAAAACTAGACAGAAGCATTCTCATAAACTTGTTTGTGATGTGTGAACTCAGCTAGGAGACGTGGATCTTTCTTTTGATAGAGCAGTTCTGAAAAACACGTTTTGTTGAATCTGCAAGTGGACATTTGGATAGATTTGAAGATTTCGTTGGAAACGGGAATATCTTCATATCAAATCTAGACAGAAGCATTCTCAGAAACGTCTTTGTGATGTTTGCATTCAACTCATAGAGTTGAACATTCCGTTTCAGAGAGCAGGTTTGAAGCACTCTTTTTGTAGTATGTGCAAGTGGATATTTGGAGCGCTCTGAGGCCTACGGTGAAAAAGCAAATATCTTCCCATAATCACTAGACAGAAACATTCTCAGAAACTCCTTTATGACGTATGCACTCACCTAACAGAGAAGAACCTTCCTTTTGACAGAGCAGTTTTGATACACTCTTTTTGTAGAATCTGCAAGTGGATATTTGGGATAGCTGTGAAGATTTCGTTGGAAACGGGCATATCTTCCTATAAAATCTAGACAGAAGCATTCTCAGAAACTGCTCTGTGATGTCTGCATTCAAGTAACAGAGTTGAACATTGCCTTTCATAGAGCAGGTTTGAAACGCTCTTTTTGTAGTATATGGAAGTGGACTTTTCGGACGGTTTGAGGCCCATGGTGATAAAGGGAATATCTTCCCCTACAAGCTAGAAAGAAGCATTGTGTGAAACTTGTTTGTGATGTGTGTACTCAACTGACAGATTTGAACCTTTCTTTTTACAGAGCAGTTTTGAAACACTCTTTTTGTAGAATCTGCGAGGGGATATTTGGATAGATTTCAGGATTTCGTTGGAAACGGGAATATCTTCATATAAAATCTCGACAGATGCATTCTCAGAAACTTCTTTGTGATATGTGCATTCTAGTCACAGAGTTGAATATTCCCTTTCACAGAGTAGGTTTGAAACACTCTTTTTGTAGTATCTGGAAGTGGACATTTGGAGCGCCTTGACGCCTACGGTGAAAAGGGAAATATCTTCCCATGAAAACTAGACAGAAGCAATCTCAGAATCTTCTTTGGGATATATGCACGCAGCTAACAGAGTTGAACCTTTCTATTGACAGAGCAGTTTTGAAACAGTCTTTCTGTGGAATCTGCAAGTGGATATTTGGATAGCTTGGAGGATTTCGTTGGAAACGGGATTACGTATAAAAATTAGACAGCAGCATCCTCAGAAACTTCCTTGTAATGTGTGCATTCAAGTCACAGAGTTGAACATTCCCTTTCCTACAGCAGTTTTGAAACACTCTTTCTGAAGTATCTGGAAGTGAACTTTAGGAGAGCTTTCATGTCTATAGTGAGAAAGGCTATATCTTCAAATAAAAAATAGACAGAAGCATTTTTAAAAACTTGTTTGTGATGTGTGAACTCAACTAACAGAGGTGGATCTTTCTTTCGATACAGCAGTTTTGAAAAACACTTTTTGTTGAATCTGCAAGTGGACATTTGGATAGATTGGAAGATTTCTTTGGAAACGGGAATATCTTCATATCAAATCTAGACAGAAGCATTCTCAGCAAACGTCTTTGTGATGTTTGCATTCAACCCATAGAGTTGAACATTCCCTTTCAGAGAGCAGCTTTGAAGCACTCTTTTTGTAGTATGTGCAAGGGGATATTTGGAGCGCTCTGAGGCCTAAGGTGAAAAAGCAAATATCTTCCCATAACCACTAGACAGAAACATTCTCAGAAACTCCTTTATGACGTATGCACTCACCTAACAGAGAAGAACCTTCCTTTTGACAGAGCAGTTTTGATACACTCTTTTTGTAGAATCTGCAAGTGGATATTTGGATAGCTGTGAAGATTTCGTTGGAAACGGGAATAACTTCCTATAAAATGTAGACAGAAGCATTCTCAGAAACTGCTCTGTGATGTCTGCATTCAAGTCACAGAGTTGAACATTGCCTTTCATAGAGCAGGTTTGAAACGCTCTTTTTGTAGTATATGGAAGTGGACGTTTCGGACGGTTTGAGGCCCATGGTGATAAAGGGAATATCTTCCCCTACAAGCTAGAAGGAAGCATTCTGTGAAACTTGTTTGTGATGTGTGTACTCAGCTAATAGAGTTGAACCTTTCTTTATACAGAGCAGTTTTGAAACACTCTTTTTGTAGAATCTGCGAGGGGATATTTGGATAGATTTCAGGATTTCGTTGGAAACGGGAATATCTTCATATAAAATCTCGACAGAAGCATTCTCAGAAACTTCTTTGTGATATCTGCATTCAAGTCACAGAGTTGAATATTCCCTTTCACAGAGTAGGTTTGAAACACTCTTTTTGTAGTATTTGGATGTGGACATTTTGAGCGCCTTGACGCCTACGGTGAAAAAGGAAATATCTTCCCATAAAAACTAGACAGAAGCAATCTCCGAATCTTCTTTGGGATGTATGCACGCAGCTAACAGAGTTGAACCTTTCTATTGACAGAGCAGTTTTGAAACAGTCTTTCTGTGGAATCTGCAAGTGGATATTTGGATAGCTTGGAGGATTTCGTTGGAAACGGGATTACGTATAAAAAGTAGACAGCAGCATTCTCAGAAACATCTTTGTGATGTGTGCATTCAAGTCAAAGTGTTGAACATTCCCTTTCGTACAGCAGGTTTGAAACACTCTTTCTGTAGTATCTGGAAGTGAACGGGACGAGAGCTTTCAGGCCTATAGTGAGAAAGGAGATATCTTCAAATAAAAACTAGACAGAAGCATTCTCATAAACTTGTTTGTGATGTGTGAACTCAGCTAACAGAGGTGGATCTTTCTTTTGATAGAGCAGTTCTGAAAAACACTTTTTGTTGAATCTGCAAGTGGACATTTTGATAGATATGAAGATTTCGTTGGAAACGGGAATATCTTCATATCAAATCTAGACAGAAGCATTCTCAGAAACGTCTTTGTGATGTTTGCATTGAACTCATAGAGTTGAACATTCCGTTTCAGAGACCAGCTTTGAAGCACTCTTTTTGTAGTATGTGCAAGTGGATATTTGGAGCGCTCTGAGGCCTACGGTGAAAAAGCAAATATCTTCCCATAACCACTAGACAGAAACATTCTCAGAAACTCCTTTATGACGTATGTACTCAACTAACAGAGAAGAACCTTCCTTTTGACAGAGCAGTTTTGATAAACTCATTTTGTAGAATCTGCAAGTGGATATTTGGATAGCTGTGAAGATTTCGCTGGAAACGGGAGTATCTTCCTATAAAATCTAGACAGAAGCATTCTCAGAAACTGCTCTGTGATGTCTGCATTCAAGTCACAGAGTTGAACATTGCCTTTCATAGAGCAGGTTTGAAATGCTCTTTTTGTAGTATATGGAAGTTGACGTTTCGGACGGTTTGAGGCCCATGGTGATAAAGGGAATATCTTCCCCTACAAGCTAGAAAGAAGCATTCTGTGAAACTTGTTTGTGATGTGTGTACTCAACTAACAGAGTTGAACCTTTCTTTTCACAGAGCAGTTTTGAAACACTCTTTTTGTAGAATCTGCGAGGGGATATTTGGATAGATTTCAGGATTTCGTTGGGAACGGGAATATCTTCATATAAAATCTCGACAGAAGCATTCTCAGAAACTTCCTTGTGATATGTGCATTCAAGTCACAGTGTTGAATATTCCCTTTCACAGAGTAGGTTTGAAACACTCTTTTTGTAGTATCTGGAAGTGGACATTTGGAGCGCCTTGACGCCTACGGTGAAAAGGGAAATATCTTCCCATAAAAACTAGACAGAAGCAATCTCAGAATCTTCTTTGGGATATATGTACGCAGCTAATAGAGTTGAACCTTTCTATTGACAGAGCAGTTTTGAAACAGTCTTTCTGTGGAATCTGCAAGTGGATATTTGGATACCTTGGAGGATTTCGTTGGAAACGGGATTACGTATAAAAAGTAGACAGCAGCATCCTCAGAAACTTCTTTGTGATGTGTGCATTCAAGTCACAGAGTTGAACATTCCCTTTCGTACAGCAGTTTTGAAACACTCTTTCTGTAGTATCTGGAAGTGAACATTAGGACAACTTTCAGCTCTATGGTGAGAAAGGAAATATCTTCAAATAAAAACTAGACAGAAGCATTCTCATAAACTTGTTTGTGATGTGTGAACTCAGCTAACGGAGGTGGATCTTTCTTTTGATAGAGCAGTTCTGAAAAACACTTTTTGTTGAATCTGCAAGTGGACATTTGGATAGATTTGAAGATTTCGTTGGAAACGGGAATATCTTCATATCAAATCTAGACAGAAGCTTCTCAGAAACGTCTTTGTGATGTTTGCATTCAACTCATAGAGTTGAACATTCCCTTTCAGAGAGCAGCTTTGAAGCACTGTTTTTGTAGTATGTGCAAGTGGATATTTGGAGCGCTCTGAGGCCTAAGGTGAAAAAGCAAATATCTTCCCATAACCACTAGACAGAAACATTCTCAGAAACTCCTTTATGACGTATGCACTCACCTAACAGAGAAGAACCTTCCTTTAGACAGAGCAGTTTTGATACACTCTTTTTGTAGAATCTGCAAGTGGATATTTGGATAGCTGTGAAGATTTCGTTGGAAACGGGAATATCTTCCTATAAAATCTAGACAGAAGCATTCTCAGAAACTGCTCTGTGATGTCTGCATTCAAGTTACAGAGTTGAACATTGCCTTTCATAGAGCAGGTTTGAAACGCTCTTTTTGTAGTATATGGAAGTGGACGTTTCGGACGGTTTGAGGCCCATGGTGATAAAGGGAATATCTTCCCCTACAAGCTAGAAAGAAGCATTCTGTGAAACTTGTTTGTGATGTGTGTACTCAACTAACAGAGTTGAACCTTTCTTTTTACAGAGCAGTTTTGAAACACTCTTTTTGTAGAATCTGCGAGGGGATATTTGGATAGATTTCAGGATTTCGTTGGAAACGGGAATATCTTCATATAAAATCTCGACAGAAGCATTCTCAGAAACTACTTTGTGATATCTGCATTCAAGTCACAGAGTTGAATATTCCCTTTCACAGAGTAGGTTTGAAACACTCTTTTTGTAGTATCTGGAAGTGGACATTTGGAGCGCCTTGACACCTACGGTGAAAAAGGGAAATATCTTCCCATAAAAACTAGACAGAAGGAATCTCAGAATCTTCTTTGGGATATATGCACGCAGCTAACAGAGTTGAACCTTTCTATTGATAGAGCAGTTTAGAAACAGTCTTTCTGTGGAATCTGCAAGTGGATATTTGGATAGCTTGGAGGATTTCGTTGGAAACGGGATTACGTATAAAAAGTAGACAGCAGCATCCTCAGAAACTTCTTTGTGATGTGTGCATTCAAGTCACAGAGTTGAACATTCCCTTTCGTACAGCAGTTTTGAAACACTCTTTCTGTAGTATCCGGAAGTGAACATTAGGACAGCTTTCAGCTCTATGGTGAGAAAGGAAATATCTTCAAATAAAAACTAGACAGAAGCATTCTCATAAACTTGTTTGTGATGTGAGAACTCAGCTAACAGAGGTGGATCTTTCTTTTGATAGAGCAGTTCTGAAAAACACTTTTTGTTGAATCTGCAAGTGGACATTTGGATAGATTTGAAGATTTCGTTGGAAACGGGAATATCTTCATATCAAATCTAGACAGAAGCATTCTCAGAAACGTCTTTGTGATGTTTGCATTCAACTCATAGAGTTGAACATTCCGTTTCAGAGAGCAGCTTTGAAGCACTCTTTTTGTAGTATGTGCAAGTGGATATTTGGTGCGCTCTGAGGCCTACGGTGAAAAAGCAAATATCTTCCCATAACCACTAGACAGAAACATTCTCAGAAACTCCTTTATGACGTATGCACTCACCTAACAGAGAAGAACCTTCCTTTTGACAGAGCAGTTTTGATACACTCTTTTTGTAGAATCTGCAAGTGGATATTTGAATAGCATTGAAGATTTCGTTGGAAACGGGAATATCTTCGTATAAAATCTAGACAGCAGCATTCTGAGAAACTGCTCTGTGATGTCTGCATTCAAGTCACAGAGTTGAACATTGCCTTTCATAGAGCAGGTTTGAAACGCTCTTTTTGTAGTATATGGAAGTGGACGTTTCGGACGGTTTGAGGCCCATGGTGATAAAGGGAATATCTTCCCCTACAAGCTAGAAAGAAGCATTCTGTGAAACTTGTTTGTGATGTGTGTACTCAACTAACAGAGTTGAACCTTTCTTTTTACAGAGCAGTTTTGAAACACTCTTTTTGTAGAATCTGCGAGGGGATATTTGGATACATTTCAGCATTTTGTTGGAAACGGGAATATCTTCATATAAAATCTCGACAGAAGCATTCTCAGAAACTTATTTGTGATATCTGCATTCAAGTCACAGAGTTGAATATTCCCTTTCACAGAGTAGGTTTGAAACACTCTTTGTAGTATCTGGAAGTGGACATTTGGAGCGCCTTGACGCCTACGGTGAAAAGGGAAATATCTTCCCATAAAAACAAGACAGAAGCAATCTCAGAATCTTCTTTGGGATATATGCACGCAGCTAACAGAGTTGAACCTTTCTATTGACAGAGCAGTTTTGAAACAGTCTTTCTGTGGAATCTGCAAGTGGATATTTGGATAGATTGGAGGATTTCGTTGGAAAGGGGATTACGTATCAAAAGTAGACAGCAGCATCCTCAGAAACTTCTTTGTGATGTGTGCATTCAAGTCACAGAGTTGAACATTCCCTTTCGTACAGCAGTTTTGAAACACTCTTTCTGTAGCATCTGGAAGTAAACATTAGGACAGCTTTCAGGTCTATGGTGAGAAAGGAAATATCTTCAAATAAAAACTAGACAGAAGCATTCTCATAAACTTGTTTGTGATGTCTGAACTCAGCTAACAGAGGTGGATCTTTCTTTTGATAGAGCAGTTCTGAAAAACACTTTTTGTTGAATCTGCAAGTGGACATTTGGATAGATTTGAAGATTTCGTTGGAAACGGGAATATCTTCATATCAATCTAGACAGAAGCATTCTCAGAAACGTCTTTGTGATGTTTGCATTCAACTCATAGAGTTGAACATTCCGTTTCAGAGAGCAGGTTTGAAGCACTCTTTTTGTAGTATGTGCAAGTGGATATTTGGAGCGCTCTGAGGTCTACGGTGAAAAAGCAAATATCTTCCCATAACCACTAGACAGAAACATTCTCAGAAACTTCTTTATGACGTATGTACTCAACTAGCAGAGAAGAACTTTCCTTTTGACAGAGCATTTTTGATACACTCTTTTTGTACTATCTGCAAGTGGATATTGGGATAGCTGTGAAGATTTCGTTGGAAACGGGAATATCTTCCTATAAAGTCTGGACAGAAGCATTCTCAGAAACTGCTCTGTGATGTCTGGATTCAAGTCACAGAGTTGAACATTGCCTTTCATAGAGCAGGTTTCAAACACTCTTTTTTTAGTATATGGAAGTGGATGTTTCGGACGGTTTGAGGTCCATGGTGATACAGGGAATATCTTCCCCTACAAGCTAGAAAGAAGCATTCTGTGAAACTTGTTTGTGATGTGTGTACTCAACTAACAGAGTTGAACCTTTCTTTTTACAGAGCAGTTTTGAAACACTCTTTTTGTAGAATCTGCGAGGGGATATTTGGATAGATTTCAGGATTTCATTGGAAACGGGAATATCTTCATAGAAAATCTCGACAGAAGCATTCTCAGAAACTTCTTTGTGATATGTGCATTCAAGTCACAGAGTTGAATATTCCCTTTCACAGAGTAGGTTTGAAACACTCTTTTTGTAGTATCTGGAAGTGGACATTTGGAGCGCCTTGACGCCTACGGTGAAAAGGGAAATATCTTCTCATAAAAAGTAGACAGAAGCAATCTCAGAATCTTCTTTGGGATATATGCACGCAGCTAACAGAGTTGAACCTTTCTATTGACAGAGCAGTTTTGAAACAGTCTTTCTGTGGAATCTGCAAGTGGATATTTGGATAGCTTTGAGGATTTCGTTGGAAACGGGATTACGTACAAAAAGTAGACAGCAGCATCCTCAGAAACTTCTTTGTGATGTATGCATTCAAGTCACAGAGTTGAACATTCCCTTTCGTACAGCAGTTTTGAAACACTCTTTCTGTAGTATCTGGAAGTGAACATTAGGACAGCTTTCAGGTCTATGGTGAGAAAGGAAATATCTTCAAATAAAAACTAGACAGAAGCATTCTCATAAACTTGTTTGTGATGTGTGAACTCAGCTAAGAGACGTGGATCTTTCTTTTGATAGAGCAGTTCTGAAAAACACTTTTTGTTGAATCTGCAAGTGGACATTTGGGTAGATTTGAAGATTTCTTTGGAAACGGGAATATCTTCATATCAAATCTAGACAGAAGCATTCTCAGAAACGTCTTTGTGATGTTTGCATTCAACTCATAGAGTTGAACATTCCCTTTCAGAGAGCAGCTTTGAAGCACTCTTTTTGTAGTATGTGCAAGTGGATATTTGGAGCGCTCTGAGGCCTATAGGGAAAAAGCAAATATCTTCCCATAACCACTAGACAGAAACATTCTCAGAAACTCCTTTATGACGTATGTACTCAACTAACAGAGAAGAACCTTCTTTTTGACAGAGCAGTTTTGATACACTCTTTTTGTAGAATCTGCAAGTGGATATTTGGATAGCTGTGAAGATTTCGTTGGAAACGGGAATATCTTCCTATAAAATCTAGACAGAAGCATTCTCAGAAACTGCTCTGTGATGTCTGCATTCAAGTCACAGAGTTGAACATTGCCTTTCATAGAGCAGGTTTGAAACGCTCTTTTTGTAGTATATGGAAGTGGATGTTTCGGACGGTTTGAGGCCCATGGTGATAAAGGGAATATCTTCCCCTACAAGCTAGAAAGAAGCATTCTGTGAAACTTGTTTGTGATGTGTGTACTCAACTAACAGAGTTGAACCTTTCTTTTTACAGAGCAGTTTTGAAACACTCTTTTTGTAGAATCTGCGAGGGGATATTTGGATAGATTTCAAGATTTCGTTGGAAACGGGAATATCTTCATAAAAAATCTCGACAGAAGCATTCTCAGAAACTTCTTTGTGATATGTGCATTCAAGTCAGAGAGTTGAATATTCCCTTTCACAGAGTAGGTTTGAAACACTCTTTTTGTAGTATCTGGAAGTGGACATTTTGAGCACCTTGACGCCTACGGTGAAAAGGGAAATATCTTCTCATAAAAAGTAGACAGAAGCAATCTCAGAATCTTCTTTGGGATATATGCACGCAGCTAACAGATTTGAACCTTTCTATTGACAGAGCAGTTTTGAAACAGTCTTTCTGTGGAATCTGCAAGTGGATATTTGGATAGCTTGGAGGATTTCGTTGGAAACGGGATTACGTATAAAAAGTAGACAGCAGCATCCTCAGAAACTTCTTTGTGATGTGTGCATTCAAGTCACAGAGTTGAACATTCCCTTTCGTACAGCAGTTTTGAAACACTCTTTCTGTAGTATCTGTAAGTGAACATTAGGACAGTTTTCAGGTCTATGGTGAGAAAGGAAATATCTTCAAATAAAAACTAGACAGAAGCATTCTCATAAACTTGTTTGTGATGTGTGAACTCAGCTAACAGAGATGGATCTTTCTTTTGATAGAGCAGTTCGGAAAAACACTTTTTGTTGAATCTGCAAGTGGACATTTGGATAGATTTGAAGATTTCGTTGGAAACGGGAATATCTTCATATCAAATCTAGACAGAAGCATTCTCAGAAACGTCTTTGTGATGTTTGCATTCAACTCATAGAGTTGAACATTCCGTTTCAGAGAGCAGCTTTGAAGCACTCTTTTTGTAGTGTGTGCAAGTGGATATTTGGAGCGCTGTGAGGCCTACGGTGAAAAAGCAAATATCTTCCCATAACCACTAGACAGAAACATTCTCAGAAACTCTTTTATGACGTATGCACTCACCTAGCAGAGAAGAACCTTCCTTTTGACAGAGCAGTTTTGATACACTCCTTTTGTAGAATCTGCAAGTGGATATTTGGATAGCTGTGAAGATTTCGTTGGAAACGGGAATATCTTCCTATAAAATCTAGACAGAAGCATTCTCAAGAAACTGCTCTGTGATGTCTGCATTCAAGTCACAGAGTTGAACATTGCCTTTCATAGAGCAGGTTTGGAATGCTCTTTTTGCAGTATATGGAAGTGGACGTTTCAGACGGTTTGAGGCCCATGGTGATAAAGGGAATATCTTCCCCTACAAGCTAGAAAGAAGCATTCTGTGATACTTGTTTGTGATGTGTGTACTCAACTAACAGAGTTGAACCTTTCTTTTTACAGAGCAGTGTTGAAACACTCTTTTTGTAGAATCTGCGAGGGGATATTTGGATAGATTTCAGGATTTCGTTGGAAACGGGAATATCTTCATATAAAATCTCGACGGAAGCATTCTCAGAAACATCTTTGTGATATCTGCATTCAAGTCACAGAGTTGAATATTCCCTTTCACCAAGTAGGTTTGAAACACTCTTTTTGTAGTATCTGGAAGTGGACATTGGGAGCGCCTTGACACCTACGGTGAAAAGGGAAATATCTTCCCATAAAAACTAGACAGAAGCAATCTCAGAATCTTCTTTGGGATATATGCACGCAGCTAACAGAGTTTAACCTTTCTATTGACAGAGCAGTTTTGAAACAGTGTTTCTGTGGAATCTGCAAGTGGATATTTGGATAGATTGGAGGATTTCGTTGGAAACGGGATTACATATAAAAAGTAGACAGCAGCATCCTCAGAAACTTCTTTGTGATGTGTGCATTCAAGTCACAGAGTTGAACATTCCCTTTCGTACAGCAGTTTTGAAACACTCTTTCTGTAGTATCTGGAAGTGAACATTAGGACAGCTTTCAGCTCTATGGTGAGAAAGGAAATATCTTCAAATAAAAACTGGACAGAAGCATTCTCATAAACTTGCTTGTGATGTGTGAACTCAGCTAACAGAGGTGGATCTTTCTTTTGATAGAGCAGTTCTGAAAAACACTTTTTGTTGAATCTGCAAGTGGACATTTGGATAGATTTGAAGATTTTGTTGGAAACGGGAATATCTTCATATCAAGTCTAGACAGAAGCATTCTCAGAAACGTCTTTGTGATGTTAGCATTCAACTCATAGAGTTGAACATTCCCTTTCAGAGAGCAGCTTTGAAGCACTCTTTTTGTAGTACGTTGAAGTGGACATTTGGAGCGCTTTGAGGCCTACAGGGAAAAAGCAAATATCTTCCCATAACCACTAGACAGGAACATTCTCAGAAACTTCTTTATGACGTATGTACTCAACTAGCAGAGAAGAACTTTCCTTTTGACAGAGCATTTTTGATACACTCTTTTTGTACTATCTGCAAGTGGATATTTGGATAGCTGTGAAGATTTCGATGGAAACGGGAATATCTTCCTATAAAGTCTGGACAGAAGCATTCTCAGAAACTGCTCTGTGATGTCTGCATTCAAGTCACAGAGTTGAACATTGCCTTTCATAGAGCAGGTTTCAAACACTCTTTTTTTAGTATATGGAAGTGGACGATTCGGATGGTTTGAGGATGATGGTGATAAAGGAAATATCTTCCCCTACAAGCTAGAAAGAAGCATTGTGTGAAACTTGTTTGGGATGTGTGTACTCAACTAACAGAGTTGAACCTTTCTTTTTACAGAGCAGTTTTGAAACACTCTTTTTGTAGAATCTGCGAGGGGATATTTGGATAGATTTCAGGATTTCGTTGGAAACGGGAATATCTTCATATAAAATCTCGACAGAAGCATTCTCAGAAACTTCTTTGTGATATCTGCATTCAAGTCACAGAGTTGAATATTCCCTTTCACAGTGTAGGTTTGAAACACTCTTTTGTAGTATCTGGAAGTATACATTTGGAGCGCCTTGACGCCTACGGTGAAAAGGGAAACATCTTCCCATAAAAACTAGACAGAAGCAATCTCAGAATCTTCTTTGGGATATATGCACGCAGCTAACAGAGTTGAACCTTTCTATTGACAGAGCAGTTTTGAAACAGTCTTTCTGTGGAATCTGCAAGTGGATATTTGGTTAGATTGGAGGATTTCGTTGGAAACGGGATTACGTATAAAAAGTAGACAGCAGCATTCTCAGAAACTTCTTTGTGATGTGTGCATTCAAGTCACAGAGTTGAACATTCCCTTTCGTACAGCAGTTTTGAAACACTCTTTCTGTAGTATCTGGAAGTGAACATTAGGACAGCTTTCAGGTCTATGGTGAGAAAGGAAATATCTTCAAATAAAAACTAGACAGAAAGCATTCTCATAAACTTGTTTGTGATGTGTGAACTCAGCTAACAGAGGTGGATCTTTCTTTTGATAGAGCAGTTCTGAAAAACACTTTTTGTTGAATCTGCAAGTGGACATTTGGATAGATTTGAAGATTTCTTTGGAAACGGGAATATCTTCATATCAAATCTAGACAGAAGCATTCTCAGAAACGTCTTTGTGATGTTTGCATTCAACTCACAGAGTTGAACATTCCCTTTCAGAGAGCAGCTTTGAAGCACTCTTTTTGTAGTATGTGCAAGGGGATATTTGGAGCGCTCTGAGGCCTACGGTGAAAAAGCAAATATCTTCCCATAACCACTAGACAGAAAGATTCTCAGAAACTCCTTTATGACGTATGTACTCAACTAACAGAGAAGAACCTTCCTTTTGACAGAGCAGTTTTGATACACTCTTTTTGTAGAATCTGCAAGTGGATATTTGGATAGCTGTGAAGATTTCGTTGGAAACGGGAATATCTTCCTATAAAATCTAGACAGAAGCATTCTCAGAAACTGCTCTGTGATGTCTGCATTCAAGTCACAGAGTTGAACATTGCCTTTCATAGAGCAGGTTTGAAACGCTCTTTTTGTAGTATATGGAAGTGGATGTTTCGGACGGTTGGAGGCCCATGGTGATAAAGGGAATATCTTCCCCTACAAGCTAGAAAGTAGCATTCTGTGAAACTTGTTTGTGATGTGTGTACTCAACTAACAGAGTTGAACCTTTCTTTTTACAGAGCGGTTTTGAAACACTCTTTTTGTAGAATCTGCGAGGGGATATTTGGATAGATTTCAGGATTTCGTTGGAAACGGGAATATCTTCATAGAAAATCTCGACAGAAGCATTCTCAGAAACTTCTTTGTGATATCTGCATTCAAGTCACAGAGTTGAATATTCCCTTTCACAGAGTAGGTTTGAAACACTCTTTTTGTAGCATCTGGAAGTGGACATTTGGAGCGCCTTGACACCTACGGTGAAAAGGGAAATATTTTCCCATAAAAACTAGACAGAAGCAATCTCAGAATCTTCTTTGGGATATATGCACGCAGGTAACAGAGTTGAACCTTTCTATTGACAGAGCAGTTTTGAAACAGTCTTTCTGTGGAATCTGCAAGTGGATATTTGGATAGCTTGGAGGATTTCGTTGGAAACGGGATT